>NC_000023.11:12440518-12743548 GCF_000001405.40 Homo sapiens | reverse complement strand
CCTATAAAGAAATTTGGCTAAGGGGCTTCTCAACCTCAGCATTACTAACATTTTGGGCTAGATAATTTTTTGTTGCAGGGGGTCAGGGGGGTGTCCTATGTGTTGGAAGATTTTTAGCAGCATCCATAGCCTCTACCCACTAGATGATTTTTGTTCGTTTGTTTGTTTGAGATGGAGTTTCGCTCTTGTCGCCCAGGGTGGAGTGTAATGGCAGTCTCGGCTCACTGCAACCTCCACCTCCCGGGTTCAAGCGATTCTCCTGCCTCAGCCTCCCAAGTAGCTGGGATTGCAGGCACCCACCACCATGCCAAGGGTAATTTTTTTTTCTTTTTGTATTTTTAGTAGAGATGGGGTTTTGCCATGTCAGCCAGGCTGGTCTTGAACTCCTGACCTCAGGTAATCCGCCTGCCTCCGCCTCCCAAAGTGCTGGGATTACAGGCGTGAACCACCATGCCCGGCCTAGATGACATTTTTTATTGTCACTGGCCTACTAGATGCCACTGACAATAAAAAATGTCTCCAGATATTGCCAGAGTTTTGGAACTGTCCTCACAGAATTGACCAGAATTGCATGCTGAGTTCTGGGAAGAAATATAGTTAAAATTAAGCATTAATCAGGCTGCACTTTGGCCCACTTATTGCTAAAAGTCGTGTAGCACTAGATACTGACCATTTGCATCCCCATTGTTCCTATAGGTAGGATTTCTGATATTAGGATCATAAGACTGTTTATGAATTGATTTGTGACCCCATTTTTCCTATAGATAGAATCTCTGACATGAGAATCATTAGGCATTAAAGGATAGCTTAAGATGTTTTTTGGATCCCCAATTTCAGTGAAACAGCTGATGCCAACCAGTTTGAAGACCTCCACAGGAATGAGAACACAGCTTCATCTCCCTGTTCCATGACTTTGCCCTGCACTCTTTTTTTTTTTTGAGATGGAGTCTTGCTCTGTTGCCCAGGCTGGAGTGTAGTGGTGTGATCTCGGCTCACTGCAACCTGTGCACCCCGGGTTCAAGCGATTCTCTTGCCTCAGCCTCCCAAGTAGCTAGGATTACAGGTGCCTGCCACCGTGCCCGGCTAATTTTTGTATTTTTAGTAGAGATGGAATTTCGCCATGTTGGCCAGGCTGGTGCACTCTTTGAGCAATCAATAGTCTCCATACTTTGGTCCACTACAAAACCCTAAAATTCCAAGCCCTGCAAACTCCTTGGGGAGATGGATTTGAGGTTTCCTTCTGTCTCCTTTTTCAGTAGCCCTATGATTAAACCTCTTGCTCTGCTGCAACCTGGTGTCCGAGCATATTGAGTTGCTGTGTGCACCAGGCAATGGACCTATTATGGTTATAATTTCTCCTGGTGGGCAAAATGATTTCCAGTTGAGAACCACTGGGCTAAGCGTTTCCTAATCTGAAGTGACAATTTTTACAATGTCTTTCTACCTAAGCCAAAGGGGAAGACTGCCTCTGGGATGACCAGAGTCTGAACGGGAATAATCTACAGGAGTGGACTGATGACAAGCGGAGAGCAGTAGACAGGCATGATGGGTTTGATAGAACCAAGTGAATCAGGGGGCCAAGTCAGTTTTCCTATTTGTCTAACTCACTCAGCTTAATGTCAAATATAAGTCATATGCCAGAGGATTCAAGGATGACATGGTAAATAACACTGACATGTCCCATCTTTATTCTCCTTTCTCTTGGCGGGTTAATCATGTGTGTCCAAATCCTAGCGTTTTGTGGCTGAATCCTTGAGCAGAGTTCTTGGGCAGAATCCCTTCCTTAAGGCTGAAGTGGCTGACTGTGTGCACTGTCACATGTGAGAAAGTACATGTAAGAGTGGGCGTGCAGGTGTGGGTGTGGAAGGAAGCTTGTATGGAAGCCTCTGGAACCAGAGGAACTTTTAGTTGACTCACTGAAGTGAGCTGCAGAGAGGTTATATGACACCCAAAGTCGCGCAGCTGGCATGACTCAGAAACAGGATTCAAAACCGGGTAGGCTGGTTTTAGAGTCCAAGTTCTTCACTGACAGACTGTACTGCTTACCTGGATGCTCCCTCGCTGGTCTTCATGGAAATATAATAATAGGGTTATCATTTTGTGAAACAATGCAACCCTCTTTTTCCAGACTGCACCGCTGGCACATTCTGGCCATCATTCCTAAGCATGGCTCTATCAGGCTGGTGATCTCCCATTGTGTGATTTTGCCACTCTCTTCTTATTGATATACTCAGGTTGCCCAAAAGGAACCCTTGGCAGCTGTTATGAAACATTTCAAAAGCTACTCTCCTTCATCTGTCAGCTGTAGAAGATTCTTTCAAGGATCAGAACCTTGTTGAGCAGGAAGGTTCAACTTGGGGACTGCCTCATTTCCAGTCCAGTTCTCCTATTGGCTAGCCCTTTCCCAACATACGTATCTTTAACTTTCAGATTTTAAATTGTGACATATAGCACACATACATAAAGGTCCCTAAAACATAAATGTACAATTTGATGACTCTTTGAAAAGCAAAGGCCTGTGTAATCACCAATCAGGTTAAGAAATAAGATGTTGTCAGAGCTACAGAAACCCTTCCACCTACTTTCCAATCACATGACCTCCTTTCCTTTTAGTAGTAACCACTCACCTGGCCTTTACGGTTACCACATCTTTGCTTTGCTTTATAGTTTTACCATGAATACATGCATCACTACCCAACATTGTTTAGTTTTGCTTGTTTTTGAACTTTATTTTTAAAAGGACCTATGGTATGGTCTCATTTTTATTTTTTAATTTTTTTTGAGATGGAGTTTCATTCTTGTCGCCCAGGCTGGAGTGCAATGGTGCAATCTTGGCTCACCGCAACCTCCGCCTCCTGGGTTCAAGCGATTCTCCTGCCTCAGCCTCCTGAGTAGCTGGGATTACAGGTATGCGCCACCATGCCCGGCTAATTTTGTATTTTTAGTAGAGACGGGGTTTCACCATGTTGGTCAGGCTGGTCTCAAGCTCCCGACTTCAGGTGATCTGCCCGCCTCGGTCTCCCAAAGTGCTGGGATTACAGGCATGAGCTACAGTGCCTGGCCTTATTGTATGGTCTTTTGTGTTTTGCTTCTTGTTTATTAGACAATCCACCCTTAAAATAATTGGCTTCAGGGAAATTAATTTTGCATATGTCAATCTATGATAACAATAGCAAATAAAATAGCACTCAAAATTCCATGATGCATAGAGGTGAAGTAGCTAGTTCAAGATCACCCTGTGTAGTACACAGCTTCCAAGGTGGCCCCTGATGATCCTTGCCTCCTAAAATTCATGCATCTGTATAGGTCCCTTTCACACTATATCAGAGTTGATTCTTGTAACCAATAGAATTTGGTGGGAGTGATGGCGTGTGCTTCTAAGACTAGGTCATGGATGTCATTGATTTTTCCTCTGTGAAGCTAAGGAGGCTTAAGCTTCAGAGGCCCTCACTTGCGTGGATCTCTTCCAAAGCCTGCAGTAATGCATTCAAATGGTCATCAATTTTTGCAAGAAAATCGCAGCAGGAAGATATTTTAACTGGAGATGGTTAACATGATGGCTATTTTTTTCACTCTAACTTCCCCTCTGTTACTTTTCCCCTCATTTTAGGTAGTGTTGTGGCAACTGTGGGCATTTTTGGGAAATGGTTAAGTGGAAGTTAAATCATGAATACATGTAGCCTGGGCATAGTGGGGTGTATTTATGTGATTTAGAGTCACTTTTGTGTGCAGTTAAGTTATTGCTTGTCATTCTGGTGTAGGACTAGCTTCTGAGAATATTCCTATCACCCAGTGAGTCAACCTACCTGGTGGTGTGACAAGAAATTGTAGTGGTAAAAGTTCTATCTCAATACAAACTTGTGTACTGCCCCAAAATCAAAAGTATGTGAGTAGCAAAGAGAAAATAAAGCATGGAATATATGAAGCCCAAAGCTAGTGTGTAGCAAAATCCTTCCAATTACTTAAATGTGTAAAACTGTAAGCAGGAGATTTGCTTTTCATTTTCAACTACTCAGAATGGAAATTCTCTCCCATCAGAAACAAACTATACACTTTACAATTTTATTTGTCAGTGATTTCATACCAATTATTGAAAAAGAAACCATAAAATTCATAATATGCTACTACAATGAAGACATTGACAACTAACTGGTTAATGAGAGCTGTCAATTCAAGAACATTTAAGATTAGTCATTGTGCAAGAACCCTTGAAATGCCCCCAAATATTATAGCTTACATATCAAGAAACTTGATAGAAGTCTTCCCAAATTTGACAGTTGTAAAAAGCTTGTATGACCTTACTGGTAATGAGTTGCACAACTGAAAGATATTTTTCTAAGTCATGGAGAGGCAATTAAAGAGTATAAAGCCAAAGGATTGTGGCCCCCCCGCCAAAAAAAAGGTGTTAGAGCAATTCGTCAGGCAGTTAATTCATAAAAGCCATCTGTTACTTTATAGATTTTTGTGATGCTTGCCCTACATACGAAATTCTTAACTGAGTTTCGTTGCAATTATTTCCCATTCTAAATAAATATAGATGTTGGCCGGGTGTGATGGCTCTCGCCTGTAATCCCAGCACTTTGGGAGGCTGAGGCAGGCAGGTCACTTGAGGTTAGGAGTTCGAGATCAGTCCAGCCAATATGGTGAAACCCCAACTCAACTAAAAATACAAAAATTAGCTGGACATGGTGGCAGCCGCCTGTAGTCCCAGCTACTCAGGAGGCTGAGGCAGGAGAATCTCTTAAACCCAGGACGGGGAGGTTGCAGTGAGCTAAGATAGCGCCACTGCACTCCAGCCTGGGCAACCAAGCAAGACTCCATCTCAGAAAAATAAATAAATAAATAAATAAATAAATAAAAATATACATGTTTGCACCTACTTTTGTATTTTCAATTTATTATCATTCTTTTTCATGATGAGGATCCATCACTTGTATAATCTTCAGGCCCTGCCAAACTGGATCTGCCACTGACCAGACACCTGCAGTTTTTGCCAGCCCCGTCACTGAGGAAGAATATCAGACAATGAGTTTCCTTAGCTCTGGCCTGGTGAAGAGCACAGACCCAAACCTTTTGCAGAGTTACTATAGATGGAAGCTGCAGCTCTTCCGGCATCACTTGCTGCCCTTACCCTACCTCCTCTCTCTCCCAGCTCATCTGACCTTCCTGCCCTTCACCAAGTCATGCTAGATAAATGCTGACAACTTTCAAGAAAATGGCTGAAACAGCTTATCAGTCTGATGGGGATGCCCCACTGGAAGTGGCAAGAAAGATATCTAGAAAGGTCACTTGGGCCATGTGCTGAAAAACATTGCAGACTTTGGCCTGCATCCTGAAATTAATAGGGAGCCACTGCAAGGTTTTGAGTAGAAATGATCACACAGAGATATGAAATATTTCAGAAGTGTTTTTGATCATGATAAATTGTTAATAGTATTTACTACCTAGGGTAGTGGGATTATACATTAATTTCTCCCATAGTATAACTTTTTGAACTTTCTGGATCATTTATCCTTTATCTGTATTCAGTTCTATAAGATTAAAAAAAAATTAAAAGATGTTTACTCCCTGCATCTCCCCTAGATTTATAAGCTTGTAAAATTAAGTAATTTTGACCCAGGGTAGTAAGTGAAATCATTTTATTAACTGTACGGTTGATCTCTAATAGTTTTCATATTTGGTTGATCAGATTAATAAAATGACCCAAAGGATTGTGAAATCATCTGAAATGTACACCTACATCAAATTAAATCTGAAAATTAAGTTTCGTGAGACTGAACTCTGGTGTATTTTGAGGGAAATGTGTGCTACACATAATGAGTGATGTAAAAAACTTTCTAAGGAATTTAGCAGTCTTACCTGAAAATGGACACTTAAAACTGTAATTAGACTTTCCAGAAGTATTAAACATCAATCATTATGATACCTTTCATCCTCACTGATTCCTATGCTGCCTCAGGCACTTGTAAACTCCACTGTATCTTCTGCTCTGTACTCTCAAAGACAGACTAAAAATATCCTCTGGGATTTAGTTATTCTTTCTACCATCTTTCAGATAGATTAAATAAAATAGTATTTTATTTAAGATATTTCAGACAGATTAAATAAAATAGTATCTTATTTAAGATACTTTCAAGTGTGGTTTAGTGATATTTTTACATGATTAAATGTTATAATTATAATGTCTTATTTCATATCCATTTGCCTTTAGCAGCATAAATACTGTATAATAGAAAAATCCTTCTAAAATATAGAGCAATCCTTCATAACAACACGAATGGCCGACATATACAGGCTTGGTTTCAAAAATAAATTTTTTTTCTTTTCAAACTGAGATTTAGTCACAGAAATGTAATTCTTATTTAATCAATCTGAAAATAAAATGGTAGTTTCACTCCGTCACACATTACAGAATGCAACTGACATATATTATTCTATTTCCCTTGATTCTATCAGCTCTGTGGTTGTCAAAGGAATCAACTTAATGGTAATTAACTATAGCTTGGCTGCCCTTGTGCCCAGCTAGTAATGTAGGAGTTTTTTTTTTTCTCTCATTGATGTTTCCCTTAGTTTTCCCTGGGAGTTCCTTTTTTATTTTTATTTTTTTAATGTTTTTATCAGGGCCTTGCTCTGTTGCCCAGGCTGGTCTTGAACTCCTGGCTTCAAGCAATCCTCTCGGCTCAGCCTCCCAGAGTGCTGGGATTACAGGCGTGAACCACTGCGCCCAGCCCTTCTCTGCGAGTTCTTGTTAGTGTCTCACATGAGTTCATCAACAGTTTTGTGCCGAACATGTGACATCCTCCATGTTCTGCCTCAGTTCATCCTTGTGACCTGCTCCCTATCATAAGCTGGTGGAGAGCATCTCAGTCTTTCCCCAGTAGAATCTGTGTCATGACCAAGAGCACTCCTTCCAGAGACTTCCAAGCGGACCAGAGGCAAAATGTGTAGAACTTAGAAATCACCATCTCCAATATGTGCCACCCTTTGTCATTGAAACCTCAATGTGTGCTGCTTGTCCTGCAGGATCTGACCAGAGTTGTGATGTGAAGAAATTGTCTACAACAATGGAGAAAAATAAAAGTGGATTCTTAACTAATTTCATATAAAAAAGTATATTTCAGATAGATTAAAGACCTAAATATGAATGGTCAAACTATAAAGTAAATAGAAAAGAATATGAGGAAATCCACTTGTTGTAAAGAATTGAGGAAGGATTTTTTTTTTTTTTTGAGACAGAGTCTTGCTCTGTCACCAGGCTGGAGTGCAGTGGTGTGATCTCGGCTCACTGCAACCTCTGACTCCCTGGTTCAAGCGATTCTCCTGCCTCAGCCTCCCGGGTAGCTGGGATTACAGGCACGTGCCACTACACCCAGCTAATTTTTGTATTTTTAGTAGAGACAGGGTTTCACCATGTTGGCCAGGATGGTCTCCATCTCTTGACCTCGTGATCCGCCCACATCAGCCTCCCAAAGTGTTGGGATTACAGGTGTGAGCCACCGTGCCTGGCCTGAGGAAGGACTTTTAAATAAAACCTTAGTATGAAAATAACCAGGCCAGGCATGGTGGCTCATGCCTGTAATCCCAGCACTTTGGGAGGCTGAGGTAGGTGGATCACTTGAGGTCAGGAGTTCAAGACCAGCCTGACCAATATGGCGAAACCTGTCTGTACTAAAAATACAAAAATTAGCCGGGCGTGGTGGTGAATGCCTGTAATCCCACCTACTTGGGAGGCTGAGGCACGAGAATCACTTGAACCCAGGAGATGGAGGTTGCAGTGAGTCGAGATCGTGCCACTGCACTCCAGCCTGGGAGACAGTAAGACTGTCTCAAAAAAAAAAAAAAAAAAAATCAAACCTACCAACCATTAACCTCGTGATTTATTATTGCTATTTTTTCCATACTAAGGCTTTCTGTTTTATGAGGGAAACGGTGGACAAAGTTTACCGATGATGCACTGGGACACTTAGATCATGAGCAGAGCACTTGCACGTATTCCACCGGCCCCATAATAAATCATAAAAATGTCAAACCAGTGCTCCCTGTGCACTAAAGGGGATTTTATGAAAACAATGTAGCCAATATCTCTGAACAAATACCTGTGAATATGTGACTACTGGTTTGCTCCGTTCAGTGCACACTAGATAACGGGTATAGAGAAAACTCAGAGGAAAAAAAAAACAATAGAAGGAAAACAATCTAGATTGAAGAAAGACATAAGCTCTCAGAAGAGAAAGATCCACTAAATTCCAAGCAGAATGAATGAAAGAAAATTCCAGACTTAGATACAACCTTGTGAAATTGAGACTGCAAGTAAGTGAAAGAAATAAGTCTCCTAGGTAAAAGGAAATAACCCTTTAAACGAACAAGAAAAACAGCAAACCAGCCGGTCATGGTAGCTCACGCCTGTAATCCCAGCACTTTGGGAGGCCAAGGTGGGTGGATCATCTGAGGTCAGGAGTTCGAGACCAGCCTGGCCAACATGGCGAAACCCCATCTCTACTAAAAATACAACAAATTAGGCAGGCGTGGTGGCAGGTGCCTGTAATCCCAGCTACTCAGGAGGCTGAGGCAGAATTGCTTGAATCTGGGAGGCGGAGGTTGCAGTGAGCCAAGAACGTGCCCTTGCACTCCAGCCTGGGTGACAGAGAGACTCTGTCTCAAAAAAAAAAAAAACCAAAAAAACAAACAAAACTTAGCAAATTAATGCAAAAAGGTAAGGGGGCAATGACATCTCGGTTTTCAAGGCATGCAGTTTTGAACCTGGAATCCCATATGCAGCTAAATTATCAATTAAGCATATGGGCAAAGTAAAGGTATTTTCAGACATGCAAGAGTTTAACAAAGTTACATTCTACATAATCTTTATGAGAAAATTCCCCTAGGTGATATTGGATACGGGGAAACTATGGGGTCTATTCTAAGAAAGCTGGAGAGGGAAGTCCTAGGATGGACTTCTTATGCAGATAGAAACAGGTTCATGATGAAAAAGGAAGTCAGAAGGCTCGCAGGGAGGGACTCCTCTAAGAGCCGATTTCATGAAATAGATAATACAGTTGAGATGCTGGATCAAGTTGAGGCTTTGGTGGAAGCACCTGTGACAATTAAAGATGGTTGAAGCTTTTTTAAATCAGTCTTCCAATTAGGAGGTAGAATCAAGTTCTCCTGTTCTTGAGTCCGGTCTGGTGACTCAGCTGACTAATAGAAAGTCGCTGGGTGGCTTTCTAGTCTAGGTCATAAGAAGCCTTGCAGCTTCTGCCTGGTTTGCTTGAAATGCTCATGCTAGAGATGCTCTGTCTTAGAAGCCCGTCAGCATATGAGAAGTGCTGCCTTTTTGGGAACACTGCAATGGAGAAGCCAGGCCTCATCTTTAGGGTAAGAATATCCTTTTTTTCTTTTTTCTTTTTTCTTTTGAGACGGAGTTTCGCTCTTGTTGCCCAGGCTGGAGTGCAGTGGCGTGATCTCGGCTCACCGCAACCTCCGCCTCCTGGGTTCAAGCAATTCTCCTGCCTCAGCCTCCCGAGTAGCTGGGACTGCAGGCATGCGCCACCACACCCGGCTAATTTTTTTGTATTTTTAGTAGAGACAGGGTTTCTCCATGTTGGTCAGGCTGGTCTTGAACTTCTGACCTCAGGTGATCCACCCGCCTCGGCCTGCCAAAGTGCTGGGATTACAGGAGTGAGCCACCGCGCCTGGCCAGAACATCAATTTTATTTTGCTTTTGTGAACACTCTTTTAAGTGACACGGCAGCCATGATATAGGGTGTATAGAAAAGGAATAATCTTAGCACAGTAATAATTATAATACAAACGATGATTATTGGATTGAAAATTGTAGATCCAATTAGCCGGGCGTGGTGGTGGGTGCCTGTAGTCCCAGCTACTCGGGAGGCTGAGGCAGGAGAATGGCGTGAACCCGGGAGGCGGAGCTTGTAGTGAGCCGAGATCGTGCCACTGCACTCCAGCCTGGGCGACAAAGCGAGACTCTGTCTCAAAAAAAAAAAAAAAAAGAAAATTGTAGATCCGGCCGGGCCCAGTGGCTCACGCCTAGTAATCCCAGCACTTTGGGAGGCCAAGGTGGGCGGATCGCTTGAGGTCAGGAGCTTGAGACCAGCCTGGCCAACATGCGAAACCATATCTCTATAAAAACACAAAAAATTAGCCAGGCATGATGGCGCACGCCTGTAGTCCCAGCTACTCGGGAGGCTGAGGCAGGAGAATCACTTGAACCCGGGAGGCAGAGGTTGCAATGAGCCGAGATCACGTCACTGCACTCCAGCCTGGGTGGCAGAGTAAAACTCCGTATCAAAAAAAAAAAAAAAAATATTTGAGTGTAGATCCAACCTAAATCAACGCCTAAAACACTTTATTTTGGCTAGAGAAATGAAAATGTACCTAACTTGACAAGGAAGAAACAGTAAGATAAACCTGCCCTTTAAGGAGGAATCAGCATTAGTTAAAGGGTCTCTATGAGGCAATCACATTGAACTTCTGTTAGGCAAATGTGGGGCAGAAAATTGCCTTTCTTTGGCATATAAAGAACTTCTCCAGGTTAAATGCAATTCAAATTGCGCTCAGCTTTCTTTTGTCTTATGAAACATCTTTCCTTTATGTTTCATGATACTGAAAGTCCAGTCTGCTAAGATCTCTCTTAAAAATGAATGCAACCTGTAGTCATCTCTTTTGGAAATATCAGTCACCGTCTCAGTGCAGATTTCAATTTTTCAAAGGTTTTAAATGCATGTGCATGTTTTAAGTAGTTTCCTTTAAAGGTAAGATTTAGTGCGGGAAAGAGTCATTGTTCTTAAATTGTACCTTAAATTTGTTAATGTAATAATTAACAAACAGTTGTTAATTATTTAACACAGTGATTCTCAAACTTGAGCGTGTGTTAGAATCACCTGGACGACTTGTTAAATCACAGATTGCTGTACTGCATCCCCAGAGTGTCTGATTCAGTAGTTCGGGTGGAGCCCAGGAATTTGCATTTCTAATGTTTCTAGGTGATGCTGATGCTGTTGGTTCAGGAGCTACACTTTATGGACCACTGACTTAAGATAGAATGAATTCCCAGTAAACTCTTTCTTCTTTCCTTCCATGCATAGGGTTTTTTGTTTCACGCTCTAGAAGAGCTCTGGATAACTTTATGGTTTTGAGAAACCAGTTCACCATGCTGTTTCGCCAGTCTGCAGTGGTTTACAAAGATTTAATCCCTAAACACCATGGAGAACATTATTTTAAATAACAATGTAAATGATGTAAATGCAAAGGTACTGAAGGCCTAAGATAGAAGGTGGAAATGAAGAAGTTGGGGAGGGGTAGAGAGGAAGCAAGACTGGGGGCGCAAAGAGCTTCGTTTCACATAGGTGGGGAGTCAAGGAGACTGTCTAAAGATGATTGAACAAGAAGCAGAGATGTAATTATAACATTTAAAGCTAAATAAGTAACCATGAATAGAGCTTAATAATAATACCCCTGTCAAACATAGGTTAGGGGAGGAGAAGGTAAGGTCAGGGTGATGTAAGTAAGTCAATTCTTTGTCTTTCAAGAGGTGGTCCATAATATCATCCAAAGTTGGTAAGTCAAGAATTTAGATTATCTAGAACTAAGGAGAAAACCAGTAGAAAATCTAAACCCAGAAACTGATGAAACAGGTTGTCCCTCGGAACTGGAACTGAGGGTGGAAATTTGGGGTAGGAGATGGTTGGTTTTTGTTGTAAGTTCTTTGGTGGAAATTAATTTTAAAAAATACGTGCTAGCGTTTCTCTGACTAGAAACAGTCACACTAGCTACTTGGCTAAGAACTATTGAATAAAATTGCAATTCATGTGTTTGAATCTTGATTCTGACTAGCATCCATGATTTTGGGCAAGTTCTTTGGAGTCTTTAACCTCGGTTTCCTTTCTTAAAAATCGGGACGATAGTAGTAATTTCGCATCAGTTGTTCTAAGAAATAGATGCAATAATTGTGCATGAAGATGATTTAGCACAATACCTGGCACATTATGCCTAAATAAACATTAGCTATTATTATTATTAATGTCATTATAATCATACTGACAACAAACTGGAAACTGGATTCGTAGGAGTTGGAGGCAAAGGCAGCCTGGAGGCAGGAAAGCCACATCTGGTCCCTGTATGGATTTCTGGGTGATGTGATATGCTACATTTATTTACATCGTATGCACCTGTGTGTGTGTGTTTGCCTTGTTGCACCTTTCTCAGAAATCCAGGGAGTACTAAAGGAGTATTTCAGTAAGTCTCATTCAACAATATAGCTTTTAAAAATGTTTTTATTTTTTAATTTCTGTGGGTACATAGTAGGTGTATATATTCATGGGGTACATGAGATGTTTTGATATAGGCATGCAATGCATAATAATCACATCATGGAGAATGGGGTATCCAGCCCCTCAAGCATTTATCGTTTGAGTTACAAACAATCCAATTATACTCTTTTAGTTATTTTAAAAAGTACAGTAAAATTATTATTGACTATAGTCGCCCTGTTGTGCTATCAAATAGTAGGTCTTCTTCATTCTTTCTATTCTTTTGTACCCATTAACCACCCCCACATCCCTCTCAGGCCCCCCCCCAACTACTCTTCCCAGTCTCTGGTAATCATCCTTCTACTCTCTATCTCCATGAGTTAAATCGTTTTGATTTTTAGATTCCACAAAAAAGTGAGAATATGTGATGTTTGTATTTCTGTGCCTGACTTACTTCACTTAACATAATGATCTTCAGTTCTGTTCATTTTGTTGCAAATGACAGGATCTCATTCTTTTTTATGGCTGAATAGTACTCCATCGTGTATAAGTATCACATTCTTTTTTTATCCGTTCATCTGTTGATGAACACTTGGGTTACTTCCAAATCTTGGCTAATGTGAACAGAGCTGCAACAAACATGAGTGTGCAGATCTCTTGGGTATATAACCAGCAATGGGATTGCTGGATTATATGGTAGCTCTATTTTTAGCTTTTTTGAGAACCTCCAAACTGTTCTCGCTAGTGGTTGTACTGATTTACATTCCCACCAACAATGTACAAGGGTTTCCTTTTCTCCACATCTTTGCCAGCACTTGTTCAACAATATAGCTTTATATAGCTTTGGAAAATAAAGAGAATAAAGGGTCATGGAATCTAGAAAGAAATGAGTCCTGTTCCATACTTATCTTTGCTGGACCACACATGGAGGGAATAGCATCCTTTCAGGGTACTCTGGTGAGGAGTTCCAAGTGAGGCATGTTGGGGAGTTGAACTTGAATGCATGGGCTCTGCTTCCAGATGAATAACTTAGGAGCAAGTGACTTGAGCCCACCTCATCCTCCTGCCCCATAAATACTTGAGAAAGGTGTGGTTATGCTGGTTAAAGTTCAGCATATTTAACAATTCATCTGCTAGTTGAATTATTCTATATAACCTGATCCTGAAGTCATAACTTGACTAAAATGAGTGCAATGAAAAAAGTCCCATTGTCACAAGAAGCTCACCTATGGACTTAGCACTAATAAAATCCTGACCTGCACAGGTCAGCACATCATAATTATTGGAGTTTCCATCCCCGGAGCAACTTGGCATGTTAATACAGAAATATATCTAGAGAATGGACCTGGGCCAGGGCAGAGAAGGCTGAAGGTTTCCCGTATGGCCTTTAATGACTCACATTAGGGCTGTGGGTCCTGAAAACCTTTCAAGTCGGTATTTCAAATTATACTATTTCATCTATCTAGAGGAATATGTGATATGTGATCAGTTGGATCTGTAGCTGGGGGAAGAGCCTTGGTGGGCATGGAGGACAGACCCTAAGGTGGCCCCCACGATTCCTGCCCCTTGGTGTTCATGCCCTGTACAATCCTCTCCCCTGGAGTGTGGGCAGGAAGCTATTGTTCTAGCCAATAGCATATGGCAAAGGTGAAGCAATTTTGGAAATGCACTTAAGGTCCCAATAGGTTAATTTTTAGGTAATCAAGAGGGAGATTATTCTAAGTGGGCCTGACTTGATCAGGTGAAAATCCTTAAAGGAGGGACTGGGCCCTCCCTGAGGTAATGGATTCTCCTCATAGGCTTGATAACATAAGCAGCCCTGTTAAAGGTGCCCTTGTGGCAAGGAATTGTGAGCAGCTTCCATGACCTGAGGGTGGCCTCTAGTCTCCAGCTGGTAAAACGCCAGGACTTCAGTCATACATCCTCAAGAAAATGGGTTACTCCAACAATCTGAATGAGCTTGGAAGCAGACTTGCACCCAGCCAAGCCTTCAGATGAGAATGCAGCCCAGCTGAAACCTTGACTGCAACCTTTCTGAGCCAGTTAGGCTGTGCCCAGACTTCTGACCCACGGAAACTATGAGATAATAAATGCTTGTTGTTGTAAGTCACTACATTTGTGTTAATTTGTCATGCAGCAACAGGAAACTAATACAGAGAGGTGGGGTCGGGGGTAGTGTCAGGGAAGACAAAGAGGGGAAAGAAGACAGAGGGAAGAAATAAAGAATATTGAATACTAAATTTAAATTGGCTTTCATAAAACTGAGCCTCACCTCTTCCTTTATTCCTTTCTACCCTATACAGTATTTATATTTTAGGCTGCAGAACATGTTGGGCCACATCTGAGTGGACTTGGGAACAGCCTTGAAACCCAACCAAGAAGGAAATTGGGACCAAGAATAGGTAGAAAGATGGGAGAAAAAGCAGAGGAAAGCTTAGGCTCTGAGGTGAGTGCTGGTGTGAGCTCAGACTGTGTTGGGAAGGACATGTTTTAGGGAACAACCACTATGTTGGCTGTTAGGTCAGTATTTGCCACCACACTTCACACTCTCCAATGCCTTTGTCAACAATTCACAAACTAATGTGTAGCCAACATTTTACAGCAGATTTTCAAATCTTGGGGAAGAACTATCCACGCAAATCACATATCATCATGTAAGACATGCAAAGGCTAAGAACAAGTGAGTGTATTTGAGTCTATATATGTGTGTGTATGTTTTAATTTTTAAGGAGATGCTCAGTTGTCTTTCCACCTAGGACTTGGGGCCAAAAAAATGGTTTTGGCTAAGTCAAGCTCATGGTCTAATGAACGAAAGTCTTTATCTGCAACTGTCTCTATTGCATATATCATTTAAATTTCTTCAGCAGGGTCTATATGAAATGAGTGTCATGTGTACTGACTGATCAGAGTTAGTTCCTTTATCCAAATTGTTGGCAAATCCCTGACTTATATGTGATTTCTTCCTCAGAAACCTATAATGTTCCCTCCCAGAACTTATTGCTATCTCTCATTATTCTGTTTATTTTTCACTCTTTTTTATCTGCTTGCCCGCTAGAACTGCACTGTATAATGTGGTAGACAATAGCTACATGTGAATGCTTAAATTCAATTAATTAAATTATATAAAGTTTAAAATTTGATTCCTTAGTCATACTGGCCACATTGGGAATACTCAGCAGCCACATATGACTATTTGTTATCATATTGAGTATCACGGATTTAGACACTTTCCATCATCACAGAGAGTTCTATTGAACAGTGCTGAATGCTACACATTTAGTCCTCATTATTCATGGTCCTGATATGCATACATTTCAGTTACCATGGTTTTGCTAATCTACCAGTCCCCAACAACATAGCTTAAATTTCAGTTACCATGATATGTTAACTGAATTGCATAAAGCACAAAGTTTGCCATTAGCTGCTCAATCCAAAAATCACTACACAAATAAAAGGTGTGCATGATGGTCAGCAACCAATCGCATCACTTCTTTCCAAGTCTGCCACTGATTGGTCTGTTATTCAGCTCATGCACACACAGCAAAAAGCAAGTAGATGTGCTGCCTTCTTTTGTTTTCCCCCATGTGATAAGGCCGTGTAACATTTAATAAAATTGGAGCATTGATAGAGAGAACTGGTCAACAAAGATGAAAGTGCAACAAAGAAACAAGTGATAACACTAGAAGTGAAATTAAAATAAGACATCAATGGAATCATCAAAGAAGTAGCTGACAGTGGGAATGACATTGCCCTCATTTGAGACTGTAGATGTGCCACCAGAGAGATGCAGTGAAGGTACATGCATCAACATAAATAAGGGGAGAAGTTATGAGGAAAAGGATGAAGCTGTCTCAGAGAAAGTGACACGGAAAAAAAACACTTCACATGAAAGGAACTCTTGGAGATATTTCACAATAATAAAAACACAAATGATAAAGTATTGGAAGCTTTGACAATTTGCCAAAGGCATAGAAGAAGAATGCTTATCTATATCATTAAGCTATATGATGAATAAAAGAAGGCAAGCACTGTTCAAACTCCTCTTGATAAATTTTTACAAAAAAGATCCAGTTTAATTCTCAAGGTTTCTAATAGTTTAAATTACTGTGTACTAAATAAATATCAATTTTACTGTACTTTTTCATGTCCCCATACATTAATAACTGACAATAAGAGAGTATGTAAGTTTTGACAAAAATTGTTGTAGGTCATGGAACAGGTATAATTTTTCTCATTGATTATTGATTGCTTTGCAGAGTTTCAGCTTGCATGGTCACTTTCCCAGTCCTGCACTACCATGCAAAGGAAGGCGGCCTGTAATGCTAACTCACTCTGAACCTCTGCTTTCTTGAGGAATGAAAAAGGTTTGCCAATTCTAGAATAGGCACTCCATCTTTGGCAGGGACAATGTCAGTCATATTCATCATCGTACCCACCTGTAGCACTTAGGACGCTGTCTGCCTAGATTAGGAAGTTAATAATAGCTGTTGAATGAATGAGTGAAAAAATGGATCCGTCTTCCTTTAAGTGGGAGGCAGGAAGAAATCATGAATCATTAATGAAAAGGCAAGTTAGGAAATGGGAACTAATCAAAATGAAAACAGCAGGAATATTACATGGCTGGAGGTTACCAAGAAAGCTAAATTCCACCAATCCCACATACATCCACTACCAAAGTGAATTCTGCCTATAGTGGTGAATGATGATGCCACAAATGGCACAGAATTTTGGTCCAGACTTTAGAGTAGAAAATGTGAATTAACACAAAGAATGAAAAAATAAAAACCTCAAACAAACAAAAACCCCAAAACCCAGTGCTTTGAAATTAATGTGTAATAGAAAATTAAGATGCATTGATAAATATAGACAGTTTCACGGAAGGCAGCTGGTTAATTTGAAGTTGAATGGTGCAGTAAGTTACTTTGGATATTTGATTATCTATTTCTTTCAGTGATGTAGGATTTAAGCCATTCCATTATTTTGTGTAGCAACAAATATTTGATAGAGATACAGATTGTTCTTCTGTGGATTTTCTATGTATAGGCTTTGGAATTAAAAAGTGAGATGGGTGGCCAGGGTATAGGTGGAATAAATAAAAAGTATCCAATTTAATGATATTCAAATTGTTATGAATAAAAATTCAGTTCAAAAGGCGAAGTTCTTAATCTTTGATCTGTCAAAGCTGAAAAGCTATTGCTGCAACCTGACTTTAAAAGAAGATTTGGGATGTTACATACAAATTTATTTTTCGTAGTCTTTGCATTGCTAGAGGGGGAGCTAGTACTGAAATCTATAAAACCAAACTGATAGCTAGTCTTACAGACCCATTGGCACGCGCGCGCACACACACACACACACACACACACACATCACTATCTACACAAATCAAAATTGACCACTTTCAAAGCAAAGACAAAATCAGGTTACAGACAATGTAATATTGATGCAACTTTTTCCTTCTGTTTTTAGTCTTTTTTTTTTCTTTTTTTTGAAATGAAGTCTTTCTGTGTTGCCTCCCAAGTAGCTGGGATTACAGGCACATGCCACTGTGCCTGGCAATATTAATGTATTTTGATCCCCATGAAGGTTTCTAAATGTTTGGAAAAGATAAGGAATTACCTGAACATAGGTGATTTGTTTTCCATTTCAAAAACTGCACAATTTTGAAGGGTGATAACCCGCCCCCACTGCCAAATCAAGGATAATCCAGGCAGGATAAATTAGAGCACTGTCCTGGGTCACTCAGAAGTAACACTCAGAGAATTAATTACTGGCATTTAGAACTATATGAAAGCAGAACATAAACAAATGAAGATTTTCTTTCCTAAGAGAAATCATAATGAAAGATAAAATTTATAGCAAAAGGAATTGAGCCATTGTAGTATTGCTATAGCTAGGGATTTCAGGCTTTTCTGGAAAATAATTTCGTTTGTGATTAGACTAATTTCTGCTGAGCTTAAGGTTAGTGGGATCTGTGTTAATTTTAATGTCTCGGCAATTGCATTCATTTTTTGATTTTTTTTTTCTTGAAGCTAATGCTGTGTGGTTGTTGATCTGAGTACTCTGTCCTTCCACATCAATCATATCCCTTCTGACGAATTCACTTATGTGAAATAGGCTGGGACTGACACTTAGGTACGAGGGCAACTGTGGTCAGAACAACTCTCTGAGCCAAAAGCAAAGCTCATAAACCAATAAAATACAAATAACTTTACTATATAATACAGTAAAGGATGGAATGAAGAGCCCCTAAATTGTGGACAATGGTTATCTTTGGAAGTTGGGTTTAAGGGGATTATTACTTTCTCCATCATTTATTTCTGTAATGTTTATTTGATAATATTAAGGAATTCCCAATTTTTAAAATGCAAAAACGTCATTGTGGTTATGTTTAAAAGTTCTCACAGGATATTCTTACTGAAATATTCATGGGCTAAGCACTATGATGTCTGGGACTTGCTTGTAAATCATACAGTGGGAGAGGAGGTGGGTAGAAATACAGAAAATAAGATTAGACATGAATCGGTAGGTAATGAGTCCACATGAATTCATACGATTGTGTCTACTTTTGTTTGAAAGATTTGTGATAAAAGATTAATAAAAATGGTAGGAGATAAACTTGGCAAAGTAGACTGGGGACTAAACATAAAGAACCGTGAGTATAAGGAAGGTTTATTCTCCAGTTCAGTGCTCTCCAGATTTCAGTGAATGCAACCCTACCTGCGACAATATTGTCACATGCATGCACCAGGCATATGCTTATTTATTCATTCATTCATTTATTTATTTAAAATTATGTACATGTACCATTGTACTATTATGCCATTATAAAACATACACAAACATAAAAAAGCTAGATAAAAATAAGCACAAGTATTGTTCTAATATGTTCTTCCTACACTCTATGGACCTGGACCCCAGTTAGGAGCCCCATGCTTAGTGAATGTGGGGGCCCCTTGAGGTTTTCTGAATAGCAAAGAGTTTATTTATAAGAAACAGAAACTTACTGGCGCAGTAATGGGAGGTTGATTAGAAGGACCCAGAGCTACTTCCCTGAGGCTTCTCAAAGAACTCCAATGGACTGGGAAGTTGTTCTAACTAGATACGTAACTTGAACAAGGATGGCCACTTCCTTGTACACTTCTTTTACATATATGCAATACACATAATGTGTTCTGCACACAGTCAGGATACAATATGCATATAAAACAAACATTCCCCCACATATTATCTTGGGCAATATATTTAACACAACGATTATGATGATAATAATAGCTAACATTAATTGAATACTTACTCTCTGCCAGGTATTGTGGTAAGAACTTTACATACACATTTTTACTCAAAACTCATGACAACCCTATGGAAATCGATCTTATAATTGATTTTCATTTTATTATGAGGAAATTGAGACTAGAAAAAGTAGCTTTCCCAACATAAAAGGGCTAGAAAATGGCAGAGTCAAAATTTTAATCAAGATGTTTCTGACCCCAAACCCCATATCCGTAAGAACTCATCCATATTGCCTCCAGAGAGAATAGTGTCCAAACCAGCAGATTGTTGTGATGATTAAATGAGATAATATAGTTAATATGCTTAGCACACTGTCTGACATAGGGCACACATCCTATTAATAGGTTAGGATTTTAGTACACAGAATGATATTTACTAAGATTTTCCACAGTAAACACCACTAATATCTCTCAATATCAAAACACCAATATTTATAATTATAATTGTAATGAAATAATGTTTTATTATTTAGTTAAACATTATTTATAATAACACACACCTAAACTCCTTTCCTTTGCTGCCATCCATAACCACGTGCGGCTTTTGTTGTTGAGTCCCTGTGGAATGGCTGACTAGAGAGAGATTGCAATTGTGGACTGTGTTATGACTCCTTCTCAGCAGGCTACAAAAGTAGAAATATTTGCACCTGGTGTACTCCCATCATGTTCTTAAGGAGCCACCTGTCTAAGTAGGAGTGCATGTAACTTGAGCACTGAATGACCCAGGAAATACATATATACATATCGATTTTATTTTATGACTGCAGGGTACTTTTAGAGATGTGACAGTCCTGGAAAGTTCTTTGCATTCCATTGGTTTCACTTGAACTGGTCAAATATACCACTTCCATTTCTTTCTTTTTTTTTTCAGATTTCATATTTTTATCAGCCAATCCAGATTAAGTATTTATTTAATAAATACTTAACTATTTACTCATGGCTCCCATGATTACAGTAGCCATCTCTCCCTGATTTTCTGGAACATCCAAGATTTGAGATTTTGTCCCAGTACTACGCTATAATTCCAAATTTGACTGGCAGCCTTAGCCTCTGTAGAGGCGGTGATGCATGAAGCCCTATGCTGAGAGCTGTGATCTGAGATGAGACTCACAGGTGCTGGTGTGTGGTCTGGTCTACATTACTGAATCTGTACTTAATTTTGATGATCATTAAATGTTCCTTTTTTTAAGTTTGCAAATACTTTACTAAATGTCCTATCACTCTAAAGGGAATTTTAAGTTTCGTAGTTGAGTTGGGATGAGGGGAAGATAATGTCTTTGGTTTGCAGATTTTTGACATTTAGTCAAAGCAGATCTTTCCATCAAATAATTAATTTTGGTATTATTAATTCCATACATTTTATGTAATGAGATATTCTATAACTCTAGGTGTTACCTAGGAAACTGCCCATCATCCCCTCTGTTCTTCTCCCCGGGAAGTTTTTTAAATGCTAGAACCACTGTGAAGAGCATTTGTGCTGACACAGTAGAATCCATCCCCACCAATTTGTAGCCCCAGTAGCAAAAACCCAAATTAAATATGTGGGATTCTTGGAAGAAAGCATCCAGTAACCAAATACTATGAGCAAAAAATTAATTTATTACAGATATATTCTCTAGTAATTCATAATAGCTTCTTGAATTTTAAATGTCTTTTTGCTATTTCCAATGCTTAAAAATCATAATTTTAAAACATAAGTACTGTTTTATATACATTGTGATTTCTTTTCTTTTCTCTCTCTTTTTTGTTTTGTGTTTTACTTCTAAATATGAATGATATGGTTTCCAAGTAGCTACTTGGAAAGAAAGGGGATAGGATTCATTGTTTTGCTCTAACATGGTAGAATTTAAAATTTCACATCATATACCTGGAGTTTTAACTATATGAAAAATAGCCAAATGTCATCACTTTCTTGGATATTTCTTTTACGTGTATATATATGTATAATATAAACAGAATACATCTGATTAGTACATTTCAACATTTCATCAATGTGACTTTTATCTCCTATTTTATATAAAATAACAAAATATACAGAGAGAAGAAAGGAGACATCTGTTCATCATACACACAAAGTAAATAAAAGTTCATGTATGGCTTTGCAAAGGTAGATTATGACGTGACTTCCATATTTATTTGTTTAAAAGCCTCTTGAGAGAACGTGTCAGTGTGCTTACGAGAGCGGCCATGGTGGTTGAGTGTCGCGCCGAGAGTCCAACATTAGGGTCCCCAGGGTTCTTTCCAGTGGCTGCTTCGGCAGCTTTCAGTAGACAAATGTAATTTATGACCACTTCATCGATCTTCCCTACAATTTCCTGCCGCTGTGTTTCTGAGTTCACGACTTTAACTAATCGCATGCAAGCTTCTGTTAGGCAACAGAGCACTTGAAAGCTGGAAGTCATAGCTAGGAGCATCTCCTCCGGGCTTTTCTCAGCCATCGCCATTTTCCTACAGGCACTTCCCAACTGTCTGGACTCAATGGATAACAGTTGCTTGTACTGAGAAAGTGTAAGGTCGTACGCTTCAGGGCGTGACTCCTCCCTCTTCTCCTTGGTTGCCCTGACGAGACAGAGCAGCTCATTGGCATCATTTTGGGCTGCAAGGAACCCATCAGGCATTGCATATGTGCTCTCCTTTAGGGCATTTATTCTTGCAATCCGGGCATCAAAAGCCAGGTTGCTGAAGTCCAAGTCATCTGGGTCTCGCAGGTCTTCTGCCCAGACCTTCAGCACTGACCCTCTGGATAGCTCCCCTCGTTGCTTCTGAATCGCCACAGCCAGGCATGGGCTGCTTGGTTCTGGCATGGCTTGAGTCATCTGTGGTCTATAGAGGCAAGAGACCTGGACGGTGGCCTCTCCCCTCTCCTCTTCTTCCTCACCATCTTCATCCTGCCCTCGGTTCAGGAAGCAATAGCTGAAGGGTCCCCGGCATCTCCAATTGCTGCCCTCCAGCTTCCGCAAGGGTAATGTCCTATACAGCTTTGAGTCTTTATGAGCCACTGGGGACCTTTTGTGAAACCTCCCCTCAGAGCTCAAGTGCATTGAGCTTTGGGAAAAACTTTTGGTGAGCTTCCTCCCCAGGGGGAGTTCTGCTCGCCTTTCAGAACTGGCCTCCTGTGCTTCTGTGATGCCTGGACACTTTAAGCTGACTGCACCCTTGGTTCTCTCTCGGAAGGTCTCCAAATCGACAGATCCGGAGAGGATACTGCTGCTATGTCTCAGAGCCTTCTGGCTGGGAGGTGTCCTGAGGCTCCCCCCTCTCAGATCCGGTGGCCGCCAGCTCACAGCCTCTCCGTATGCCTGATTTGCTTGGGAGAAATCATTAGGGTCTTGATTTGGAATTGGCACCTTTGATTCCGAGTGAATGTTTGATGGTAGCAGGATGGGATCAGCTTCAGGATGTTGAGACCAAGCTGAAGGCATGCCTCCTCGTCTCTCCTTCCCAGGCTCTGTCAAAGCTACACTAGGGGTAGTAGAAAAACAGAGAGAATCATTAAGCATCTCCTGGGAGGTCATTTTTACTACATCTCTACATGATGTCTGTCATTTCTCAAGGTTGTAGTCTGGAAGGGCTGCCGATGCTAAGGTCACCCTGCTTTCCAAAGACTGCCTCTTGATATCTCATAACAAATTTCCATTTTAATGAATATCAAGAAAATACTGGAATCTGTTATTTCTGGAACTGCTGATTCATTTGGAATTGTCTAGAAATCCCAAACATTTTCAGGGATTTCATGAATTGCCTTACTCCCAATATCTACCCATCAAAGCTTAGACACAGAAAACAACTGTGTATAGATTATTCAAATATATTGGAGATATTAAGTTTCATTTCAAGGGAATTAGGTTAAATCTGGCATTGTTACTTTTCTTTTCTTTTCTTTCTTTCTTCCTCCTTTCTTTCTTTCTCTTTCTTTCTTTCTTTCTTTCTTTCTTTCTTTCCTTTCCTTTCCTTTCCTTTCCTTTCCTTTCCTTTCCTTTCCTTTCCTTTCCTTTCTTTCCTTTCTTTCTTTTAAAGAAGTGGCCTAATTTAATTAGTGCAAATTAAATAAGTGAATCTTTTTAAGAAGTCAGCATGAGGTTTGCCTGGTAAAAGTCTGAAGTTGAAACACTGGGCCAGTTGTTCAACATTTTTTTTTTTCTTTAAGAAAAGCTGTCATGTGAAGCAAATAATCCCCATCTCACAGAATTTTTGTGAGAAGCAAGAGGTAACTCAGGTGAAAGTTCTTTATAAATCATGAAGGATTAAACAGTGTGACTTAGTTTAGAGGTAAAGATGCAGTTGGGTGATGAGTTAGGTGATATTCACAGACAGCTTTTCCAAAGGAGGTAAAGCCAGTGGTGGGTTTTGAGAAAGTAGAAAATCTTAAAAGAACAGGAATAGAAAATGACCAATATAAGATGTCACTAACTTCCATTGACCTGTATGGAAAAGACACTATTGATGACATAATTTGAAACATAAAAGTATGAAAGAGTATCTGCTTTTGCCATGTGATGGCCAGCCAAGTGGATCGGTGAGGGGAATGCCTGCCATTGAGTGGTGGAGTGGTGAAGGTGGGATACAGAAGGTGGATGTGTTCTTTTTTCTACGTGTGTTTACACTTTATTATTTTGGGGAAAATAAAGCAGCTCATCAGGAATAGCCTCAAAATCTTCCTGACACTGGGGTATGCAAGACACTTCAGAACATCCATATAGAGCAGTCTTACAGAGTAGGGAGGAATCAGTAAGATTGCCGAAAGGCAAATGATCTCTCCAAACCCCTCCAATCTCCCTGATACCCTGCTCTCTTATCCTTCCTTGTCCCTCAATAATGAAATGGCAGAATTAGAACTCAGATGTCTTGGGAAGAAAATCAAACTGTTATGTGACTCTAAGCAATACTATCATATAACTAAAAGTCACACTGGGCATTGCTAAACATCTGCATTTAGAATTTAGGAAAAACATATTGCCCCATCCAATTCTGAAAGCAAGCACAGAGTAAGATTATAAAGAGCAAATGCCATTTTCACCTTTATAATCTTTAGTATTTATTAAATACCAGGGGATCAATGATTGGTACTTTACAGTTCTGTGGCCTTTTAAAATTCTACCTTTTACTTTTCTTCCAGACATTACGTTTTTAAGTTTGTTGTAAATATGGTTTACATGCTCTTGGCATGTCATACAAAGTGCTAAATCCATCATTGCTGTACCTGTGGTTTCCTTAATCTTGGGGAGCCGATGGCATCCATCTCTCAATGTGCCAAACAGGGGTTCGGTGTTAATGGCTGTGTGCAGAGCAGGCACTGTCATCCGTGGACACATCCCTTCTGTCTGTGGGTGCAGTTCCTTAAAGGTGGCTCCGTGGTTGGGAAGCCCAGGGGCTCTCTCCTCTGAAGGAATGTAATTCACGCCTTTCCCAGAAGCGTCAGGAATCAAGTGCTTCCCCAGGGAGGGGCAGAGCGGCGACTCCACGGGTGTGGCACAGGCACTGCCACTGCTGCCTGTGCCACAGCCTGCATCCACTGAAGAGCCTTGGGAGCTCTGCAGAGAAAAATGGCCCTCGCTTTGCAGTGATGACATCCGCTTGGCCAAGTGGTAGTCACAAAGGCGGGCCACACTCTCATCAGCCTCAGGAAGCTTGGAAGGATGGTCGCAGGTGGACGAGTCAGCGTCCTCTGGGTTATCTAAGTCTTTGGCTGAAGATGCACAGGTCACGTCAGTTAAGAAGCGGTCCCCTTGACCAAGTCCTGAGCCATCACTGGTTTCTCCATCAGGAGCTCCTTCTTCCTTCCCTTCGGCCTCCCTTGCCCCAAGACCAGAAGCTCTTGGAAAGGTTTTCCCTGTTGCTGCTTCTAATCCACTTTTTTCAGCCATCCCACCTTCAGTGGCCACATACCATCTTTGACTGTCCTTGCGAAAGGCAGTTCTCTCCAGATTAAAAGTGCTCAGGTGTTGACTGTCTCGTGAAGACACAGTACCAAATTTACCACTGGCCTCCTCCTCCATCTCTGCCGTTTTGGTCCCCTGCTGTTTTTTTCCTGTTGTGTTCCCATTAGGGGGTGCCTTCCCCTCACCATCGGCCAGCTTGCTTTTCCTTTTGCTAGTGCAGGAGTATGCCACCGACCCCATGTGCAGTTTGCTAAAATAGTCAGTGACCGACTTAGTCTCCATAGTTTCAGGCTCCATCTCCATGTGGTCTGAGTGAAGTAACTGCTTGGAAGGCACAACTTTGGGCGGGAGGTCGGTTGCTGGCCTAGCAGCCAGGGCGTGCGAGGACTTTGGAGGCAAGCCCCCAGCGGGGGTCTTGGAGGCCGGGAACTCGGTCTGCTCTTCTGCAAGGGGGTGGTAGCCTTCGTGAGTGGCCAAGAACATGCGGGAGAGGTTTTCTGACTGTTTTTGTGCTGTGGCCAGTTCAGAACTCTCAGTCATTTCAGAAGAGTTAGTTTCATTGCCCGAGTCTGACGAAGACTCAGGACTATAAGCCCGCAAGATGGCTACACCTGCATGCCGTAAAAAACAAGAACTGATTAATGGATGCATCAGAGGCACTTGGAGACATGTAAGAAAATGGGACTCGTTATTACTAAAACAAAATACCAAGTTTTTCCCTTTTCAGTAAGGACTCTGAGTTTATTGCAGTTTTTCCAGAAATGGGGGTGGGGGGAGATGTGCCTTATGTTTTTAAAAAAAAATAACAAAGGAAATCACATACACACAAAAAAACCCATGATGGCAGTTTCAGCACATTTATGAAATGGGACATGTGTGAAATGGAGAACACCACGTAACAGGACTCCAGGGGCAAATGGCTTGGAAGGATGGAATGATATGGTTATCAGTGAATGAATGTAACAATTGTGAAAGAACCTGAATTGTCACTGGTCTGCTGTTCTTCTGACACGGATAGAGCCTCTAGAGCTCCCAGCGTGGAGACGACGGCATTATCCAGTCCCTTCTCACACTTGCCTTCGGCGCTGGTGGGCACAGCGTCAATGAGGGACACGGGGATCTCATCATTTTGCAGGCTGCTGCCTTTCTCCTTGTCCTCGGGGAAGGAAGCTGCCTGGCTCTGAGAGTCCTCTTCATCTGAACTGTCTCTAAAGCCAGGTGGGGGTGCGGCAATGGCCATGTTCAAGGAACGCAACAGGAAGTCATCCTCATTGTCATCACCTTCTGGAGGGGGCAGGGATGTGAGGTCAATGATGTCATCGCTTGACCCAGACAGGTTGAGGATGGCCGGCTGGTTCATCTCCCCCACCACGAGGTCCTCCTCGCAGCTCACCTCGTCCTCGTCCTCCGCGTCATCAGTGTTTTCTGCATAACAGATGTCATGCAAGAGGGGTTCCTCGATCCCCTCCGCGGCCTGGAAGCTCTTCACATCGCCTATGTTTGCATAAACAGAATTTTCCACAAACTGGATGCCCTCTGCCTCTGGAGTGAGATCCAGGCCCTTCATGTCATTGGCACTGCCAATGTAGAGATTTCTCTGCTTCTCCAGCATTTCAGGACCCTCATCTAGTAGCGTTTCATAGCCAAGGGTTGGGGGACTAATACCATCATCCAAGGCGAAGTCTCCAAAAATAAAGGACACTTTAGCTCCTCTCGGAGATTCCTGTGCTTTCTTCAGAGTTTCTGGTCCTGAGAGGGTCAATAGGGACCGCTGAGCTAGACTTCTGTAGTCTGCCTCACAGGGGGCCTCCCCGGGCTGGCTCAGCTGCTGGTTAAGTCCATCTGAACTATAGGCATTGTCTATGTACAAGTGCCGGTGCTCTTTTGGACACATGGTGCTGTCTGTGATCTCCACCGTCTTCTGCTTTGAATCTATGTATGTTATCTGGGCTTCTTGTTCCCCTTCGCCAATAAAGGTGGTCATTTGGGGTATACAGTTCCAATCTGGGCCAAGGAGGTTATGCTTCCCCTTGTTTTCAGGTCCTAAAGAGAAAGAATCACGCAAAGACACATTACTGTACTGTCTGGTTTTGGGTGGGGCGGGGGTGGGAGGCTCGTCTCTGTTTTTTAACTTAATGGCTTGTAGCATCACTTATGTAAATACAGTTTTTCAACTACCCAAATATAGTACTTATTGATTTAGGCTTCAGGTGTAAGAATTCCTTGGGTTAGGAGAACCGACCTTAACAAAATTGATACTGCATAAACTGTAATTGCTATTTGATAAAATGTAATACCATCTGGGGGTAGGGAAGTATAGCTTAATTCCATCTGACCCTTGGTTCTATTATTAAAAGGCTTCATTCATATCTACAAATGTAAATATACAACATGTCTTTTACCCTTAAAGGTGAGATTTCAATAGGCCGTTATTCCAGAACATTAATTGTTCTTTTCCTTGTAAGGTGAGATTTAATATTCCCTACTTCATGGAGGAAGATATTGAGTGTTTTCCTCATTGAATTCAGAGACGGTCAAGGATCGTCAGAGTTTTACCATAGTTTTTAGGAAATTAAGATAAATGTTGTAATGATAGTACAAAACTTCTATCTTCAGTCTTTTGATATCCTAGTGGATGTTAAAATATTCATGTATAAATGTCAGCATGCATGCCCATGTGTATATGTGTGTGTGTGTGTATAAAATGCATAAGGTGGCATGGTCACAGGTAACGTACTTTTCTCTGTAATTTCTAAGCATAATTAATATTTAGATTAATTTCAATTTTTGTTTGTATCATAGGAACTCCTGAAAATTTGTTTCATGTTCCTCATGGATTAAAATTACAAAACCCCAATTTAAATACTATTATTTTGTTTGCTCTTCAAGCATCTTTCAATCTGGAATTTTGATGTGGAGATTTGCTCTGATATTTAACAAGACAGAGAACTGGGTCATTCTGTTGATATTGCCTTGTAGATTCCAGAGGCAACATTTCCAGAAAATTTTAGGGCCATACTATTCTCCCATCTGTTCCCTCAAACTGCCCCCAGCACAAGTTTGGATAACTGACATCAGATGTGCAAGACATATGGGAAAAAAGTGCAGTTTTACCTAAGAGATTTTTGCTCCCCGCAAATCATGCAATGGACTTAATGCTGAACAGTGTTCAGGGTCATTTTAATAAATTCATGTATTTTCATGAACAATAAGAGATATAATTTTGAAGACATTGAATTATACACTGGCCATATTTGCATCTTACCATACAATAAATAAACCTTGTGGGGGTTCAGCATTATTTTATTAACAACAATTTGGATTATGACTGGGTGTGCGTGTGGGGGGAAGTGTGTGTGTGAGTGTGGATTGTTGCAGGAGGAAGACTAGTTCAGCAAAGTTGCATTGTAACGCGGGTTTAGGGCTTGGCAAACATTTTCTGTAAAGGGAGGCCCAGATAGTAAATATTTTGGTTTTGTGGGCCAACCATTCAATTGAGCAACTACTCAACTTAGCTGTTTTAATATGAAAGTAGCCATAGATGCTACATAAACAGATGGGTGTATGAGTTGAATGGTGGCCCCCAAAAGATATGTCCACTCTGTGAATGTGACCTTATTTAGAAAAAGTGTCTTGCAACGTTAAGGATCTTGAGATGAGATTATCTTAATTATCTTTATGGGCCCTAAATTCAATGGCAGAGAGAGATTTGGGCCACATAGAGAAGAGGGGAAGGCCATGTGAAGACAGAGGCAGACACTGGAGTTAAGCAGCCACAAGGAATGCTGGCGGCCACCAGAAGCAGGAGGCGGTAACGAGAAATCCTCCCCTAAAGCCTTTGAAGGGAGCATGGCCCTATCAACATTCTGGTTTTGAACTTGTGGCCTCCAAAACTGTGGGAGGATAAACTTATGTTGTTTAAAGCTCCCAAGTTTGTAAGAATTTGTTCCAGCAGCCTTAGGAAAGTAAAACAATGTGTGTGGTTGAGTTCCAATAAAACTTTATTTGCAAGAACATGATTTGGCCCATTGACCATAGTTTTGCCAACTCTGATTTAGATGAACAAGAAAACTGAATAGGTCAGCAGGCTCAAAGCAAGTTGATGGATACTTACTGAGACCCTCCTAAAGCCCAGAGATGCATACATATGTGGGGCCAGGGATTTTGAAAGTGCTTGAAGGCTAATTTTCAAGATAGAGAAGAAGAAATGGGGGCTGTTTCTTATTAGATATCTTGACTAAGATCTGGGATCAATTTGAGGTGAGAAGAAAATATGTGTTCAATCTGGCTTCCTTCCAGAAGGGTCTACTGATTTGGCTTCCTGGAATAATTTTGGAGACAAGGAAGAATGTGGTTTGGGGGCTGGGATCTATTCTGTGGCCCAGTCTCCTACAGAGTGGAAGGAGAGAATGGACTGGGGAAGAACTGGCCTGATGGGACTTCCGCTCTGTATTTCTTGGCTCTCAGATCTTTTGGGAGTTTCTGAAGAGAAGAGAGTACTTTCAGCCCTTAGAGTATGCTGAGCCCAGACTGCTGCTCAACCTAGGTCTATCAGTTTCTTTTTGGAGTGTGCTCTCTCTCTGTTATCCTCGCTTCTCTCTCTCTGTCTCTCTCTCTCTCTCTCTCTCTCCACCTACCTCCCGCCCTGTATCTTTGAGAGTGGGGATAGGTATTTGAAACCGGGAGAAATGATGGTGAGGCTGAAGTCCCATTCTTTCCCCACAGTAATAATACTTTTTGTAACTATGTTTTTGCCTCTAAGTTCTATTAAACCTTATGTTGTGGGTCACTATGAATTGGACAGAGTGGAGACCCTTATTACTGTAAGCATGTTTAGAATAGTAGCTTTGGTTTTCTTCATACACCTCTACAATCTTTACAGTCTATGAGGAAAGGATTTATTTTCAAGATAAACTTTAAAATTTGAAAATAAAAAGCCAAAAATTGGTTTTCCAGTGGGAAACAATTGTGTCAAATTGCTGAACTGCTCTTTGGAATTTCTTTACTTTTCTTTTTTTTTTTTCTTTTAGACACAGGATCTTGCTTTGTCAGCCAGCCTGGAGGCTGGAGTGCAATAGTGTGCTTGGCTCACTAAAGCCTTGACCTCCCGGGCTTGCATGATCCTCCCACCTCAATGTCCAAAGTAGCTGGGACCACAGGTGTATGCCACCACACCTGGCTAGTTTTTAAATTTTTTTCGTGGATACAGTGTCTCACTTTGTTGCTCAGGCTGGTCTCAAGCTCCTGGATTCAAGTGATCCACCCGCCTCGGACTCCCCAAGTGCTGAGACTACAGGCATGAGCCACCATGCCCAGCCTTCTTTGGAATTTCTAAGGTCAGCATTAAATTGCTCTAAATCTCCTAGCTCAATGAAAACATGTGGTCATAAAAATGTTTACTGCCAAACCCAGTGCACGCCTATCACCTCCTTTTTTGTTCTTTCTTTTTCTATATTTATTTTTAAACATTTGTGTCTCTCAGGAGCTTTCTTTGCCTCATGTTCTGTCTTTCTCTCCTTTCTGTGTTTCTATCACGTTCTAATTTATTTATTTACTTATTTTTGAGACAGGGTTTTGCTCTGTCACCTAGGCCAGAGTGTAGTGGCGTAGTCATAGCTCACAGCCGCGTTGACCTCCTAGGCTCAAGGTTTCCTCCCACCTCAGCCTCCCGTGTAGCTAGGACTATAGGCGTGTGCCACCACACCTGGCTAATTTTTATATTTTTTGTAGAGACGATGTCTCCCTGTGTTGCCCAGTCTGATCTCAAACTCCTGTGCTCAAGTGATCCTCCTGCCTCAGCCTCCCAAAGCACTGGGATTATAGGCGTGAACCACTGCATCTGGCTTCTATCTCTTTCATTCTGGGTTCTTTCTGCCTCTGTTTTTTTTTTTTTCACTGCTAATTATTAATAGAAATGCTGAGCATCATTTTAGATGATGTACCTAGATTATTTTTCTAACCCTTGCAAGCTAGTTTTTAAATCCCATTTTACAAATGAAGAAACTCAAGCTCAGAGAAATTAAAAAAAATCAGATACCTCAAGATGGGACTGGATTAAATCTCAGATTTATTTGACTTGAAAGTCCAGGTGTTGCCTTCTAACATGCTTTATCCATTGCTCCTTGTTTCTAGCTTCCCTTTTTCTATGACTGAGCTGCTTCCATTCACCTGGCCATCATAATAAACTGTGTGTGAGTCTGTATGCGTGTTTAAGTGTGTCTACATATTGCAGTATATTTATGGAATAAAGATTGATGTTTATGCTCAATTTAACAGTGACAGAACTTCCTTCCCTTTTTTTCTCCCCTCATTTTCTCTGATAAATGCCGGGGACTTGGGGCGGGGGGCAGGGTTGGGGGGAAGGGAGAGAAAAAGAGAAGCAACAGTAAAATTTGTTTTTAAGAATTCCCCTTTCTTTTAAAAGAAACCCCAATTATGGAAACTCTGATTATACTTTTTTTTAATGGCTCAGTGGCTGTGCCTAGAATGGTGGCATCTGTCCATCAGTGACATTTACTAAGCATCCACTGTAGATGGAGTAAAATGCTTAAGTAACTGAAGAAAAAATGTTCTAAAACCAATGAAAACCACCTACTGTCAAAGGAATAATCAATTTAACATTTGCAGCCTTCCCTGTCCTCGTTGTGGGGATCTTTTTTTCTGTCAAGTAGGTGAACTGAATTATTTGATGTCTTTGCCATCTTGGTGCTCCTATTATGGATCCAAGATGGCTGCCAATGTGGAAGAATTTTCTTCTAGTGTTCCCAAGTCCGAGTGCTAGGCAATAACCACGTCTTCCTGTTTGTAAAGTTCCCAGAATCCTGGGCATAAGTCTGACTACAGGGAGGAGGCTCCCAGACACCCGGGCCTAGGACACCATCAGGAGAGACCAGCCCTAAAGCAGGGGCTCACAACTCGTGTTCGGGCATTCCATCATTAGTCCTCTGGCCCTGACCTCTGTAAGAGTAAGGCCATGAAAACCCAGCCATAGAGACTTTCATGATAATAAAATCAAGGTTGGAGCAAGCACCCTGACACTTCTGAGTGATGTGTCAAATGTGGTGAGAAATCAGCATTTTTCTTTTTAACAATTAGCCCACATCACAGGTATCTGAAGGCTTTTGGCATTGAATTTGGACATTTGATTTTTTTGTGGGTACAATTTTAACTTTTTTTAATTTTAATTTTAATTAATTAATTTATTTTGAGACAGAGTCTCACTCTGTCACCCAGATTGGAGTGCAGTGGTGCGATCTCGGCTCACTGCAACCTCTGCCTCCCAGGTTCAAGTGATTCTCCTGCCTCAGCCTCCCGAATAGCTGAGATTACAGGTGCGTGCCACTATGCCCAGCTAATTTTTGTATTTTTAGTAGAGATGGTGTTTCACCATGTTGGTCAGGCTGGTCTCGAAAGCCTGACCTCGTGATCCGCCTGCCTTGGCCTCCCAAAGTGCCAGGATTACAGGCGTGAGCCACCGCGCCTGGCCTTAACTTTTCAGAAAACATCCTTATTATTGTTGTCAGGTGGGGTGTTTGCAGGGAGGTCAGTGCTTGATGAGTTCAGGAAGAGAATACCTGTTTCCTGGGTCGCTGTGTTTTTCTTGTTGGCCATGTTAAATATCGACCTCCTGGAATCAACAAGCAGCCGGTAGTATCCAGCCGTCAAGCAGGCCAGGTTCATGGCATCTGAGGATTCCATCAGAAGCGTGATAGGCTACACAAAAGAGAACACTTTGGTTAAAGCCATCCATTCTTAATAACATCCCTGGAGTGTCAACAGCTGCATTTATGCTTATGGAAAAAGGAGTTATTGAACAAACATTTCATGGGAGAAACCCAAAGCAGGAGAAAAAGCCAAGGATAACACAAAGTGCCTTACTGAAAAACATTCAGGACACACCCTCTAAAAAGCCTGGACATTTTGAATCTCTTCCAAGTCATATATATATATGTCTGTCTATCTATCTATCTGTCTATCTATATTTGAGACAGGGTCTCGCTCTGTCGCCGAGACTGGAGTGCAGTGGCGTGAACTTGGCTCACTGCAACCTCCACCTCCTGGGTTTAAGCGATTCTTATGCCTCAGCCTCCGGAATAGTTGGGATCACAGGCATGCACCACCGCGCCAGGCTAATTTTTGTATTTTTAGTAGAGACGGGGCTTCACCATGTTGGCCAGGCTGTTCTCCAACTCCTGATCTCAAATGATCCGCCCACCTCAGCCTCCCAAAGTGCTGGGATTGCTGGTGTGAGCCACCGCACCTGGACCCCCAGTCATATTGAAATGAAAAAAAATGAGATTGTCTTCTTCCCAAATAATTAACATTTTTAACATTTAAAGACAATTAAACATGTTAAACTGGTAAATTAACATTAACTAGTTAAGTTACCAGTTACCTCAGTTACCAGCAGTGAACTCACAATCTGAAAATTACAGGAAGATTAAGTTTTGGGTTCACGGTGTAAATTAGTGTTAGAGGTAAAATTCAAGTGGAAATTACTGCTAAGACTGAATGAAAAGTGCCAGAGATCCAGTAAAAAGTTGCTTCTAGATGAAATCGTAAATTTACAGGAGGGTAAAACAGATGGGAGTTGAGAAAAGGCCTCACTAAAACTCTCTTGAAACAATAAGGTTATTATACAATTGGACATAGATTTGGAGCTTATAGGGAAAAAAAAGTGTTGGATGAAGCAATTTTTCTCATTGAGTTAGGAAGGATGTGTTTTTGTTGAAAGAGAAAAAGTGAGTGAGAGAGAAATAAGGAAGCAAGAAAAAGCAGATATGAAGAGAGGCACAAAGACAGCAAGACAGCAGGCCTCTTGCTTTCACTCCTAGGTATAGGACACTGGGCGGATTCAGCGCCCCCAGCTCGTAGAATTTAACTTTCCTGCCAAAGCCCCTGTACTACTTGTTGAACTGCCTTTCCTTCCACTTCAGTTGAGGTCTCCCCTCAGCCTCCAAGGCACCGCATCATTATTTTATATAGGCAGGACGCCATCGGCCGGGCACGACACTCATTTCTGTTTAGGACAGATTATCTCTGTCATCGGATCTGTAATAACTGCATCCAGTTCACCCTTTCATCCACCTTTCTCTGTGATGGGGCTATTTCTCTCAGCCTCTTTGCTCATGGAGTAGGATTAGCATTCCAAGTCTATCCTCACACTTTCAGCTTGCCATGAAAACCCTCTGGATCCAGCCCATGAAGTCCTACAGGTCACAGCCAGCATGTCTGAGCTCCACATTCTCTCTTTCGTGATCATCTGTTCCCACTGCAGAGCTCTCTAGTGTATTCTGATGTGCTTTGTAGAAACGCTTTGCCACATTCTCAATGGCTGTTAATCCACTCCTCCCACACCAGCACCCTAGTGGGGAGGCAGGTAGGGCTGGGTCCTCCCTGGCTATTTTCAGAGCACCCTCCAGGCTGGTGTTGTCTCCTTTGTGGAGTCACTATCTCCATTTGTTCCCGTGCCTTTTCTTCATAGAAACAGTAGAAATACTGCCATTGCCAAAATCCAATAACTCATCTCTACTGGGAAAAGAAGGTGGAGACCAGGAACCTGGACTATTTCCTATTCTCTTTTGGGAGTAGAGTTTTGCCCTTTGTGGACCATCTCAGATTTTTGTGTTTTTTTTTTTTTTTTGAGATGGAGTCTCGCTCTGTTACCCAGGCTGAAGTTCAATGGCACGATCTCGGCTCACTGGAACCTCCACCTCTGGGTTCAAGCAATTCTCCTGCCTCAGCCTCCTGAGTAGCTGGGATTACAGGTGCACGCCACCACGCCCGGCTAATTTTTGTATTTTTAGTAGAGATGGGGTTTCACCATGTTGGTCAGCCTGGTCTTGAACTCTTGACCTCGTGATCCGCCCGCCTCGGCCTCCCAAAGTGCTGAGATTACAGGCATCAGCCACCGCACCTGGCCAGATTTTTGTTTTAAATGGAATGGCCATGACATTCATAGGAGCCAGATGTTCAGTCAGTACCAATTGCTACCATATGAGAAGACAGATGAACTAAAACATCAAGCTTTTCCAAAAGAATAAACACATATGGACCTAACGTAAGCAAAGGGAGTGAGAATTCTAAAGAAAGTTGGGAAAAATCTCCCTCTTGATTTGAGTCATATATTCTAGAAAGTTAGTTCAGAAAAGTTTCCCCTACTCTATACCTAGAAATCACATATTCTAAAGTCAGAAGGGACCTAGAAATTATGTAGCTTGCTTTCTCACGTATGAATAAAAAAATTGAGCGCAGAGAATTATAGCGACCTGTTCCCAATCACACAGCGATTTAGTGAGGACTGGAGCCCTCAGGCCTGAGTTGGTGGATTATTTTCTGCACCACATTGCATCTGTGATGCTCTGCACACATTGACTTTTGCCTGCCTTGTAAACATCTGCAGTGTTATCAGAAATTAGCTGTTGACAGCAAGGCCATGTGTCAACACCTGAGAAACTTGCCTTCACATCTAGCACGTGGAGTTCTACCCGCACCAAGCTCTCCTCCTCGGAAAACATTTCGATCCTGTTGACGTGGCTAAAGTCGGCTAAAAGAGCCACCAGATTGGTTTTGGTGTTGATGACATGGCTTATGCCATACCGGGGCCCAACCAGGAGAGTCACTTCCGAGCGCTTTTCTGCCTGCTGAGAAAGAGAAGTTGACAACATAAAAATACTGAACCTCTGAAATGCTATGCCAACTTGAACCTATGATCCTATTTTTATAAGATTATATTTTCTTTAGAAAGTGTTTCTGGGTCATACTGTACTAAATCATCCAATTAGAAGAACCAGATACATGACTGAATTGAGGCTCTGATAAATCATGAGTAATTAGAAAGTAAATGTTATAGCACAGTATGTTCATAATCATAAGATCCTTTTAGAAATGAGGTTTGTTTTTTTCTTTTTGGTTTTCCTTTTTTCACTGTGAAAGCAACTTCTGGCTCAATGATTTAAAAGAAGGCCATTGTTAGAATCCTTTGATTCTCTCGGTTCTTCACATTTCTTTTTCTAGGGCATTCTGCAGTGGTGTTATCTAGTTTAACATTTCTTCTGATATTTTCAGACTGTTGTGAAGTTGGTTAGAAATGAAGGCTGGAGAAGATTCACAGCTGATTTGCTTTTGTCATCAGAGGCGGAATGAGCTGCTGTGGCTTCCAAGAGAAAGCAAAAAAAAAAAAAAAAAAGAAATTACCACTAATGTTGCCTTGAACACACGGCCCCCATACAATCGTAGGTCACTGAGGAACTTGAGATAATGGACCTTGGCTTGTAGTGCAGAGAGCTGAGGAGAGAAAAGAAACCTCAGGTGTTAACTCTATTGGGTATGACTCCATTTCAGCTGGAGACTAGCAGAAAACAAGTGTAAGATAGAAGGATGATTTTACGGCTGAAAAGTTGAGATGTGACAAAGACTATTCATTAGGAATAAAATTGCTACATATTTGGTTTCCTGATGAAGGACTGGAACATAAAATCAAGATTCAAATCTTATTTATTAGGGGGTCAATGTATGGGGCACTCATGGGTATAGATATGCTGGGCCAGGGCACTCAGCAAGTGAGAACAAGACCATAAAATGTTCCATTGAACATCTGCTCACTGGGAGATTTCAAGAGGTGAGTGGGCCTTCTACTTGCAATTAGGGACAAAGGTGAGGTGTCTACCTATATTCCCATTGCACAAGAGACTCACCTGAATGCAGACTTTGTGGGAATCATTTTGAATACGCACCTGCAATCTAGGCAAAGCCTTCTAAACAGGCCCTTTACACTTCCCCTCTCAAGTTTCTTCCAGTCCTTGCAAGTTTTCGGGGGAAATGAACTTTCTGAGAGCCAATCATTGTGGAAATGTTTGAACTTGCTAAATAAGGCTCTGTTTTATTAATTCAACTTGGAAAATCTGTTGAGTTTCACAAGTGATTTATAAATGAAATTTTATCCAGATAAAAGTTATCTTTACAAAGACTTAAAAATGTAGGATCCCATATCACTAAAAAGAGTATTTGATTTAAAAAAAAAAAAGGTCCATGTTTCATACTGAATGTGCCAGGGATGTTTATTAAGGTTGAAATTTTCCAACAAGGTGTAGACCACCATTAAGTGGCAATGACCATAAAATTCTATTTTCACTTGCAGATGGCTTGCCAACTTATTTGTTAACTATACATAAAGGCACTGCTCTTTATGTAATTGTTACTTAGCACCATTCATCCATCCTACTTCTTTCAAAAATGCAAAGCATTTGCAAATTGTTTTGAAAGCAAACTATTCACTCTTGGCTAGAAAAACAACCTTTAAAGGACAGTGATGGATAAATGGATAGGTTGATTGATCTTATAGCAGTTATCCAAATTATTACGAGTGGGCCAGGCTTGAAAAAAAAATCACAAGTCAATTATAGAAATTAGCTTCCAGCAAATCAGAACTGAAGTTAAAAAGAACTTGACCCACATCATCTTGCTACATCTCTGTAAGCTGAATGCTCACTGTGATCAAAGACATCCTTCCCATGAAATTGGGAAGTGAGTTAAAGGTGGCTGATAGTGTGTTGAAACTGATTATACTTAAAAAAAAAAATTGTCGTGGGGTGAGGAGGGGATAGAAATAAATGTACCTTACCCAGTAAAAATGACTTAAAAAAATCAGATACTAAGACAAAATGGTTCTCCACGTAAACAGTGATTTGTATTAGAGTCACACAAATTTCTCCAGCTAATATCAATTGGAAAGTGTTCTTCAGTTATAAGACTGCTTCCAATTTTATAGATCCAGTATTTTAAGGCTCCTTCTCTTTCTGGTTCCTGGAATCCTTTGCTTTTTATTACCTATAAACTATACCTCTCTTTTCTGACCAACAGTATATTTTAAAATTTCCTTTGTGTTTCTCTTACTTAATGAAAACAAAAACAAAAGCATAAAAAGATTTTAACACTAATGATGGTGAATGACAGCAATAATTTTATCTTCCCTCCAAAGGTAGGATTGAATCCATTGTTTGTCAATAGGGGTGATTTTGTTCCCGGGAGCACATTTGGCAATGTCTGGAGACATTTTTGTTTGTCACGATCACGGGAGGGTGCTACTGGCATCTTGTGGGTAGAGACCAGGGGTGCCGCTAAACATCCCAGAATACACAGGATGTTCCCCGTAACTCCCTAACAAAGAATGATCTGTTCCCAAATGTCAATTACGCCACAGTTGAGGATCCCTGGTTTAATTAATGTGGCCTCTGGCCTGCAGGGCCTCTTGCTGGCTGTTGTGCATTGAAGCTGGTCTGAGCAGTAAGCAATTGCATGATTGAAACATAGAATGATTTCACAATTCTATCTTCTATCCACAAGGTCTCAGAGGCTACGCAAACTTTTCCTGGATGGGCACATGAACACATACCTCCCTGCTACAGTACGGAGTCCATAACTTGTGAGAAAGAAATAGGTTTCTATATGAATACTTATTTTTCATTAGTGTTAGAAACATGTTAATAGTTAGAAAAAAGTTACACAGTGTTACTGCTTCTGAAAATATGGTACTAAGTATTTTATTCATGAGCTAATTTTAAACATTTAAAAAATGCATTCAAGCCTCTCTCTTTATAATTTTCTTTTAAGATGGAAATGTGATACCTTTTTACCCGGTGGTACCAAGTTTTGATTTGCTTTGACAAGGTGTGAAAGTGCTTTCTTTATGTTCTTCTCTTTCATGCTTTGCAGCACAGCAGAGGGAAGAAAAGTCTCTAATCCCCATTCTTTTCTGCAATAAAGAGCATATCTTTAATTTCACATTTCTGTGATGATGAGTTATCTAAGACAAAATGGTGCTCTGATGTTTGTTGGAACAAATGAACCCTTGGTGAGGCAGAGAATGGAGACAAGTCCCCAAAGGAAGTAACTTTTAATTTACACTCAGGACACACACTACTTGATCATTAATACACATGTTTGCATTTAAAAAGAAATCTGTTCCTCATTCTCTAGAGACAATGCTAAGGAGGCATTTGGAGCCAATGTAAAGTGAAGAGACATTTTGTCCAACCAACTTCTGAATCTCTTCAAAGTCACTCACGTATCCGAGTTTGTATTTCCAACACCAATTTCTCTCCATCCCTTTGTTGATTTCTATTCTCCAATCTCCCTGTCTGCTCATATTCTTCCTCTCTTAGAAGAATGGATGCAAGTCCTTCATGTCCCCAAACCATTCTTCCCTGTCCCTCCCCTCCTCCATGGCTATTTCTCTAGGCACACACAGTTCTTTTGTCCCAGCCAGTTCCTGTCTAACTCCCTCCATCAACATTTCTTGCTGGTGGTGTGGAATTGGGTGTGATTCATGACTCTTAAGTGTGCCCAGTATTGATGTGGAGATGCTGTTCTCATTCATGGACGTGGATGTACAACAAAACAACAACAAATGGGACTGAGTTAATACATTTTTACAAAGAGCCAATTTCACCAGAAACGACTACCACCCCCTTCTAAGAAGGTCCCATATTTTGAATTCTAGGAAATCTATCCTGGAGTAGAAATCCTACCCTAGGTTATGTGTCTAACCAGTGTCTTCTAAATTATGTGAAGACCTTCAAGAGGATTCCAGTTATTTCTCCTGTTCTAGGTCCTCTCCAAAGAAGGGTAGGAAGACAACCTACCCCCACCACTTGACCATTCATATTCTTCACTAGTTAAGATGGTATATTTCATGATCATTATGTTTTCTTCCTTCTCAACTTGTACTTATTGTCTTATCCATCATTTGGCACTACTTATGGGCTTTCTTGTAATCCTACTTGTATCATTATTTTAAATAATTACTTTTCCTATCTTTATATCTTGTTTTTACAATCAGACCACAAGTTCCTCAATGGCCAGGAATATAATTCATACATATTAGTATTTTCTACTATCCTAATGTGAGTGCTATATAAAATGCTCAATGAATATTTGTTGGTCAAAGGAATTTATGAATGAGAACATTATTACAGACTTTTCAGGATTCTTACTCAAGCCAGATATCTCTGAGACGTTTTTGACCATACAATGTTCAACCTGGTAAAATGTGGGTACACAAAGTAGGAAAAGAAATGCATTTTAATTGTCTGAAAATCAACTCCGGTTGTGCAGGCCACCTTTTCAAATGGCAGCCAGTTTCACCTGTCCCCAAGAACTTTAAAAAGGAGAGTGGAAGAGTGTGTGAATGTGTCCAGCTGAGCACGAGATCTCTTTGTGAGCCAAGTCTTTCTCAGGCTACAGTCACGCTTATGTGTGGGGAGAGAGAGAAAGCATCTGGAAGGAGTGAACTGAAGGCCTGAGGTTCTCAAATTGCATATGAGGATTTGTCCCTACATGTCAACAGGTGACTGAGAGTTGTCAGAACAGTGGTGTTGAAGTCAGCAAGTTGGAGATTTAATCCTTCCCAACACAGGCTCATGAATTTATTGAGAAAAGCCATTTTGCCCCCTGGTGGGTGAACCTGGCATTGTGGAATTTAGAAAGGCTTTCTAGGCAGCCCATGAGAAGTTTCTTTGGAAAGTGGGATTTTAATTAGTTTATACATCTTTTGGAGGTGAGATTGTAAGCAGGGTGTGGGGGGAGGTCCAAGGCTTTAGCATTACATGTGTTTCCAAACACAGGTGCCTCAACCCATCACACAATCTATAGCACAACGGGGAGTCCCACTGCCTGGGTTTGAATCCTATATCCCCGCGTTAATAGCCATTTGACTTGGGCAAGTTATTCTATGACTCGGTTTGCTCGTCTGTAAAATGAAGCTAAAATCCTACTAATCTCATAGGGGTGTTGTGAGAATTAAACAAATTAATGTGTGAAAAGTGCTAAGACCAAAGCTTGGCTTGGAATCAAGCCCCTTTAGGAATTCAAAAATTTATGCTTCGTTTTAAATATGTCCCTCATCTTAACTACAATGCTCTAAAGGTGGATTAGAAATGGATCTCTTCTGCCAGAAATGAGCATGATATTCATACATTTTGCCACTGGCGAATGAATGCTTTGACACAAACAAGATCAATTTTGGACAAATAACAAAAATACACCCGGGCTAAGGGAGGCGGCATGTCTGTCTCCGAAATGGCGCTGAGAGTCAACACTTACTCGATGTATTTGAGGGAGATTTTCTGCGTTTGCTTGGTGGTAACGGTTGCAATGTACATTTGTAATGCGGCCAGCCGCAGGGCTATGTCATATTTCAGCTCCGGCCCAAATCGCTCCTGAACCACATCGTTACAACTCTGCGAAGAGACCAGCAGGGGGCACAGCTTGTCAAAGAATAGGCCGCAGCGCGTGGACTTACAGAACAGGTGACATACATTTCCCGAGTGATTCAACCTTCACTTCCCAGGCAAGGAGGCTAAATGTGGAAACATCTCCACCGTGCTGCTTGGAAACGAGTCAGTATTGAATTGCAAGCGCAAACACAGAGACCACACAAAACATTTAGCATTCATCGACGAGCTGCTATTTAAATATTTAGCTTTTTGTAAAAACAATTAGGAATTTAGGTATGAAATTTCCAAACACAGGTGCCGCAGTTGAATGCACACAGCATTGATAGCATAATGTGGCTTCTGGAGTTAGGCTGCCGGAATTGGAATCTTAGGCTTGAAACTTGTTTCTCCACTTCATTAGGGGCACAAACTTGGGCACCTTCTTAATTGTCTGTGCCTCAGTTTTCTCTTCTGTAAATTGGGGATAATACTGCTCCCTCTTCACTGGGTTGTGGTGACCATTAAATGAGTGAACCATGAAAAGTTCTTAGAATCCCAGCACTTTGGGAGGCCAAGGCGGGTGGATTACGTGAGCCCTGGAGTTCAAGACCAGCCTGGGCAACATGGCGAAATCCAGTCTCTACAAAAAACACAAAAATTAGCTGGGCATGGTGGTGTGTGCCTGTAGTCCCAGCTACTAGGGAGGCTGAAGCAGGAGGATCGCTTGAGTCCAAGAGTTTGCGGCTGCAGTGAGCCTTGATCACACCACTGCATTCCAGCCTTGGCAAAAGAGCAAGACCTTGTCAAAAAAAAAAAAAAAAAAAAAAAAAGAAGCCAAAACAAAACCCCAAAAGCTCTTAGAACCGTACTTGGCAGGGTGTAAGCCCTCTTACATGTTTACTACTGTCACTGCTAACATCATTCTCCTCCTCCTCCTTATCAGCCACAGCAGCTGCAGGGAGGCAGAATTAGCACGGTGAGTGAGCACAGTGGCTTGGGACTCATATCCACCTGTTCTGGCGTTCTGCCTTTCCCAGTGGCTACCTGTGTAAGTAATTTTAGACCATTCACTTTAACTCTTGCAGCCTCAGTTTACTCATCTGTGCAAACGGGATTCATACTATCTCACTGGAGTGGCTGGAGGATTAGATGAGGTGCACATCAAGTGCTTTATCACAGCACATTGGTACCTTGGATAAGGGGAGCTATTGAACTCCTCTGTTCACTTCAATGGCAACTGCCCTGCTTTTTCAAGTGCCTGACTTTCTGGGAGTCATTCCTCCTCTTTCAGCCTTAGTTTGTTCATCTGTAGAATAAGGTCACCTATCTCACAGGGTTTGTTGTGGGGATCAAATTGAAGAGTGGCTGAGAGTGTGTCATCAAGTGTAAAGTGCTGCATGGGAACAGAGGTTGGCTTTGGAGTAGTATCCTCACTTACTGCTTAGACACAAGGCAGTGAGCTAAGTGCTGCTGGGAAGCGCTGCATTGCTTAGGCATATTCTACACGTGCGTTCACTTACTTTTGTTATGGGAAACTGGATTCCTGGGCTAGAAAATATGGTATTTAGCTTCTTTCTTATTTCCTCCTTTTCTTTATTCTTTGGCTTGCCCCAAGAATATTTTGTTGGAGCTCAAAAAACAATATCCCAAAATGAAGGCCTCAGAAACAAAAGTATTTCTTTGACCTTCTCCTGCCCTCCTGTTTTTTAATTTCTGTTATCCCTGGAGGCTAGCCATAGAAACTAGAATCCCTCTTCCCCAAGGTGGGTCATAGAAACTAGAACCCCCTTTCCCCAAAGCCAGCCTTAAAACCTAAAAATATGACTCTAATTTTCCCTCTGCCCTGTGTAAAGACTGGCCATAAAGAAATTATCTGACCAACATGGTTTGATTGTAGGTCATAAGACTCCCATTCCAGAAAGGGTCCTGCCCCACACCCAGAAGGAAGGAACGCTGCTCAGAGAGGCCAAGAAGAATCTAGGCCTTGCTAGGTTTCTTCATTCAGTCCGTTAGCATTAGGTCAGGCCCTTTTAGTCCAATCCTATTTCTACATGGCTATCCATACTTTGTTGAACATTAGCATAAAAATGGACAATTTCCCTTGTATCTTTGGGATTTCATTCTGAAGGCTCCCATGGATATACGTTAAATATATTTGTATGCCTTTTCTCTAATTCATTTGTCTTTTTTGACTTGATTTTTTAGTGAAACTTCTGTGGGCCCTTGGCCTCAAATGAAAAACTATATCAAGATTTGCTTGCCTCCTTTCCAACAGAAGCACATTTATAACCGCTTCCTATATTGATTTTACTAAAATAGGAACATATACCCCTGGATGGCTTCTGCATACAATATTTACACTGTGCACACTCACCCATGCTGCACCGGTGCTGTGCCGTGCGTGCACGCTCTGTATCCACGTGCCATGGGTGCATGTCTCTCAGCCCATCACTTCACTGCTAAGAGTGAAGTCACATTCTCTCACCTGTTCATCCCTAATGTGATCTTCCACCTTTGCTTCTCCTTAAAATCTTAAACCTATTTGGATTGCACAGCACCCCTTGTCAGAAGTGGGTCTGTCCAGAGACAGGAGATAGGGTGGTCTGATTTAAGGCAGCCTCCGAGAGCAATTACAGGCTGCCATTTTGTTTTGCTAGTCTTGGGTTTACCAGTTATTTCCAAGTGCTCAGGGTTGTCCACATGAGCTCCAAGGGGTTGAGAGCCTAGATAGGGTCATTTTATACAGTCCCATAAAGGATGGGGTGAGAAAACCATTGGCACAGTGAGGAATCAATTTTTTGAGAAATCATTTTGATAAATCATTTTCTTCAGCAACTGCTATGCCATAATGGATTGAAAGAGGATTTGGGCATAGAATTTAGAGACAAAAGCCCCAGGTTTGATTCTAAGTTCTGTCAACTTCTAATAAAATGACCTCGAACATGGCATTTCATCTCTCTTCAGCCTCAGTTTCCTTATCGGAAAAATGGGTTAAGTCTCAAAAACAACTAACTTGAGAGTTAGCAATGAACTCGCAAGGTTGCCATGATACCTGTAAATATGTTTCATGAAATGGAAGATACTTGATAAAGATTAGCCATCACTATTACTTCTCCTAAGAGTCATAGCTGGGACCATATTTCCCATCACTGCTTTACCCTGTATTTAACTAGGCTTCTGGATGAATTTTTTGACAAGGTGATTAATTACATGATATAATTAGTTCAGACTGATCCTGGAGAATGAAATTTGGAACATATATATATATTCCAAATATATATATATTTGGTACTAATCATGCTTTTATTGCTCTCAACTGTATTACTTAAAATACAGTTATACAAGCAAATGGGTAGTATCTGTTTTGCTAAATAGAGGTCCCAAAAGGCTCCACTTGAGGCTTCCAGAATGTTCATTTATAACTAACATGTTAGATCTTAAAAAGGAAACCAATAGTACTATAGTATTTGAAAACATTTTGGAGCCTCTTAGGTCTTACTCATTTGCTAATTGACATAACAGTCTTTTTCTTAACAGATAGTGGACAGGTAAATGTCAGTATAGCCCGTTGTAATGATAAATTTGAACAATCTGGACTATTAGCATTTATTGTTAATATATATGCTAAAATCTGTAAAATATGTCATGGACCATTAAGAACTAGGAGATTAATAGATATTACTATTGCAACTTCTGTTTTCATGATTCATCTAGTCAATGGCTACTGTCCTCATTAGGAGCCCACTAAGTTAAATTGATTTTATCTTTGTAAAGTGATACATGTTGCTCCTGCTTACTCTTTTGTTCTCTAGGCTTGTTTTATTGCATCTTTTTAGTATCTTGAAATCAACATGGGCACCCAGACACCATTTGCAGATCTGTTGACTTATATTAGATGTTATTTTAGACTTATGGTAGCACGCATTCTGTGATACAAGGCATTTCAAAGAAGAGGGTCTGAGGCAAAGACATTCTGATTTCCTGTTTCAGCGGAGGATATATGACAGTTGCTTTATTTTGGTCTTTATTGCCTACCATACCTGTTTTTCTATTTTTCCCCCTCTGGCTATGCCTTGAAGAGGTGGCTAATTCACTGCCTATTTTATACCCAAGGCAAGAAAGCAGAAACATCCTCAGTCTTTTTCTGTTAGTCCCTGGGCAAGATTTCCAGACACATTTTCGTGTTCTGAGGACAGTCTCACATGTATAAAACATGTGTCTGTTGAATAAGAAAGATCTCCCTAAGCTATATTAGATTTGTGCAAACACACCTTAAACAGAACTGGGTTTAGCTGTACTCCTTGTCTACTTAAGAGGTCTCCTCTCCCCAAGACAAATGCAACCACATTGTTCTTTTATAAATGCAATGGACTCGTGATGTTTAAATGGAAGCAGAGTAAAATAGTTTTAAAGCACCATCTTGTGAATGGGGTGAGTATATAATTATAGAGAAAAACCACTGAATGCACTCACTGTCTACAGCGACTACTGACCAGCGCCTATAACTATTTATTTGCAACTAACAATGTAGCACATGATCTGAGCTGCAGTAGCAAAGCCCTGGGTTGGTTTTCAGCAGGGACATGGGGAAGATGCAGTAACAGATCAGCTGAGAATCAGGCTCTGTTTCATGCAGTCACGCCTGCTGGGGACAAGGAGATATTGTTGACAAGTGAGGGGTCCAGGTGATCAAAGCTTAACATTTAAAAAACCCAAAACGTGGCAGTTTCGTTGTTCGGGGTGGAAAATATTTTAAAGCACACTACACATTTCTTTACTTGGTCAACAGGGTTCATTGAACAGGACTTGACTTTTCCCAATGATGTAGGGTTATCTTCATGAACATTAATCATCCCACTGAGCTGTAAATACCACAGTCTTCCAAAGACCACTGAGGTGGGGAAAATTTGACTGGCCTCACCCTGAGTGCCCCCATCTGCTAGAACATTCTTGTATGTTCTGTGTCTTTCCTGTCTGACTTAACCTGTGATCTTCAGGGCTTATTGCCACTTTAATTTATGTCACCATTCTTAACCTCTGATACCTACCTTGTCTAGTCTCTCTTCCATCTTCCGCCTACTTTTTTTTCTACCCAGCTTTTGAAGATTACAAATGTTTTGAAATATACAGGAAAGTATTGGAAATGGTAAAGCAAACACCAGTGTTATTAACTACCTAGAGTTAACAAATGCTTCTTTTTATTATATTTTTCTTACATTTTTGCTTTATATCTTTTATATATGGCTCCAGCAATCTTTGCCTTATACAGATATTCTCAAAGACAGTGTGTCTTTTTTTTTTTTTTTTTTTTGCTTCATTTTTGTTTTTTCTCTCTTTCTGGCAGTGGGGAGGGGGAGGTTATGTTTAGATTTGCAACCTCTTCGAGTAGTTAGTTCTACTGCTAGATGTCTAAGCTGTCTAAGGATTAGGTCAGTTGGTTCTTACTGTTTAATGTGATTATATTGGAAATTTAAGTGAGAGTAATAGGAAGCAGTTATAGTAAAATATAGGAACACCTCATAAATATCAACTTGGATAAATTCCCTTTGGGACAAACTACACCAGATACTCATTCCTGGAAACTTTCATCTTTGGGGAATTATAGCTCAGAATCAGATATCAGTCTGGAAAAGACTGTTCTCTTCAAGTTTTACCACGTTGAAATTAACAATTCAGTAAAATGAATATCACAATTTTACAGAATAATTTAAGCATCAAATGAATGAACAAATAAGTAAATAAAGGAGAAGGGAAAACTCTCATCATACCAATTAATAAATGCAGAAGCAATAATGAAATTAGAAAAATCATAATTTTCAACCACAATTATAATAATGGATTCAGATAAGAATAATCAATTAGGGCTGGGCGCGGTGGCTCACGCCTATAATTCCAGCACTTTGGGAGACTGAGGTGGGCAGATCACCTGAGGGTGGGAGTTCGAGACCAACCTGACCAACATGGAGAAACCCCATATCTACTAAAAATACAAAATTAGCCTGGAGTAGTGGTGCATGCCTGTAATCCCAGCTACTCGGGAGGCTGAGGCAGTAGAATCTTTTGAACCTAGGAGGCAGAGGTTGCGGTGAGCCAAGGCAACAAGAGCGAAACTCCGTCTCAAAAAAAGAAAAAAATCATCATTCAGTACTAAAACTAGTGGGTGAGAGTTTGATGAAGAAGATAATAAGAGTTACAGGCCGGGCACGGTGGCTCACGCCTGTAATCCCAGCACTTTGGGAGGCCAAGGTGCGTGGATCATGAAGTCAGGAGTTTGAGACCAGCCTGGCCAACATGGCAAAACCCCGTCTCTACTAAAAATACAAAAATTAGCTGGGCGTGGTGGCAGGCACCTGTAATCCCAACTACTTGGGAGGCTGAGGCAGGAGAATCACTTGAACCCGGGAGGCAGAGGTTGCAGTGAGCCAAGGTCATGCCATTGCACTCCAGCCTGGGTGACAAGAGCAAGATTCCGTCTCAAAATAAATAAATAAATAAAAAAAAAAGAGTTACAAAGTGACTCTCCACAAATTACTTTTTAATTACAAAAGGAATAGTAGTAGCTTTTGGGTGAATTCGGAGAACATCACCTTAACCAAGAGTCGAAGTTCATTTTGCCATTAAAGGGATAAACTGACATCATGTGCCTCTTGATGTGTTACACTGAGGACACAAAGTCACTCGCGTTGTTCTTCCCAAAATGTATGACATCAATCTAATCATAAGAAAACATCAGAGAAACCCAAATTGAGAGATTTCTATAAAATAGCTGACTAGTACTCCTCAAAACTATCAAGGTCGTGAAAGGCAAAAAAGGGCTGAGGAATGTTCCAGATTTAAGGAGATTAAAGAGACATGACAACTAAGTGCAAAATGGGATCCTGCAGTGCATCTTGTTCTAGAAAAAATGTATATATAAAAGACATTTTGAGGATAATAGGCATAATATGGATATAAACTGTAGATGAGATAATGGAAATGTATCAATGTTTACTTTCCTGATTTTGTTACTTGTATAATAATTGTATAAGAAAATGTCTTTGTTATTAGAAAACACACACTGAAGTATTTAGGAGTAAACCAGAATTATTTTGGTAATTGACCTTCATATGGTTTAGAAAAAAATTATATACATTTGTATGTGTATTTGTGTGGGCAGAGAAAACGTGTATATACTAAAGAGCAAGTAAATGTGGTAAAATGTTAACAACTGGTGAATCTGGGTGAAGGGTATAGATGACTACTCTTGCAACTTTTTTGGAAGTATGATGTTATTTCAAAATCAAACGTAAAAATAAAAAGAGCATCATAGAATTATCGTACGATTCACTGAGCTTGAGGTGGGGGACAAAAAAGAAAGATTTCAAGTTAAAGAATTCAGGGCAAAGCCCCAGAGTTAGTTTATATCACAACATTGATATAAAACATGCCAAAATTTTAACATACCTGAACATAGAGATACTCGAAAGCAACTGGATCTCTCCTTAAAAGGTCAATTGGATCTTTTGGGACGAAGCTAATTCGGAAAAGACATCTCATCTTATGGGAGCTGGGCCTCTGTGTCACCTGGAAGAGTAGACCAATCACACAAGAACCCTTCAGTGCTGACTGAGAAATGGCTGAGGGACACTGAAGCAGTCGACTTTTTTTGGACACTAAGGAAAGAATCAGCGGATATTCTTTTAGTATTTATAGATACTCATTCCCTGAAAACTACACATAACCTTGCCACTTAGGTTGGGTTCCCCAGAAGCAGACCCTGAGATGAGGGGTTGTGTGCAAGGGACTTATTAAGAAAGTGCTCCCAGGGGAGGCTAGTAAGGGAGTGGGGGAAGCAGGTCAGGAAAGAAGAGGAAGCCAAGCAAGGGTGCCTCCTCAGGGAACCCCAGCAGAGAGTAGCTATAGCCTGATCCTGCAGGAGACCATGGAGTGGTAGCTATACCACAGAGCTGCTGAGACCTCAGCCAAAGGAGCACTGATGAGTCATTCATTTAGAGCTGTCCCAGGGGATGTGAGTTTCCAGGTTTGGACACGATGGGCTCCGGTAGTCTGAGGGCAGTCCTTGGAAGAAGATCTGCAGATGCTGGCTGTTAGTGATAGCACCCCAAATCTATGTTGGGGAGTACAAAAAGGGGATCCAAAGAGACAGCAGAGAGATTGTCCAGTATGGTTTATTATTGCATAACATTGCTGTGTTTTGTTTTGTTTTTCCAAATTAGACTCCAGACTGACTATTGCAATGAAAACATGATAGTGTCAACCTTAGATGACATCACATTGGAAAGTAGGAAGACAGAAGTTTTGGCCCATGTAGTACACCAGATTCTACAAGTATTCAAACTACTCCAAACTTCTGATATCATGATGATATTGTTCCACTTGCTCAATGGAGCTTAAAATATACCACAGGTTCTTCAGGGTTAAGGACCATGGCTCATTTCAGTTTGTTTTCATTTTATACAGCATAATATGTGTCACATACTAGAAGTTCGTTTCTTAATTCCTTTTGCAACAAAAGGAAATCAATTAATAAATAATAATAGGTGTTTAATAAACACTTGAATGAATGAAAGACATTGGACTCTAAGAAAGAAGGCAAGAGCTCATCGATTTCCCTTCAAGGAGTCAACAAAACAAAATGAAAACCATGCAGCATGAACCAACACAGTTGTGTGTAATACTCTTATGCAGGGGACAGATCTGGCAATACAAAAATGTGAGCTGCAATTAAAAAATTTAAAATAAAATAGCTTTATTGAGTCCCGTGGTGTGTGTATGCATGCATGTGTATGTATTTACAGTTCGCTAACTTTGTTGAACAGAAGAATTCCAATGGAAAAAGACACCCTACTTGTACATATGTGGGCATCCTGAGTAGTCACACCAGCTTTCTGGCTGTGGGCAGGCCTGCAGAGCCGAGTGGATTCCTGAGACTTGAGGGCTATGGGCTACTTATCACTGGCTGAGGGTAAAGCAAACCAGGAATAAAGAAATTGGGGACACTAAGAGGCCACTAGTGCTGGCCAGCCTTGCTGTTGTGTTTCACAGCGACTTCATGAGCTATTTTGCCAGAAGGTTTGTCCTGGTGTGTTAGAAAGTCAGGAATCACTATATCTCTGACTCCTTTAATTACTGGTTCAACTTTTCTTTCTTGAATTTTCCATAAGCCATCTTATCTTGAGTTTACTTTTAGTATCAGAAGGTTACACTGGTTTTGGGAAATGAATTAACGTAATGCAAAAAGGTTGCCTCAAGCCATTAGAAATGGCAGTCCATAACACTTTCTAAAATAAACAAACAGAAACAATTTCTTGGAAACTTTAAGTAGTATATAAATAATGTTTTCTAGCAGAAGTTTAGTATCAAACCACTAGAAATTCAGGTAAAGTTGCTTAAAAGTTCCATTGGGAGGTTTTCATAGAAATTAAATGTTTTAAAATGATTTTATTATTGGAAAAAATATAATTTCTTACTCTCCACTTTTATCATGCCTACAAATATTTTAGCAATCGATTTTTTCATATGCATTGATTTCAAAGGCATATAGCTGGTTTGTTTCAGGATATTTAAATCCGTTTTCTTTTCTAGAGATTTTTAGCACTTCACTTGATTTTTAGCACTTCACTTCTAGTTCTGATTCTATAAGGAAAAATAAAGTTAAAGAAAGAATGATTATTAGAAGTTTATTTCCTTCCAACATTTTAAAAGAAATGTAACTGGAGCGGGAAGTTGTGTTTACCTAGCATCAGAAGAGACTTTTAGAGAATTTTTGTCCAACTAAATCAGCATGAAGCTTTCCTATAATGGCTATGTAGTAGATAAAAGTTTAGAGAGAAAGTATAACCAGAAAGATCAAAACGTTGTGGGGGGTTTCATTAGACTCGTAGTAACTGGATGTCTGCCCATTTCCCCTTGGCATTTATTGCTATAAGCTGAAGGATATTTACAGCAAACACCTGTGACCATTCGATAGCACAAGGCAAACCCCAATAACAAGAGAGTAGCCCACTATCAATAACAGACAGCATGTCAGTAGGCACATGTCCCAGCTCCCTCGCCTCTCGGTGGGATACCTCTGAGGTGCGTCCTACACTGTCTCCCAGTGCTCTCCGGTAGGACTGAGCTCCAGTTACCCACAGTAGAAACTGGTTTGATAATACATTCTTTATTGGCCTCTCAATTTTTCTCATCTCTCTTCCCCATTCCTCTGTGGGTATTTCCAGATATCTCTTCCCAGATAAACTACATGCATTCAAATCCTTAAGTTCTGCCTCTGGAGGAACTCAGATCCAGACACTGACCTTTCACATGAGAGATTCTGTATATCAGGGGTTGTGCCCCTGTAATGAAGCATAAAATAAGTCCTTTATTTCCAAGAGTGTTTGGCACAGGTTAAAATAATAACCATTAGAAGTGATTTAAAATATCTATAGGTAGATTTAGACTCAATAGAGGCCAGGCATGGGGGCTCATTCCTGTAATCCCAGCACTTTGGGAGGCTAAGGTGGAAGGATCGTTTGAGCCCAGGAGTTCAAGACTGCAATAAGCTATGATTGCACCACTGCACTCCACTCTGGGCAGCAGAGTGAGACTCTGTCTCAAAAAAACAAAACAAAACAAAACAAAACAACAACAACAAAAAAAACCCCAAAAAACTTGATGGAAATAATAAGCCAAGTTTGGGTAGAGGAATATAAATCACAGATGGCAACTTTTGAACTAATCTATTACAAAAAGTTGGACTGAATCAAGAGAATCGGGGATATTTGCAGGACCCAATGTGTGGGACACCAGCTTTTATATACAACAAGGAAGAAGCACTTTAGTATGACAACACTTTTTGCCACTCCATCCAGCTGGCAGCATCTGATGCTTCTCCTCCTGGTGTCCCCTCCTACCCCTTTCCATAAAGTTCTGTTATCATTGATCTCTCCTATGGAAGAGAAATTTGTTGAAATCTTTTATACGTTCAACAAAGACTTTGCTTGTGTCACAAGAAAAATCAGGGTGCTGCGCTGAATTCAGCAGCTAAGCAGCCTGCTTGTCTCCCCAGGGAACAGATGGGGGTGGCATCTTGGTAATCAGGAACTGGGACACATTGGTAGATCACATATTTATAGCGGGCAGGACTGGGGCAGAGATTTCAGGCTTCCAAAAATAGTCTTAAGTATGCACCCAGAATTTCAGACAACTAAATATGATTTTGGATTAATTTAAGTAATCCCAGAAACCATTTCTTTTTAATGGTTTCAAGAGATTGTTGACCAAAACAGGTGAACAGATCACTGTAATCCCATAAAATATAATTTTACAGAGCTGTATTCTCAATGTGCAGCTGGTGAGACTTTGAATGACAAATCTAGTTGTGAGACTGACAGTCTGCAAAAGATGGGCAGAAAGGGAAACATGACCTTGAGGTGTAAAATGCATTAAGAATGCCAGCACTTCCTTTACAGAGGATACCCAGGGATACAATTAATACATTTACAGGATTAGAGTGGGGGAGAAATCTTGGACTGGGCAACCTCTGCTCTAACCTGCAGCCTCATCACTTGAGGGTGAGATTTCACAGACCTGAGTTAGAGTCTCCTGTTCATGAAGCAAGAGCAGCTTCGTTCCAGCCCCTTCTGTCCTCTGCTCCAGCATGAGAGAGAAGTGTTCAATGCCTTTGATGGAGAGCTTCTCTTGAAGGGTTAAGATGACATCCTTACAGAGGAAACATGAACATGATGAGACCAAAATCGAAGCTGCCATCTTGTGGAGTCTACCATGACTGAAAAGTGTTACACATGTAGGCTGCCAATCTTGAAATTTTATACGTTTGGTTGATTCTGAAATTTAATGCTCCAAATATCCAAAAAGATGCAGAAATGAAGCCTTCCTTCTCTTGCCCTTTTCCTGGCCTCCTCGATCATTCAAAATCTTTATGGAGTTCACAACAGAGAGTTAACAAGGTAAATAGCTGGAGGAGAAGCTTAATATCATGTAAGCTCTTGATATAGAAAGGTTGTCAATAGATTGTGCAGTGTAGCCAGTTCAATTCTCCTTTTTTCTAAATGGGGTAGCAATTAAACCAGTTCTGAAAGTGGTCTGCCCCAAGGGTTGGAAAACATGGCCTGCATGCCAAAACTAGCTCACCATCAGCTTTTGTAAATAAAGTTTTAATGGGACGTGGTCATACCCATTTGTTTATCTAAAATCTATGGCTGCTCTTGTGTGCTGCATCAGCAGAGTTGAGTAGCTGCAACAGAGACTGTGAAGACTGAAATATCTGCTTGCTGACCCTGGCTTCCCCTTCTGAAAGAGCAGTGTAGTGGTTGTAAGGAATAGGGGCTAAGAAAACAGTTAGGCTTCTAATCCCAGCTCTACTACTTATTAGCTGTGCAGCTTTGGGGAAGTTATTTAGTCGCTAAGTATCTTAGTTTCCCTGTGTGTAAACTGGGGATAATAATAATGCTTATCTCAGAACGGATATAAAGATTAAATGAGTTCACACATACAAAGCGTTTATTATAACATTGTTTGGCACAGAGTGAGGGCACCATAATAATATACATATATTTATTTTACATCTCTGGGGAAGGTGGAATGAGCAAGCTTTGTCAGCAATCTTTTATAGGATTAAGCATTTATGATCAGAAAGGTGTTCCATGTACAAACACACACATTTACTACAATGTAAAACTAATCTCTTCAACCTATACTTTTTTCATGTACTTGAAAACTGGTAAATGATCCCTCGAAGATAATTTAGACTCAGATGCTAAAAATTCTATAGGGAAGTTTTGCCCCAGTGCAACATTTGGAAATTTCTGGAGACATTTTTGGTTGTCACAATAGGGTTGGGGACACTACTGCCATGGAGTGTGTAGAAGCCAGAAATGCTGCTCAACATCTTGCAATGCAGAGACAGCCCCACAGTAAAGAATGATTTGGCCCAATATCTCAACAGTGTCAAGATCCGGAAACCTTAGAGTGAAAACTTATAGTTTTCTTTTACTGACTTTTCTGATGTTTTAATCCTTCTCTGTGGTCCTTTTTCAATTTCTTCAGGCCCCATTAAATCAAAGATCCCCACATCCACCCACTCCTGAAAAAAAATCATTCAAGAGAAATGCCTTGACTATGTTGAATTTCAAGAAAAAAAAAAAAAAAGATTTCCCTGCTTTATAATTTTCTCTTAAAGCCCAGGAAAGAGAAAACAAAACCAGCCTTTGTGTGGCAACAAATACTTTATAAAGCATTTTCCTGAACCACCAGGGAGGACATTGGAAAATCAATAGCAAGAGTTTTTCCCTATTGTAATTCTGCAGCAAGAATTTTGGCAATTTTTGTTACACAGTGTCATATTCCTTTCATAACTATACTATTTCTCCTTTACACCTACCAGCCAGTGTCTATTGTAATAATGAGGCTGTTAGGTATAAGATAAGATAACTTGAATTTGATGTGAACTCTTTGCATTTCTTCCTGTCTTCTCATTGTCATCTGCAATCCTCAGGGAAATCAAACTTAGTCTTGCATATGTTCCGTAATAAAGAGGCTGGAGGGAATGGACAACAGGGCTTTCTTCAATTTAGATTTATTTCTGTTAAGAAATGCATTCAAGTCTTTACCTCGGTCTTCAGGTGGGGTAGGGAGTCCAATGGCAGGGAGTTGACCAGTTGGCAACACAAAACAAGGCCATGGTGTCAGAAAGGGCTGTAATAATGTAGCTCTGTAGGTTATTTCAGAGGTCTGCCAACTATGACCTGCGGGTTATATCTGGCCATGCCCATTTGTTCACATATTGACTGTGAAGTAACAGATTAACCTTGCCTAAAGAAAAATTTGCTCTTTTTCTCCCACTCTTAGGAAGTAACCTGTAAGCCCTTGGACTGTCCTGTCTGATAGGAGTATTTTTGTTTACTGGGTGGCCTTGGGCCATACCAGATAGTCTGCGCTAACAATTGATTTATAGTGAGAACATTGGGCCATATGGTATCAGCTCTAACTCTGGAGAGACTGGATACTAAGTTCAACCATGCAGGTGGTTAGCTGTGTCTACGTGGAAAACCCCCAATAAAAACTCTGGACACCAAGGCTTGGGTGAACGTCCCTGGTTGGCAGTACTTGATGCATATTGTCATGCATCATTTCTGGGAGAATTAAGCATTACCTGTATGAATCCACTGGAAGAGGACATCTGGAGGCTTTCCACTCAATCTCTCCTGTGCCCTGACTATGAGCCTTTCCCATTGCTAATTCTATTCTGTATTCTTTTGCTATAATATGCTGTAATTGTGAGTATAACAAATTGCTGAGTTCTGTGGGTCCTTTGAGTGAATTATCAAGACTGAGCATTGTCTTAAGGACTAACCAAACCCACCTGTTCATGGCTGCTTTCCTGATACAATGACAGAGTTCAGTAGTTGAAACAGAGATCAAATGGCCCACAAAGCCTAAAATGTTTACTATCTAGCCCTTTCCAGAAAAAGTTTGCCTACTCTTGGGTTAGTTGATCAATAATTATATTAACATCTCACCACAAATTGATAATGAATGAGGAAAAAGGGAAGAAGACCTGTCCAGTCATCACCATTTAAAATTAGAAGTCTTGTATGAAGGAAGTTAATATTTCATCTGGAATGATTTGAGGATGATTTAATGCTCCAACATCAATCTAATATTTTCCACTGCATGACGTATTAAGCCACTACATACTTATAGCAATTCAAAACGAGCTGCTTGCTGGTATCGTGACAATAAGAATACACAGTGAATGGGTCTTTGCAGAAATGCTTCTATGTGTGAGGTCTATGCTGATTAATTAAAAAAACCAACAAGAATTAGAGGTCGGATATTGATAGACATTTTTTAACAGAGGGTTGATATTCTCTTGATAGATTATTATACAGATAATCACTAGGTACTCTTTTACCTTCATAAAATCTTTTTTACTGTGCCATGGGAAGAAAGCCTATTTTAGGCTGATGAAGCATTAGGGAGCAATCAATTTCTGAATACACTTTTGTCCAATAAAAGGAAGAGACTCTGTACTTTTCTTTTCCAGGAAGAAAGCATGTGGGGAAAAAAACCATATGCTTTGCTATAATACCTATTATCTAAAACTCACCTGTGGCTCTGAAAGAATAGGATTGCTTTGTGAGTCTTCCTTTCCAGCCCTTCTTCTAAGAAGCAGGCCTCATTTCTGCCTCTTTATGCATCATTACCATGAAATTGGTTACAGAAATTAAAAGTAAATGTTACTTTTACATTACTCTACCCCTTGTTTTTTGCTGGACACCAAAGTAGCAAATATTCAATTAACAGCTAACAGCTTAATCTTCTGAGCAGCTGATATTGCTGAGAAATCATGCTGGCCTTGGGCAGGGTGCCAAGCCTTCTTGGTGATAGTCACACTATTTTAATTAATCTGTAGTTGCATCAAAATGACTAGCTCTAGTGTTTCTTCACTGACAGCATATTATATTGTTTTGCAACACCAAGAGAAATAAAAGAGCAGAGCCTTCTTGGTTTAAGCTTTTGGCTTTGGTTTGGTTTGAAGTATTCACAGACTACATTATATGGAGGCAATCAACAAAACTGCAGAAATAAAGGGATAGTTCTGAAAGAAGATGCTGCTACAATGGCTCACAGTGTCCTGCATGTTGTACCTGAAAGCGTCCAGGGACAGAGTTTACCAGGTCATCTTACCTTAATGGAAGTGCTGCAGTCAAAACGAAATGATTTGGTCTGCCCATTTTCCAGATAGACTTTCAAAACATTTGGCATAAAAAGAAGTGAGTTGTCCTTAACAGTTTCCTGTTTAACAAAAAAAAGGGCAGGGCATAAATTGATCAAATTATAACTCTTCTCTTTGCAGTAGCAGCACATCTATACTTTATTCTAAGCATGGCATTAAAAAACAATCAAACTCTCTAAGGCCAACAAGGCATTCCTTTGGTGATATGTGAGTTAAGTTGCTCATAGAAAAATACATTTGCTCATCAGAAAATCAATCAGATGAGGTTTTTTTAACTCAAGATTCCCCACTGGCAAACATGATTGCAGACGTGATTCTTTTGTGATTAGGCTTTGACATTTGGAACTACAAGCCCAGACCTAAGCAGGGCAGGACGTCTTGAGCAGAAAAAAGACCAGCAATGATGCTGTTTGATGAGGTACTGTTGTTGCCTAGCAGTGTCATGATGGTGAGTCACCAGCATAAATAAGCTTCAAGTATAAAGTTATTTTGTGAAAGTATTTTCACCCAGTTAGGAATGAGTCTTAAACTCCAAGGGAACTCTATTAAATGTTGCAACTGCAAAACAAAAACAAAAACAAAAACAAAAACAAAAAACAAAACTCCAAGGGAAAAGATAAGGAATGGCTTAGTGTGTTAAGAGAGTAAAACATTGTCTATAATGAACAAGATCATAATCTAGAAATAACTCAGAAAAAGATGCCAGCTTGAAACATGACAAAAAGCAAACAATAGAAATGTTATTTCTTTGCATTTTTTCTTTCATTGGAAGTAGTGAGAGATGAGAGAGAAGAAAGAGGGAGGAAGGGGGCACACTGAATGAGTTCTATAAGTCCCAGGAGTGAGCTGAGTTATTCACATGTAGTTGGTCATAAAGTCCTAGGAGTTGAGGAGAACTCAGCAGTCATGAGTGCACACATCCCTTGTTTTGCACATGAAGGAACTGAAGGCAAGATATTCAGGAATTTGCCAGTGTCAGAGAGAATTCAGTCCCTAAGTATTTCCATAATAGGCCTCCTGCCTTTCACTTCCTATTTCTTTTCCTGAATTTCCTCCCCCTCTTTTCTGCTCCTGTGGACTTCCCGCACAGTCTTGCTCTCAAGTCACTGAATAAATCTGGATCCCAGTCCAGAAGAAATTGCACTCAGTGACTCAGAAGAGCAAGGGTAAACTGGAAATGAAGACAGTCATGAAGTCTGAGGAGCATCCACGTGACCGAACATCCCTGCCATCCACAAGCCTGTGGCAGGGCTGTGGAGGCTTCAGGAGATGATTATCCTCAGAGGTGTCCTTACACATCAGCTGCCTTGCAGGAGTCCTGCTATATCCAGGGATGAACTGACACTGCTGTAGCAGCTTCTAGAATCATATTCTTTCTAAAGATGCATAAACTACCTGGTTGCCCAATTACACGCTCGAAAGCTCTGGGCAGAAAAGGTAAGTTTCAGATGACTTTCTGCTACATATTGATTCCTCTGTACCTTCCACCCTTCAGCTGGGACAGTCTTGTTGTAAATTAATAATGTACAGTGACCGTGCATCCAGAGTGATGGGACACATTGAGAGGCACAGAACAGACCATGCTCACAGGGCAGCACAGCCACAGCCTCTAGCCTTCCCCACAAGCATCACAATAGCTGGACCCCAAGTGGAGCAGCCCTAGATCAGTAAGTTTTGATTCAAAGACAGTTGGAGCATGAGTGCCTTGCCCAGGATGTATAGGCCTACATCTTCAGATTCAGATTCAGATCCAGAACCAACCTCAGAGAAGAGTTTGTGATCAATAATGAATATATCATAGGTGAGATTTTATCCTCGTGGATTTATTTAAACAATACCAACAGAACACCAACGCTCTGGCATTTCAAAGGTCCAAAAAATATTAGTGCCTTGGATGATAGTTTTCTAAAAACTGAAAACACTTCAGTATATTTTTGGGAGAAAAAGTCAAAACATCCTGTTGATAGTTGCATTATTCATTCTGAAGTTCAGTTAATTGCCTGAGTAATCATGATTTCTATCAGGACCTATTTATGGAGATGTGGGCAGTATTTCTTCAGTTCTGGTTGCCTACATAAAATTTTTCCATCGTTTTAAGTTCTTTGCCTGATTAGTTGAAAGATTAGGCTTTTCTGGGGAAGTAAAAAGGAGAAACACAATACCTTTCTCAAAAATACATAAAGCACTATCATATGGAAGAATGCTTATTTAGCAGAATGGGAAGAAAAAGGTGGAAGTTTCAAAGACGCATATTTTACTGAGTATGAATGAGGCAGTGTCAGTGATCCCAAATCATATGAACTCCTTTGCAAAGTAGTGATGTCTCTGACACTGAAAGCATTCTAGGAAATCCTGGACTACCACATATTCTGACCGTGCTAGAGGAGATTCAGGCCCAACCTGATGAACTCTCAAGCCCTTTACAACCTTGAGATTTGACACCTCTGTAAAAACCAACAACCAATTTCAGATCAGTCATTCCAGTGGGACTACTGACTTTGTTTTGAGTGCAAAGCTTCTGCCTCATTGACTCTCCCTGAGTCACAAAGCAGGTGACTGTAAACTCACCGACACTTGGCCGTTGATGATGACCTCCTCAGAGAAGCGTACTTTGACAGGATTGGACTTTAATCTTGCCTTTTTTGCAGCACTAATAAATGCTGATTTGGGAGACTAGAAGAAAAGAAAACATTTTATCTGATTACTGGTAACATAATGCAAACCTTGTAACAGTTGTTTTCCATCTTAGGTATGCAATAATTTTGCTTAAAAATAAAATGCTTGGTGCATGTCCGATTCAAGGACAAAATGCAAATTATAGATGCAGTCAAAACACTGTCATGTCTATAAGTTAGTAAGTTTGATTTAGTGGCCAGATCAGAACTACCACCACTATGTTCCATGTTTTAACTGAGCACATTTCCAGGGATGTTTTAAAACAATGGCTGCAAAAGCACACAAACTCTGCTTTTAATAGAGAGCTTTGAGCACAGTGTTCAAGGTGAGGTGGTAGTCAGATCTAATGTTGGGTTTATGATGAATTGATCATTAATCATCTATTTTAATGAGGTGGAGAAGAGCCATTGATAGTCCTAAAATGATTCATAATCCTATTGTTATTCACATTAAGGGCATATGGGCATGTGAGCAGACAAGTACTCTGTCTCTCCCTCTCTCTCTCTTTCTCTCTCAAGCACTCATGCCTTATGCACCTGCAACCTGAGTTTTAGCCTCTTCTTGGTAACTTGTGATCCTGTGATCTTACTGGGCAGGGTAGAGACGAGACCTTTCATTACAATTGAAAGTTGACTTCATATTCTTCCTCATCTTATGGGCTCTTTGTGCTTTATGATTCTCTCCTTTCTTTTATCAGAAAGAGGGGCAATGTGGCACAATTCTTCCTCAGAAATTGGAAGTACAATGGGAGAACCTGCCTAGAAGGGTGCTGTGATACTGGGGCATCCCTTGCTGCATGATCTTGGTAAAGTCACTTTATCTGAGAATCACCATTGTTGCATAATTTTAAAGAAGCCTAAGGGGAAGGGAACTCACACCTAGTACATATCTACTATGTTGCAGGCATTGTTTGTTTATTTTTAAAAAGAATTACATTCTCTATGAAACCTAATACAGAGGTAAATAGTTTGAATCATATAATTGTTATTTTATAAATGAAAATGGTCAAATATTGGCAATTGCCTATGGTTCAAACTAACGTTTTCCATGCTATGTAGTCTTAAGACATAGAGGCTGTTGCGTAAAGAATTCTAGTAATTGACTCTAGAAACAACACAGAGGCTTAACCCTCTATTTATTGTACTAATCTAGAGATACAAAAGCCAACTAGGGTGACCTATACTTTGGTTTTCAAGTAAAATGAATTTAAAAAAGGACTCTCATCCTTGTCAAATACAAGTATACTTAAGATCAATTAAATTTAAAAAGCAATATGATGAAATAGATAAATCAAATGTGGTCCATCTGTACAATAAAATATTATTCAACCATAAAAAGGAATGAAGTTCTGACACATGCTACAACATGGATGAACCTGGAAAATATTTTGCTAAGTGAAGGACACCAGGCACAAAAGGCCACATATTGCATGATTCCACTTACAGGCAATGTCCAGAATAGGCTAATCTATAGGGACAAAAAGTAGATTAGTAGTTGCCACGGGCTGGGGGTGGAGGAGAATGAGGGAATGAGGAGTGATGCTTAATGAATACGGGGTTTCCTTTCAGGGTGATGAAAAAGTTGTGGAACTAGGTAGCGGCAATGGTTGTAAAACATTTTGAATGTACTTAATGCCACGAAATTGTACACTTTTAAATGTTTAAAATGGTACATTTTATGTTATGTGTATTTTACTGTAATAAAAAAGCTGTTGAAAAAAGTATGATACAAGGTGTGTGTGGGGTGCGTGTGTGTGCGTGCGTGTGTGTGTGTGTGTGTGTGTATCCTGGATGGAGTTTTTGCTTTAATACCAGGAGAATCCTGTTATTTCTAAAGTTCCCCTCCACACCGATCCCATCCTTTGCTGTGAGTAGTGTCTTAGAAGACTGGATAAATGGATGATTTGTCTCCCAGAGCTTGAATTCATCCATTTATGCAAGATGTTTTAAGAGAATGGCTGCCGTCTTTAAAAAACAAACAAACAAACAGACAACAGCAAGAAACCGAAAGAATAGCTTTAAACATGCTCAACGTGACTTTTAAAAGTCCTGCTGCAGAGCTGAAGTGATGTGACAGGGTGTTCTCATCAGTATCTTTGTAATTATAGGCCAACTTTAGTAATGATTAACGAGCAAATCATACAGCGGTGAGCGCATTTGCTTTTGATATTTCATTTTTTAGCTGAAGGGAAAACATTATTCTCCCGTAATGATTTTAGGCAGGCGGTATTTACATTGGCACAATGAGTTGAGCACAAGTGAAGCGGCTGTAATAAAGCTACCCAGAACAGACACTACTCATGAGATGAGATGTTTTAATGCAGTCACACCTCACTTCTCCAGCATTGTTTGGGAATGAAATGTTTCACGTGTGTTCAGTGTGCCAGATACTGAGGTTTATTCCTCTATGCATCTCAATTTTTAAATGTTATATTTTGCCATATTTTTCTAAAGTGTTCCATCTAATTCCTTGCTTCAATAACAAATATAGAGTTTTCGGATGCATATCATTTGATATAACCTTAGAGTGCCATGGTGTTCCCAGGGATCACGAAAATACGTAAGGTTACTTGCCCCTGAAGTAAATAGCCCCATATTTACTAGCCCTGCTGAGGCCAGTAAACGTGGGGCTATTTACTTTAGGGGCAAATAACCTTATGTACTATCTCCTCTCTCTAGCTATATGTAGCATGCCCATTTTATGTAACTTCATTCCTGTATTTATTTACGATGCAATAATGAGAAACATGGTAATTTAGGAAGACCAGAAAGGAAACTAAATAGCCAAGGTTGTTAAGTAAATATTATTTTATACACAATTTGAAGTCAACAGACTCGGGGTAAACTTCTAACTAAGAATTCATAACAAGTACTTTTTTTGTTCTGGGTTTGTGACTATTTCATAAAACTGACAAATGTTTTGGAAATTACTTTTGGATAACAACTACATAGGCTCTCCAAGTCTGAAGGCTACTTAATGAGAATCAACAAAATACTGGCTTATTCCACTGGCTAGAGTTACTTGTGTTATATGGGGTAATGTAAACCAGTCATGACTATAGTTTTAACACAGATTTATCTTTGCTTTCAAAAAATATACAATGTGTACCACTTGAAAGCCTGCTGAATTAATTCTGAGCAACCTGTAGGTGTTGATCACAAGCACTTCATATCCTGTGGTGGAAATAACAAGTAATTATCATTTAGAATAATCAGATTCTCCTACTGTTAATTAATTTTAAGATTATCAGGCCCCTAATCAACCCCTGTACATTTTCCAAATTTGCTGTTGCTAAGATGGCCACAATAGTGTGTGGAATGCTCCTGATGCTTTTGAATGCTCTTAGAAGTTACTAGAACATAGCTTGAAAAAATTACAGAAATAAGATTAATTTCTGAAATTGAAGGGCAAGGTCTTGAACTTGCAATTCCTAGAGCTGTACAGTATTACTTATATAGCAGGTATTGAGTGAACATTTGGTGAAGACTCGCCTACAGTTATCACTGGTTGGCTTAGTTTGGAGTCTCCAAAATGCAGACCTAAGACAAGGATTCACAAACAGGTAGCTGATTTGGGAGGTGCTCACAGGAATCCCAGGTAGGTGAGTGGGGAAGGCAGGCAGGAAGGGAGAATAAACCAGTAAAGCATTCGCTGTTACTAAGGCACCATTATAGGCAACTGGAGCTTACTCCTGCTGGGAACCTCTGGGAAACAAGGTAGACCACATGCCTCAGAGTTATACTGTCTGAGGAGAGAGGGAGCTGGGGTATTTATCCACCAGTTTCTGTCAATCATTGATGGAGTGTCTCCTTGTATTGTAAGTTTTCAAAATTCAAATTTTCCTGCTGCCTCAACATCCCCACATACAGGTTGTGAGCACCCTGCCCAGGCAACCAGGTGCACCAGTGTGATAAAGTTAGCTCCTGCCACAAGTACTCTTTCCCACCCTCCCCTGACTGTGACTTAGTAACATTTAAAGAGACCAATGAAATTCCCTCGCACTTTTCTTGTGTGTTCCACCCTGACCCCCGATAAAGGCATTTGCCCACAGGCTCTAACCTCTCTGTCTGGTCCCCGCCTGGTTGGTTGAATCGGCTCCCCTGGTGCTCCCTCTCATATGACCCCTCCTCTTGGCATGCAGTTTCTCTAGGACCTGTGAGTATAAAAAAAACTTCTTTTTCCCGCATGTCTCCTGTGTCCCCTCTTGTGGCTACATCTGACTGACCACCATGTAAGAGAACACAAAACACAGCCTTTCTGGGAATGATAATTCCTCAGCACTTGTGGCCTGCTCCATGAGCATGCTACTGGGGCCAGGAAGAGCCCACAGGCAAAGACTCACAGGTGTTCTCCATTGGAAATTGGGCTGGTATGCTCAGCATGACATATGGTCTGGGCTCTGATAGAATGTGCTACACTGGGGTTTCCATGAGGAGGTGTGTAGCCTCTCTCAGCTGTGTGGAACACAGTAAAATGTAGTTAGGAAGTTGGAGGCAGGAAAGCGGGTCCCTCAGCTCTTTGGACTAGAAGAAACCTAAAGGAATGTGAATTATGCTAGCTCATGGGACACCAGAACTGAGAGAATGACTTAGCTCAAGTCCCATTGAGTTGGGGTTGCATGAGGGGAAGTTGTAGAAACTCTTTTTTGTTTTTTGAGACAGAGTTTCACTCTTGTTGCCCAGGGTGGAGTGCAATGGTGCAATCTTGGCTCACTGCAACCTCTGCCTCCCAGGTTCAAGTGATTCTCCTGCCTCAGCCTCCCTAGTAGCTGGGATTACAGACATGTGCCACCACACCTGGCTAATTTTGTATTTTTAGTAGAGACGGGGTTTCTCCATGTTGATCAGGCTGGTCTCGAACTCCCGACCTCAGGTGATCTGCCCGCCTCGGCCTCCCAAAGTGCTGGGATTACAGGCGTGAGCCACCATGCCCAGCCGTAGAAACTCTTTAAATACTCTCTGTCTCAGGTAAGATTGGCTTTGGAATTCTAGACTTGGAAACTGTAGAAAGCAGAGTCAAAGGAAAAAAGGAAGGAGCTGGCCAATGAAAGATCTATAATAAAAAAGGGTAACAGTACAAGGAAAGAAGACGGTATATCGGAGCCAAACAAATAAAACCCATGAGTAACCCAGAAATTCCCCTTCTAAAATTCCATCCTGGGGAAATACTAACTACAGATTAAGACTTACACATAAAGATTTTCTTTTCGGAATTATTTATAATAGCAAAACAATAAAGACGATGTGAAAGGCCCAGTGATGGGGGTTGGTTAAGGAAATCTTGGTTCAGTGTAATGTTTTGCAGCCATTTAAGTGATGCTTATAAAGAGTTTTTGATGACATAGGAAATGTTTATGATATATTTAGTAAAAGAGGCAGAATAAAATTATATGTACAATATGATCTCAACTAAGGCATAGAAAAAAAGACTGGAAGGAAATAGGTCAAAATGTTTACACTGGTTGTCTCTGCGGGAAAAGTTTGCCAACACATTTTTCTGCATCTGTATTTCTTTCTATACTTCCACTTAGTATTTTTTTTCCCAAGAAAAACAGTAAAAATCGTGGTGGTGGGGAAAGCCTACCATAATACTTTTTTTAAAAAATGCAGCAACCTATTAAGAATTACTTCTTATCAAAGAATTTCAGGGATCCCAAGACTCTCACCCCCATTCCCCCTTGACCTAGGTCTCATTGGAGATCAATTTCTGCAGTTGGGTCATGTTGAGGTACCCTGGGCACATGTGGAATGTGGCCGGAAGGTATAAACATTGGCTCTCTATCTTTACTGGACCTTATGCAGAAGAAATACAACATTAAAAATGCTGTCCAGCAAGTTGCAAAAGAAATTAAAATGCTAATTTTTATTGTCTGTAATAAAAGTAGAACTTATGGACTTTCTTTTGGTCTGCTGGGTCATCCGTTTCTGTTTGTCAGTCTTGATTGCCAAGAAGATGTTTAACAAATAAATGAAACTCAATAAGTATTTTTTTTTTTTTTTTTTACAAAAAGCAACTTGCTTGTAGTAAAATCCAAACCCAAAAATATAAGTAAAAGATTGCAGTCTTGTTTTTTCCCATCTGCTCTCCTCTCCATGTCTGATATCCATTTAAGAAACTTTGGGGTTTTAATTCTTTAATTTCAACTTCCACACCTCGGAGGAGAGAAAAGCCATTTGGGATTTGAACAGTAAAGGGAAGACTTTAGGTGGGACAGTGGTTCTCAGCTGGGAGTAATTTTGCTCCCAAGGGACATTTGGTAATGTTTGGAGACATTTTGGTTTGTCACAACTTGGGGAGAGGATGCTACTGGCATCTAGTAGGTACAGGCCAGGGACGCTGCTAAACATCCTACAATGCACAGGACGTGTCCCCATAACAGAGAACTCTCCAGTTCAAATGTCAACAAAACCAAGGTTGAAAAACCTTGAGGTAGCATTTATAATTTGGCCTGAGACTTGAAAGGTGAGAAGGATTTATTTAGCGAGGCCGAGGAGGTGGTGGGACTGGAGTCATTTCTCAAAGGAGAGTGGTCAAAGGAAAGTCAAAGATGAGAATTTATCTGCGGTGATTGGGCAAGGGGAAAGTGACTCTGGAGCAGAGGTACAGCTGTTGGCTATAAGAACATGTGACACTTCCTCCTGAATATTGTGGCTAAGTGTTGCCTTTCAATGTAGCACAACGGCAAGAGCCATCGGAACTCCTAGAAAATTCCAGATTATCTGTTAAAAGGAAGTGCCATGATTCACTGATAGTAATCAATATTCAAATGAATAACAAGTCACATGGACTCCAGTGGCAAACAGCAAGTAAAGCCACAAGACACAACCATAAACTTACATGTAAAACTCTTCTTTCTTTTTCTAAGTTTACTGCATGAGGTAAAACAGTATCCCACATTGCAAAACAAACAAACAAACAAACAAAAAACAAAACACAAAGGTCCTGCCTGATCTTGCATTTCTAATAGATTATACAATATAGAAAGAGAATTCAGGAATGACAATGCAAACGTGAAGTTCCATCAGGAATTTATAGTTGTTCAATCTCAATTTATAGTTGTTCGATGCTTATTATAGACATTTACATTGGCTTTACCCAAATGAATTTGTCCACTGCAAATAAATCAAGAAATGTGTATAGATGTGAAGTAAGTGAAAATGACAATTTGATTAACCAAAACAATCTAAAAACAGCCCAGCTGTATTTTTTATAGAAGCACATGGAAGGAATCTCGGAATCAGACAGTTGGGGAGACCAAGGTTCTGAGCAGCTATGGTAGTCACTGCTGACTCGTTTGTTATACTGCTGTGAGCTAGATCTCAAGTCGTGGTTCTCTAACATCCTGGGGCCTCCTTAGTTTTCAAATCCCAATGTATGTGTATGTGTGTAAGTTCTGTCAAAGAGATGGAGTTAACAGTGACAGTCAATATTAAACTGAGCTTTTAATATAAATATGCATAGTAAGATGGCATAATTTGTTGTCTTGGTTAGTTCTATTTGTGGTCTTATCAGAATCCTGATCCTTATTATTTCCTGTCTAAAATGCCTAGCCCACAGAGCTTAGGGGAAAAATTCTGGGACAGGGGAAATGAAGAGTTTGGTCAGAAGATGGAGATCAGCAAATACCAGAGCACTTTAATTGATATAGAAATGCTCCAACTCTATGGGGAAGAAAATAGGAGCTTAAGCAGGCTGGAATCGCTGCCACTCCTTACGAAGGCCAGACTGACAGGAACCATTTTGGGAAAAATCTAAAGGAATTTGCCTCGGTAATTTTTAGTTCAACTGACAACGTATGAAATTTGCAAGCAGTGGCAAGTCTATACAAATAGAAAGGAAATTAGCGGTTGCCTAGGACTGAGTGTGGCAACAGGGATTAATTGTAAATGGGAACAGGGATCTTATTGGGGGGATGGAAATGTCCTCCAACTGGATGGGGTGATCGTTGCATACCTCAGTGGATTTTATGAAGACCATAGAACTGTACACTGAAAATGGATGAATTTTATGGTACGCAGATTATACCATGATAAAGTCGTTTTTTTTTTTTTTTTTAAATCACAAGAACTGTCCAGTTTTTAAATCACTTTCCACCCTCCTAACCATGATAGCTGAAATCGAATTCTGACACCATATGTCATATAACATCTATTCTTAAAGCAGGCTTTGCTAAAATATCCAGTTCTCTGCCAAATAGATGGGGATAAGAATAACAATCATGCATCGACCTCCTACAATTAGATAGTCTCATGAGATTTGTGTTTCTTAAGCTGAAAAGCATAAGAAGGTCTTGAATTTAGTGTCATTTACAAATGTGACCATTGCATAGGACTGGAATAGCTGGTTGTCTTTCAAGAACTTTAGAAAATGTATTACTCCCTTTTCTCTTCAATGAATGACTTTGCTAACATGGAGTATAAATTACAAAAATAGTCAAGATTTTTGAACCCATATTGTGAGTGCATGTTATTTTTCTCTGCTGTTATTCATCATTATGGTTTTACTGGAGTGGGCAGAAGAAACAAGAAGCCTGAGAACATTAAGTGGCACTTTTATTCACAGAACACTTACAGGGTAAGGCTGAATGACAGTGAGGAGTATCGATTCTTTGCAGCTTCTGTAAGAGAGAAAAACAAACATATTTATGATATGCACTGAGCCCGGACTCTAACTAGTAAGAGTTTTCTTTCAAAACAAAATGTGTGATGCGTTAGTGAATGCTCCCTGGACTCCCAGGATAGAGTAAACCAAATAGCTCAGATGTAGGCTTTCAGACCACACAAAAGCCAAAATGAAGCGTTTCCTGAGTTTAACAAACTGCCCAATTGAAAGCTTCCTAGTAAGTTTACATTGGGCAATATTATCTGTGCTGTCAAACAGCAGGACCTTAAAATAAAACCCAGGAAGGGAAGAACAGTTTTAGAAGCATCACCCAAATCTCTATATTTTTTGCTGCTCTCAGAATTGATTCTCTCCTTCTGATTTTCCTTTAGCCTATTTTTCTTTGCTGCTTAAAAATTTCTCTGTAGTTTTCTGTCAGGGGAAGAGATTTTTAAAAATTCTGTCAGTTCATGGAACGTCATTACCTCTCAGGATCAGCATCCAGAGACAAAAATGTTATTGTAGGTTTCTTATGAAAAAAATAGCATCCCAGCAAACATCGGTTCCCATACTGTGTGGCTTAGTAAGTCCCTGGTCACAATGCTAGGACCCTGGGCTGATAAATATTTCAGACAGGCACCGGTTGGGAAATATTACTCACAATAGGCCGCACTTCATGGCTAAAAGCAGAACAATGTAATATAATGGTTTATCTAATTCCCTCCACGTAACTCAAACCCTTGAGGAAAAATCATATTATGGATTATAATAGTTTTTCTTTCTTCCCTTCTTTGTTCTTTTTTAAATCATGACTAGGAGAAAGGTCAGTTGCCATTTTGTTGAAGAAGAGCTGATTTTTTCTACTTTAGGTTGTAATTAATTACCTGCTTTTCTGATTTATTGCCCACATAAGTAAGGGGAAGGAGATCTTTTGCAAGGCTGTTCCCTGGAAGAAGTCACTGCAAATCACACTTCTAGCACTAACTGATTTGTGGCTCGGCCCACTCACTCTGGCTGGGCTGGACCATGTAGTTGGGGAGTGGGGTAGGGGAAGAGAGGAATCAAGAGGGCAGGGAAAGGAGTAATAGAACTAAAACTCCAGGAAGACTCTGAACACTTAGGATGATGGTGCTGGTGGGGGCAGGAAGGTAGCACAGTGCTGATGGTGGCCAGTCTGCTCCCACAAGTTCCCAGTCACCAAGGCTGGCAGGGAGCCCAATGACTGCAGTGGACAGAGCAACAGTGCAATCAAATGAGAATTCAGTGCATAAGATGAAGGATCTGCATTGCTGGTGGGAATATACACACGTGTAGCAGTTTGGGGAAGCAATCTAGCTTCAATAGGTCAACTTCAGTGTCACAAGCACCATGACCAAGCCAGTCAACTCTGGTTTTATATCCCCCCAAAAATTCTGCTGCTAGCCTTTAAGGGGAGGTGGATGAGGATGTTACTTGCAGCAGAATGCATGGGGGTGAAGTGTCAGAGGCAAACTGGGTGTCCATCTCCAGGATAACAGATATGAGACAAATATGTGGAAAGCAGCACAAACAGAAACAAAGCACTGTTTCTTAGTTTTTGTTCAAGTTTTCCTCGTTCACAGGCAACAAGAAACGTTTATCAGATAAGAAATGCTCTATAACCCCATTGACCAAAGAATGTGTGAGCGTGGTAGCCATGTTAGTGGAACTATCTGCCCTGCCTGGCTTGTCCTGTCTGAGTCTGATCCCAGAGTCCTCAGGAGCAAGCAATGGGCCCAGCTCATTGGACCTGAATGTTGGAATGAGCCAATCAGATATCCTTTCTCCAGAATCAGAACTTAGAGACACAGAGACTAAGAGAGTTGGGAGCCAAGTCACATTCACGACTGAGCACCAGAGTAAACATTACAGATGCCAGTAATCCCCTGAACAGTCCTGGTTTCCACCATTCCTGAGGGCTGGTTGTTCACCATTTTGCTAGAAATAAAATCATTCACATAAATGATCTCAGCAGGATATCGATCATCATTCTGAGAAAGAGCTTTTACTTTTGTTTTCTCTCATCTTAAGTACATAATCATCATCTTCCAGAGAAGAATTAACTCCATAGCACTACAGATCCCTTAGGACTCCTAATCCAAACCTAGGTGGAAAAAAAGATGGAAGCCATATGTGTTCATATGTTACAGGGTGCTAAGATGAACTGAGACAGAATCAGCTGAGGCCCCATGCCAATACATGCCAATCATTCCCACATGCCAAAGAAGGGTGCCGCAAGATTTTCAAAGGTGTTGAAAACCAGAGTTTGGAACCCTTACCCCTTACTCATCTTGGGATCTGACTCATATCTTCATTACAAACTGAAAAAAAAGGCAGCAGGAAGAGGCTGTCAGAAGCAGCACATGCTCAAAGAGCAGAGGCTACATTTGTGCAGTTACTACCCTTACACTGAGGCAGGCCCAAAGTATGAGACTCTTGGAAGATGCAGTAGAAACATTGGCCTGGGACCTCCTGATCAACTGAGCTACTTTGAGGGATGAGAGGGCCTTCGCAGAAATATACAGAATCCAAGGAGCACTGAGCATAGCCCGCCCTTGGTTTCTGCCTGACACAAGCGGGCTGCAATAGGAGTAACTCAACAAAGAAATCTTCCAGGAATCCATGAAAGCAAACACAAGGAAAGAGTCCACCAACATCACCTTCCACGGACAGAAGAAAGTAATGCTGGATTACACTGGTGCCAATCAAGTGAGAACTTTCTTGCCTTTTACCTCACCATCTTGGCCTCATTTCAATCTGGAAGGAGCTGAATGCTGGGGCAGTAGAGAAAACATTGACAATGCCCCTTAACCCACTGCAGGCTTCCTAGGCCTGAACTAGGCAAAAAGGAGGAATTTTGTGGAGTTGGAAGTTTTGACTATTACATGACAATCAAGTGTTAATTGTGATTACAAGTGTACAAGTGACTGGATAACTTTCTGAACCTGTTCAATATGTTTATGGGAACTACCTGAGATTTTGTTGAGGGCTTGGAGGAACTGGCCCTGGGGAGCTGTTATAAGTGGACAATGCGGGGAAAGAATATAGTTGTCTTATGATTGCACCCTCCAAGACCTGCGTGCTCTACTTATTCCCAACTTCTATTTATTTATTTATTTATTTTTTATTATACTTTAAGTTCTGGGGTATATGTGCAGAACATGCAGGTTTGTTACATAGGTATACACGTACCATGGTGGTTTGCTGCACCCATCAATCTGTCATTTACATTAGGTATTTCTCCTAATGCTATCCCTCCCCTAGCCCCCCACCACCCAACAGGCCCTGGTGTGTGATGTTCCCCTCCCTGTGTCCATGTGTTCTCATTATTCAACTCCCACTTATGAGTGATAACATGCGGTATTTGGTTTTCTGCTCTTGTGTTAGTTTGCTGAGAATGATGGTTTGCAGCTTCATCCATGTCCCTGCAAAGGACATGAACTCATCCTTTTCTATGGCTGCATAGTATTCCATGGTGTATATGTGCCACATTTTCTTTATCCAGTCTATCATTGATGGGCATTTGGGTTGGTTCCAAGTCTTTGGTATTGTGAATGGTGCCACAATAAACATACGTGTGCATGTTTCTTTATAGTAGAATGATTTATAATCCTTTGGGTATATACTCAGTAATGGGATTGCTGGGTCAAATGGTATTTCTAGTTCTGACCCTTGAGGAATCACCACACTGTCTTCCACAATGGTTGAACTAATTTACACTCCCACCAACAGTGTAAAAGCATTCCTATTTCTCCACATCCTCTCCAGCATTTGTTGTTTCCTGACTTTTTAATGATCGCCATTCTAACTGGTATGAGATGGTATCTCATTGTGGTTTTGATTTGCATTTCTCTAATGACCAGTGATGATGAGCTTTTGTCATGTTTGTTGGCCGCATAAATATCTTCTTTTGAGAAGTGTTTGTTCATATCCTTCGCCCACTTTTTGATGGAGTTGTTTGTTTTTTTCTTGTAAATCTGTTTAAGTTCCTTGTAGATTCTGGATATTAGCCCTTTGTCAGGTGAATAGATTGCAAGAATTTTCTCTCATTCTGTAGGTTGCCTGTTCACTCTGATGGTAGTTTCTTTTGCTGTGCAGAAGCTCTTTAGTTTAATCAGATCCCATTTGTCAATTTTGGCTTTCGTAGCCATTGCTTTTGGTGTTTTAGTCATGAAGCCTTTCCCCATTCCAATGTCCGGAATGTTATTGCCTAGGTTTTCTACTAGGGTTTTTATGGTTTTAGGTCTTACGTTTAAGTCTTTAATCCATCTTGAGTTCATTTTTGTATAAGGTGGAAGGGATCCAGTTTGAGCTTTCTGCATGTGGCTAGCCAGTTTTCCCAACACCATTTATTAAATAGGGAATCCTTTCCCCATTGCTTGTTTTTGTCAGGTTTGTTAAAGATCAGATGGTTGTAGATGTGTGGTGTTATTTCTGAGGCCTCTGTTCTGTTGCATTGGTCTATATATCCATTTTGGTACCAGTACCATGCTGTTTTTATTACTCTAGCCTTGTAGTATAGTTTGAAGTCAGTTAGCATGATGAACTGGTTTGATTAGATCATATTATTTGAGTCCAAACACCCTTTGACTAAGACAGGGAGGCTTAGAATCTTGAGATGAAACAATAAAACAGTAAACAAGAGAATGAGGGATAATTGTCAGACAAAAAACTGTAAGGTGGTAGGTTGGGTGGGAGAATGAATAGGCCCATAAGGCTGTGGGACAAATGCTAATTTTCTCTAGAGCAATGCTCAGTGGCACTGAATTTATTTGTTCACTCTGGAAAGGGAAGCTGATATGCACCGCTTCAGTGCAGTAGCTGTTAGGAGCAGGCAAGGCCCTGGAGAAGGACTCTTGTTAGTCATCCTTGATGCTAATAAGCATAGACCCTGTATTAGATTCCTATGGCTGCTATAACGAATTACCACAAACTTAGTGGCTTAAACATGATGCAAATGTACTATCTTATATTTCTGGAAGTCAGAAGTCTCTAATGAGTTTTGCTGGGCTAAAATCAAGGTGTCAGCTGGGCTGCACTCATTCTAAAGACTTTTCAACTTCTAGAGGCTGCCTGTATTCCTTGGCTCATGGTCCCTTCCTTCATCTTCAAAACCAGCAGTATCATCTTCAAATCTTTCCCTGACTTTCACTTCCTCTTTAACTTAAAAGGACTAGTGATTATATTGGGTCCACCTGGATAATCAAAGATAATCATCTCATCTCTGACTTAATCATATATGCAAAGAAAGTCACAGACTCTGGAAATTAGTATGAGGACATTTTTCAGGCGATCATTATTCTGCCGACCATAGACATTAGCTTTATCAGTTACCTAGTGTTGCATAACAAATTCCCAGAAAGCCCAGAAAGCTAGTTGCTTAAAACAATACCCACTTATTATCTCACAGTTCATGTGAGTTAGAAATATAAGCATGGCTTAGCTTGGTCATCTTTTTCATGTTCTCTCTTGAGGCTGCAATGTTTTGGCCAGGGCTGGGGTCCCATATGGGAGCTCGTTTGGGAAGGATTCACTTCCAAACTCACTTCAGTGATTTTTGGCATGATGAAAATCCTCTTTAGGCTGTTGGACCAAGGGCCTCAGTTCCTTGTGGGTAGTTGGCTTGAGGCCACTCTCAGTTCCTTGCCATGTGGATCTCCCCATCTCACCAACGTGGCAACTTGCTTCATCAGAGCCAGCAAGGGAGGGAGTCTGCTGACATGATGAAAGCTACAATCTCATGTAACATAATGATGGATGGACATCCCGTCACCTTTACCACATTTTATTGGTTAGAAAGCAAGTCACAGGCCCCACCCAAACTAAAAGGGAAGGAAATACACAAATCTAAGAATACAAGTGGAGAGATCATTGGGGTCCATCTTACATTTTGCCTGCCACATGCATAAAGAGACTTCTAGCTTAGTAATCCATATGTATCTTAAAAGTAGTTTCAGGCCGGGTGCAGTTGCTCATGCCTGTAATCCCAGCACTTTGGGAGGCCGAGGCGGGTGGATCACCTGAGGTCAGGAGTTTGAGACCAGCCTGGCCAACATAGTGAAACCCTGTCTGTACTAATAATACAAAAATTAGCCGGGCATGGTGGCACATGCTTGTAATCCCAGCTACTCTGGAGGCCGAAGCAAGGGAATTGCTTGAACCCAGGAGGTGGAGGTTGCAGTGAGCCAAGATTGCACCACTGCACTCCAGCCTCGGTGACAAGAGTGAAACTCTGGCTCACAAAAAAAAAAAAAAAAAAAAAAGTAGTTTCCATTCATGACTTAACCTCATGCAGAATTTCTTCTTTCAAGAAATTCTGGAAGAAGGACTCCTCAGCACACTTTATTAATTTGAAAATGGGAACTATTTTCAAAATATGTTGATTATATTTAAAGTCTTTACAGCTATAGTAATGCTTTGTAAATTATCTGACACATAATCTAGATTGACTTTAATTTTACTATTTAATGAATAAATGAAGTTGTCTGAATTGAAATAAAATATTCCAATATGTTATTTATCACCAGGACTAGGGACATGCTTTTCTTCTCTTTTTTTCTCGTCTATAATTATGTAATTATAACCTGCCAAACAAGAAAAATTAACTCTATAATGTTTTGGATCCCTTAAAATTCCTAACCCAACGATCCTAGGAGGAAAAACAAAACAAAACAATGATCTACACCATTTAAAACAATGATCTACACCATTTAAAAATAGCCTCAACAGAATGATTAGAATCAGGAATAGAAGATGACACTTTTAAGCCATCAAATTAACTTCTTTCTGGGATGGCCTAAAACAGCTAGAGACCATTAAGAATCCAGTTATAACTACATTTAGATAAGTATTATTTCATACTAAATTCCACATAAATTTTCTACTTTTGAAGAGTAATTTCAAATTGCTGTGACAATATTTTTTAAATGGTTGAGTTTGTTAAAAACATCATTTTCATCCCTGAATCACAGTGCTCATCTCTGCAGGGGAATATAGTCTATCCTACCCTAAACCACTCCTGTCAAACTTGCCTTCAATTCCTCTCTCTTCATTTCTTTGACAAAGGTTTATTCTTATCCTTTTTTGATGCAGAGTCCCTTGAAACATGTTTGGGACACCAGCATCAATGGTTTTAGAGCATGCTTTGGCATTATATACCATTTTATGATTTCATTGGATGTCATTTGATGCAGAAAGCAAAGCTATGTGAGGAAGAAGCCCAGCTTCCAATGAGGTAGAGTTTCCAGTATTACAATCCCTCTAAACAATGAAGCTAAGGCTGGTGTTCTCTGTTTTTTAGAGCAGCATAGTTTGACATGTTTCTTTAAATGCCTTTCTCATTTTATATTTATACCATTTAAAAATTATAATATATAATCATATTGGCATGTGCTAATGTATATTTTCTTTCTAGACCAACTTAAATAGATTTCTTGATGAACCCAGACACTGATACTAATTTAACAGTCATCATGGGAATCAAGATTTGCTCAGACATTGGGAAAACCAAACAAAATAAAACTCAAATAACAAAGATATGTAGGAAGATATTTCATGTCAGAATTCGAGAATCTTGCTTTAGAAACATTAAGTCTAAACAAGTTAACTGTACAATTTTAAATTTCAAAAATGGAAGTAAATAATCAATCTGTGAAGGGTGAAATGTTAGGCTTTTAAAAGGAAAACAGAGGTAATTTAGGATTACATATGAAAGCATTTTATAAACAGTGAAATAACATTCTAATGTAACTTCTTGAAAGATGGATGTGCAGTATTTTTATTTAGAAAGAAAGGCGATAAAGTGCAGTGAAACAGTGTTGAACTCTCACTTCATAGTGTTGAACTCTCACTTCATGGGTATACACATGCACACATAGGATTCTTTATTCTTCCTGTACTTCAGCGTTCTTCAAAGAAATTAGAAAACAATTCTTAGTTATTTCTTGTCTTCTGCTAGCTTTTGAATTTGTTTGCTCTTGCTTCTCTAGTTCTTTTAATTGTGATGTTAGGGTGTCAATTTTAGATCTTTCCTGCTTTCTCCTGTGGGCATTTAGTGCTATAAATTTCCCTCTAAACACCGCTTTAGCTGTGTCTCAGAGATTCTGGTAAGTTGTGTCTTGTGTCTTTGTTCTCATTGGTTTTAAAGAACTTGTTTCTGCCTTAATTTTGTTATTTTCCCAGTAGTCATTCAGGAGCAGGTTGTTCAGTTTCCATGTAGTTGTGTGGTTTTGAGTGAGTTTCTTAATCCTGAGTTCTAATTTGATTGCACTGTGGTCTGAGAGACTGTTTGTAATGATTTCTGTTCTTTTCATTTGCTTAGGAGTGTTTTACTTCCAATTAAGTGGTCAATTTTAGAATAAGTGCTATGTGGTACCAAGAAGGATGTATATTCTGTTGATTTGGGGTGGAGGGTTCTGTAGATGTGTATTAGGTCCACTTGGTCCAGAGCTGAGTTCAAGTCCTGAATATCCTTGTTAATTTTCTGTCTCATTGATCTGTCTACTACTGACAGTGGGGTGTTAAAGTCTCCCACTATTATTGTGTGGGAGTCTAAGTCTCTTTGTAGGTCTCTAAGAACCTGCTTCATGAATCTGGGTGCTCCTGTATTGGGTGCATATATATTTAGGATAGTTAGCTCTTCTTGTTGCATTGATCCCTTTACCATTATGTAATACTCTTCTTTGTCTTTTTTGATCTTTGTTGGTTTAAAGTCTATTTTTATCAGAACTAGAATTGCAACCCCTGCTTTTTTTTTTTTTGCTTTCCATTTGCTTGGTAAATATTCCTCCATCCCTTTATTTTGAGCCTATGTGTGTCTTTGCACATGAGATGGGTCTCCTGAATACAGCACACCGATGGGTCTTGACTCTTTATCCAATTCGCCAGTCTGTGTCTTTTAATTGGGGCATTTAGCCCATTTACATTTAAAGTTAATATTGTTATTTGTGAATTTGATCCTGTCATTATGATGCTAGCTGGTTATTTTGCCCATTAGTTGATGCAGTTTCTTCACGGTGTCAATGGCCTTTACAATTTGGTATGTTTTGCAGTAGCTGGTATCAGTTTTTCCTATCCATATTTAGTGCTTACTTCAGGAGCTCTTGTAAGGCAGGCTTGGTGGTGACAAAATCTCTCAGCATTTGCTTTTCTGTAGAGGATTTTATTTCTCCTTCGCTTATGAAGCTTAGTGTGGCTGGATATGAAATTCTGGGTTGAAAATTCTTTCAAGAATGTTGAATATTGGCCCCCACTCTTTTCTGGCTTGTAGGGTTTCAGAGCAGAACTGAAGGAGACAGAGACATGAAAAACCCTTCACAAACCAATGAATCCAGGAGCTAGCTTTTTTGACAGAGTCTTGCTCTGTTGCCCAGGCTGGAGTGCAGTGGCACGATCTTGGTTCACATTTTTTTTTTTTTTGAGACGGAGTCTCGCTCTGTTGCCCAGTCTGGAGTGCAGTGGTGCAATCTTGGCTCACTGCAAGCTCTGCCTCCCAGGTTCATGCCATTCTCCTGCCTCAGCCTCCCAAGTAGCTGGGACTACAGATGCCCACCACCATGCCCGGCTAATTTTTTTTGTATTTTTAGTAGAGATGGGGTTTCTTCGTGTTAGCCAGGATGGTCTCAATCTCCTAACCTTGTGATCCACCTGCTACGGCCTCCCAAAGTGCTGGGATTACAGGCGTGAGCCACTGCACCCAGCACGTTTTTTTTTCTTTTTTAAAGATTAACAAAATAGACAGACTGCTGGCCAGACTAATAAAGAAGAAAAGAGAGAAGAATCAAATAGACACAACAAAAAATTATAAAGGGGATATCACCACTGATCCCAGAGTAATATAAACTACCATCAGAGAATACTATCAACACCTCTATGCAAATAAACTAGAAAATCTAGAAGAAATGGATAAATTCCTGGACACATACACCCTCCCAAGACTAAACCAGGAAGATGTCGAATCTCGGAATAGACCAATAACAAGTTCTGAAATTGAGGCAGTAATTAGTAGCCTACAAACCAAAAAAAGCCCAGGACTAGACATATTCACAGCCAAATTCTATCGGAGTTACAAAGAGGAGCTGGTACCATTCCTTCTGAAACTATTCCAAACAATAGAAAAAGAGAGACTCCTCCCTGACTCATTTTATGAGGCCAGCATCGTCCTGATACCAAAACCTGGAAGAGACACAACAAAAGAAGAGAATTTCAGGCCAATATCCCTGATGAACATCAATGCGAAAATCCTCAATAAAATACTAGCAAACCAAATCCAGCAGCACATCAAAAAGCTTATCCACCATGATCAAGTCGGCTTCATCCCTGGGATGCAAGGCTGGTTCAACGTATGCAAATCAATAAATGTAATCCATCATATAAACATAGCCAATGACAAAAACCACATGATTATCTCAATACATGCAGAAAAGGCCTTCAATAAAACTCAACACCTCTTCATGCTAAAAACTCTCAATAAACTAGGTATTGATGGAATGTATCTCAAAATAATAAGAGCTATTTATGAAAAAACCACAGCCAGTATCATACTGAATGGGCAAAAGCTGAAGCATTCCCTTTAAAAACCGGCACAAGACAAGGATGTCCTTTCTCACCACTGCTATTCAACATAGTGTTGGAAGTTCTGGGCCAGGGCAATCAGGCAAGAGAAAGAAATAACGGGTATTCAAATAGGAAGAGAGGAAGTCAAATTGTCTCTGATTGCAGATGACATAAATGTATATTTAGAAAACTCCATTGTCTCAGCCCAAAAGCGTCTTAGGCTGAAAAGCAACTTCAGCAAAGTCTCAGGAAACAAAATCAATGTGCAAAGATCACAAGCATTCCTATACACCAATAATAGACAAACAGAGAGCCAAATCATGAGTGAACTCCCATTCACAATTGCTACAAAGAGAATAAAATACCTAGGAATACAACTTACAAGGGATGTGAAGGACCTCTTCAAGGAGAACTACAAACCACTGCTCAAGGAAATAAGAGAGGGCACAAACAAATGGAAAAACATTCCATGCTCATGGATAGGAAGAGTCAATGCCATGAAAATGGCCATACTGTCAAAAGTAATTTATAGATTCCATGCTATCTCCATCAGGTTACCATTGACTTTCTTCACAGAATTAGAACAAACTACTTTAAATTTCATATGGAACCAAAAAAGAGCCCATATAGCCAAGACAATCCTAAGCAAAAAGAGCAAAGCTGGAGGCGTCATGCTACCTGACTTCAAACTATACTACAAGGCTACAGTAACCAGAACAGCAAAACAGCATGGTACTGGTACCAAAACGGATATATAGACCAATGGAACAGAACAGATGCTTCATAAATAGTGCCACACATCTACAACCATCTGATCTCTGACAAACCGGACAAAAACAAGCAATGGGGAAAGGATTCCCTATTTAATACATGGTGTTGGGAAAATTGGCTAGCCATATGCAAAAAACTGAAACTATACCCCTTCCTTACACCTTATACAAAAATTAACTCAAGATGCATTAAAGACTTAAATGTTAGACCTAAAACCATAAAAACCCTAGAGGCAAACCAGGCACCATTCAGGACATAGGCATGGGGAAAGACTGCATGGCTAAAACACAAAAAGCAATGGCAACAGAAGCCAAAATTGACAAATGGGATTAAACTAAAGAGCTTCTGCACAGCAAAAGAAACTATCATCAGAGTGAACAGGCAACCTACATAGTGGAAGAAAATTCTTGCAATCTATGCATCTGACAAAGCGCTAATATCCAGAATCTATAAGGAACTTAAACAGATTGACAAGACAAAACCAAACAACCCTATCAAAAAATGGGCGAAGGATATGAACAGAAACTTCTCAAAAGAAGACATTTATGCCGCCAACAAACATATGAAAAAAAGTTTATCATCACTGGTCATTAGAGAAATGCAAATTAAAACCACAATGAGATACCATCTCACACCAGTTAAAATGGCGATCATTAAAGAGTCAGGAAATAACAGATGCTGGAGAGGATGTGGAGAAATAGGCATGCTTTTACACTGTTGGTGGGAGTGTAAATTAGTTCAACCATTGTGGAAGACAGTGTGGCAATTCCTCAAGGATATGGAACCAGAAATACCATTTGACCCAGCCATCCCATTACTGGGTGTATACCCAAAGGATTATAAATCATTCTACTATAAAGACACATCCACACATATGTTTATTGCGGCACTGTTCACAATTGCAAAGGCTTGGAACCAACCCAAATGCCCATCAATGATAGACTGGATAAAGAAAACGTGGCACATATACACCAAGGAATACTATGCAGCCATAAAAAAGGATGAGTTCAGGTCCTTTGCAGGGACATGGATGAAGCTGGAAACAATCATTCTCAGCAAACTAACACAGGAACAGAAAACCAAACACCTCATGTTCTCATTCATAAGTGGGAGTTGAACAATGAGAACACATGGACACAGGGAGGAGAACATCACACACCGGGCCCTGTCGGGGGGTGGGGGGCTAGGGGAGGGATAGCATTAGGAGAAATACCTAATATAGGCGATGGGTTGATGGGTGCAGCAAACCACCATGGCACGTGTATACCTATGTAACAAACCTGCACATTCTGCACATGTACTCCAGAACTTACAGTATAATAAAAATATTAAAAAAGAAAACTAAAAAAAAAAATAATTGTTTTCTGCAAGCTAGTGAGTCTCAGCCCTTAAACTCGCTGCTGGTGGACAGTCACTATTCATGAAAATAAGAACTGATTAACAGTGTTTCTCCGATGATCTTTGCTCAGAAGGGCGTTTCCCCAATCCTAGGGTATTTTGTGATGAAGCCACTTGCTTGCTTTTTATTTTCTCTTCCCACCTAAACCTGGAGATGTGAAAAGAACACTGAGATTTTTCAGATTTGATAACAAGCCATAACGTAGCGTCAGCCTAGTCAATTGCTGGCAAAGATGAAGGAAGAAGTGTTGCCCTTCATTTTCAGAAAAGTCGCCACAGGACTGCACTTGAAATGGGGGTTTATTGCTTTATCTCGTTGACCTTTGCAACACTCTGAAGAGAGATTATAATTATCCACTGAATCAATTCCTAACAGGCACTGAAGCCATTAGCTGGAGAGAGTGGAAATGTCCAGCAAATGACCAAGCATTCAGAAAAGGTCAACATATTACAGTTAAGTGTAATCTGTCATGGACTATATGAAGCATTTACACTCTGCTCATTGCCGCTGAAGCTTGCTTCCACCCTGGTACCTGCAAAGAAGAGGAATGGGACTATTTGTCATTTCTAAGTCATGTTCAGGGAATGCTATGGAAGAAAATGGGCATAATGAAGCCACCATAGTCATTAGGGTAACAGAAACATAGAGGAGATGAATTAAAGAGTCCACTTGCCCAGTAGCATTGGACTTGGCTTCTACCAATTCTATAGATATTGTTTCTCCTACTACCATTTTCACCCTTGAGTGAGACGTTACACTGCTGATCAAAAAGACTACCAGTTTAAGCCAAAGGGAAAATAAAGAGAATTTAAGAAAAGATCCTTATTAAGCAATGTATTAAAGACTTCATCCTTAAAAACTGGATAATTGTATTGCTTATCTTTTTTTGTCTGTGATACTAGGGATCTAAAGATGACCTTCAAGTAACACACCTTCTAATATTCACATTCTGTCTAGTCTCCTCCCCTTGAATCTGGACTAATCTTGTGACTCACTTTTAACAGAATATTGTAGAGATAGAGATAGCTTTGTATGACTTCTGGGCCTTGGTCAGAATAATCCTAGAAGCCTTATAAAGTCCACATGGATATCTTGGAATGCTCACTTTGAGGAAAGCCGGATACCATGTTAGAAGTCCAACAACCCTGTGACCACCATGTCATATAGAAGCCATCCATGTGGAGAAGTAGTGTGGAGAGAGGGAGAGATGCCTGGCCAGCTTTCACTATGGCAGCTGTCCAAGTCCAGGCAACAACATATGACAAAAGAAGCCATCTTGGATATCTCCTCAATCAAGCCTTCAGATGGCTCCAGCCGCAGCTGCCATTGAACTGCAGCCACAAGACAGACCCCAGTGAGAACCATCTGGATGAGTTCAGTCAACCTACAGAACCATGAGAGATAACCAATTATTTATATTAATTATTACATTAAGCCATTACGTTTGTTAGGCTGCAATAGATAACTAGAACATCATCTTCCCAAAAAGAATTTGAAAACTATGTTTTTAAAGAAACAGTTATTTAAAACAGTCAAACAGTTTTGAAATTCAACATGTCTCCCTTATCAAGGAAGATAAAATGTCCAAGCCAATGACTCCCTTAGTATACTGTATTTGTGACCTCCATTAAAACAAACCAAAAAAATTGTCTTATACAAACGTATGTTGAAGTGTGGAAAAAGATTTTCTTACTGCTCAGAGTGGGATTTGCCAATTGTAACATTAATTATGGACTTGTGGAGAATGGGGTAGAGGGGAAAAAAACAAACTTAGAGGAGAAGCAGACCCAATCAAGTGTCTTGGACTAAAAATGCTTCACTACAAGGAATAATTTGGAGGGCACAATTGGTATGGCATTGTCAAGTAAATATTTGAATTGCAGAGAAAGGATTAAAGTACATTGTAATTTTAGGCTTAGAATTAACTCGCTTACATATAACCAACGACTTGAATTTTAAACCTAGGGAGAAATCAGAAATCTTTGCAAAGTCTAATTCACATTTTACTGAATGCATTTAAGGCTTAGGCTGTGATTTTCTTTGTGAAGAAGATTAATATTAGGCTATTATGGTTAAAATCTACATCATTGATACAGTGGTGATCAGAATTAACATTTTGATGAAATTGCATCATTTCAAACTCTTTATTTTATTGTATTTTGTAAACCTTTGCAATAAAATTTCAGGTTTGGCACTTTGAATTTGGAAACTACTGCTAAGAGAGTTAATTTGCATATGTATCTGGTTTTGGTTTGACCTAATTTTTGTCCATTTAATTCATTTTTTGCTGAATGAATATTGTCTCTGGCCTTTGAAATGCTTATTTGACTAATGGATGAAAATAGTGCTTCTATTTAAAATGTATAAAAGGCAGCAGCTTTTCATGAGGTAATAGTTAAATTATTTTGCACACTTCTGTGATGCTGTCTAGCTCTCCCTGCATTCATTCCTTCAGCAAATATTTATTGAGTATCTACCTGGGGCCAGGCATTTGGGATATATCAGTGATCCTCAGTGGAGAGTGATTTTACCCCATAGGGGATATTTGGCAATGTCTGAAGACATTTATGGGTGTCACAGTTAGGAGAAGTGCTAATGGGTAGAACCCATAGTTGCTGCAAAACATCCTACAACACACATGACAGCCCCCACAACAAAGAATTACTCAGCACAAAATGTCAATAGTGCTGAGATTGAGGAATCCTGAGCTACATCAATAAATAAAACAGTCAATAAAACACCTAACCTGGCAGAGCTTACCGTCTAAAGAGGGAAGACATTCAATAAAAAATAAATAACAAATACCACCATATGTATAATGCAGCATGCTGAAGATGACATGGACATTTGTGAGTGTTGGGAGGTAGGCCACCATGCCATTTTGAATAGGGTAGACAAGTTAAATGTCATTAAGAGGTGACAAGTTAGCAACAATGAGTAGGAAGTAAGGTAGTTGGCTATGAAGCTGTCAAGGGGAAGAACCTCCTGGGCACAGGGGGCTACAGGCAAAGGCCCTAAGGTGGAACCTGCCAGGGAAGTTTGAGTTAGAGCCAGGAGCTCAGCGACCCTTCAACAGAGTAGGGAGGGATTCTAGGGAGAAAGATCAGAGAGAGGGCCAGGGCCCAGATCATTTGGGGCCTGATGGGCCATTGCAAAAGTCTGGCTTTACCTGTGAGTTTGGAGCAGAGGAATGACAAAATACATGTTTTAAAAAGGTCACTCCGGCCACTAAGCTGAGAATGGATTGCAGGAGGGCAAGGTGGAAGTGTGGGCCCAGTTAAGGGCTAAGGCAGCAATGCAGGCAGTAGGTGGCTGTTATCAATAGTCATGAACTCATTGAGTAGCAGACTTTTTAATGGCTCTCTAAATGAACTTCGGTTCTTAAGAGCGCTTCTTGTAAATACCATTGGAAAAAACTGACATAGTAAACTGAAAGCACAAAAAGTACTAAAAAAAAAAAAGTTGGGGTGGATGTTTTTCTTAAACACTTTGCCATGGATGAACAAAACAGACATTAAGCAAAAGCAGGCCACCAGGTTGTGTGCTCTGTTGATGGGCCATCCAGCCATGGTTTAGAACAAATGACAGGGTGGTTATTGAGAAGAAGCCAACGGCTTCTTTTATAGTGAGAAATAACAGAGTGTGTTTTAACTGGCAGCTCCTTTATTAACATTTCTCAAGCCTTTTCAGGATCACTATTTTATTCTCATCACCTAGGATAAGACTTCCTTCATTTATTCCCTTCTTTCCTGCCTCTATGCATGTCCACAGTCCTGGGGACATTTCCGTAAGAGTAAAGATAAACAGTGACTAGAAACAGGCCAACCCTAAAATCAGGGACAGTGTATAGCATATTTATGAATTTTGGCCCACAGCAATTGTTCTGATGCTTGCCCAAGGAATCTTCATGTTTTTTTCCATTTTAAATGTGTGTCAGTACTAGAGGCTGACTTTAAATAATACAATTACCATTCTTCACCATCTCAGAGGTTTTCCTGCTCTGACTGAATTTGACTGTGGGGTTTGCCACAGGAAGCCCAGGTCTTGACCTCATCATGACCGAGCCACTTTTCCTTTCTATGACACAAGAAGCACCAGGCCCCATGCTTGTCCAACTGGAAAGAACTCCTCTGTCTTTCAGGGTTCATGGGTTTTCAGAGGCAGTGGCAGCTACAGCTATGTGTACTGTGATAATGTACAGGATAGAAGAGCAAAGACCTAGTGATGTTGTAGTAAGCCCAGTTTGGCAGAAACCAGTTAGAAAAAAGGCTTCTGTTTCCGGAGGCTAGACTTAAATTTAAGAACCTGCAGTTTAGTAAAGTCTATCTGAAGGCCAAAGGCCTCTTTTGTGAGATCCAGAGATTCTGTTAATTAATTATTCAATCACACTTTTTAAGTATAATGAATATACAGAAAAGTACATGCCTTGAGTGTACAGCTCATTGAAATTTACACACTGAACACACATGCAGTAGGCAGCCACTAAGATGATCCCCAGGGATCTGCACTTTCTGATGCTCAGACTGTGTATAATTCCCTTCCTTTGCATGTGGGCTGGATTTACTGATTCATTTCTAATAAACGAAATATGGCAGAAGTGAGAGAATGTGATATCCAAGGTTAGGTTAAAAAAAACCCCAAAACTATGGCTTCCATACTGTGGGCTCACTCTCTCTCACACTCTTGCTCACTTGCTCCAAAGGAAACCAAATACCACATAAGCTGCCCTTTGGAGAGGCCCACACAGCAAAGAACCAAGGGAGGTCCCGGCCAAAAGTTGTTAAGAAACTGAGGCCCTCAGTCCAAGAGCCTGTGAGAAACTGAATCCTGCAAAGAAACACATGAGTGACCTTGGAAGCAGATTCCTTTTCAGTTGAGCCTCAGATGAGACCACAGCCCCAGACAATAACTTGATTGCACCCCTGTGGGACACCTTGAGCCAGAGGCACCCAGCTAAGCTGTACACAGTTTCCTGATCCACAGGAAAGGTGAGATAATAATGTTGTTGATTTAAGCTCCTAAGTTTTGAGGTTTTTGTTTTTTTTTTTTTTAGAAGGAGTTTTGTTCTTGTTGCCCAGGCTGGAGTGCAATGATGCAATCTTGGCTCACCACAACCTCCGCCTCCCGAGTTCAAGCGATTCTCCTGCCTCAGCCTCCCAAATAGCTGGGATTACAGGCACACGCCACCACACCTGGCTAATTTTGTATTTTTAGTAGAGATGGGGTTTCTCCATGTTGGTCAGGCTGGTCTCGCTCCCAGCCTCAGGTGATCTGCCTGCCTCGGCCTCCCAAAGTGCTGGAATTACAGGTGTGAACCACTGTGCCTGGCTGAGGTAATTTGTTATGTACCAATAGATAATTGTAATCAGGGTCCAAATAAGAAATCAAAACATTACCAATATCCCAGAAGCCCCCATGCTCCTTTCCAAATATACTTCCTGAGGATAACCACAGTTCCGATTTTTAATACCATAGAACAGTATGACCTCATTTGCAACATTATATGAATACAATTGTAAAGTAACAATGATTTGTTTCTTTCTTCTTTCACTCAGAATTGTTTTTGAGATTCATCCAAATTGTGATGTGTAGTCGTAGATCATTTATTCTCATTGATGTGTAGTAGCCATTGTGTAGCTGAACCACTATTCATTTATCAATTCTACCATTGATGGCCATTTGAGTAGTCCAATTTGGGGCTGTTAAATAATAGTGCTGCTATGTATTAACAGTCTTGCATATGTCTTTTGGTGAATATATTAAATGTGTATCTATTTCTGTTTGGTGTATACTTAGGAGTGGAATTGGTAGGTCAAAGGGTATACATGTGTTCAACCAATGACTCTGTTTTATTTGGCTTTATCATTCATTGACAATCCTATTACATGTGCATCTCTAACTCTATGAACTCAATTAGTCTTCCTTTACCTTACTTTTTTACTCTTCTTAGTGTCTGACTGAGTTCCTTCTACTCTGTCAGCAACTGGAATAAGTTGCAGTCCATCAATACATGCTGTCATCTAAACACATATTCTTGAGTGGATGTGGAGATAAATGCCATTATGACTGAAAGACACCATGTTGAATAAGCAATCCATTTATGTTTCACAAAGGAGGAGTTGGAGAAGAATGTCTTACAGTAATGTAAAAAGTAGTTAAAGCTTTGTCAGTTGAGCGAGGGATACTAAGAAGGTGTAAGCATGCCACATTCAACTCACTCAAACTAAGTAGCACAAACTGTATGAAAATTATTGGGACTCCCAAAGTCCTGGTGAGCAGTTAGTAATAGTCCATAATCATCATGAAGATTTGGGAAAGGAAAGGGGTAATTCGTTTCATCTCATTCATTTTGGGCTGCTTTGACATGCTTCCAGGATGAAAGCTTTCTTTCCATTGTCTTTTTGTTTGTCTTTATCTTCAAGGATGTGTTCTTTGATAAGTTAAATATCAAAATTTCAAACAGCATTCTCATTGGCCCAGAACATGCAGAGAAGTCTCCAGACCTGTGGCTGTTTAAATTTAAGTTCACTAAACATAATAAAATTAAATCCAGTCCTTCAGTTGCACTAGCAACATTTTAAGTGCTTAATAGCCACATGTAACTAGAGGCTACCATACTGTATCATGGCAGCATGATATGTTGGACAATGCTGCCCATCTAGAGATGCTCATGTGGAGGTACTTTTCCAAAAACCAACAAGAGGATCCTCGTCTAAAATGTTAGCATAATCTCTACCTTATTCTAAAGGGGGACAGTTCTGCCAGCTGAATTAAATTGTTGGAACACACACACAGGGATAGAGATGGTGTTCAGGGACATGAAACCACACTGAACAATCGTCACAGCAGTCATTCTCTAGGGGAAAAAAGATTTTAATAGTTTCTCCCTAAAATAAAGAAAATATTATATTTTTTAAAACAATCTGATTTCTAAAGATTCAAAGTACTGCTATTTCAATATTTCCCCAAATGTATTTCCCTGTGCCTGAGTGGGTAGAAAACTAGGGGAAACTTTGAAGAACAGTAACAATCACAATATAAGAACAAGATTAAGAGTTAATGTGTTCTGAATGTTTACCATGTGCCATACAGTGTACTACACAAATTACTTGTGTGATTCAAGCTTCCTGATATTCCAGTAAAGAAGGTAATGTCATTCTTATTTGGAAATGAGAAAACCGAGATCAAATAGATCAATTCAATGTTCTCAGTTCACATTTCAGTAACTGGCAGAATCAGCACATGGATCTGTGCTTTTCTGACTCCAAAGCCTGTGTATTTATAAGTTGTTCTGTAGAATTCAGAAATGGGTCTAGAAGCACAGAACTTAGAAAGTACCAGGGTGGCATTTTGGCAGTCCTGGTAACACTCCCAAGGTGGTAAACTTCTGTTTCTCATACGTATTCATGCTTGTAACATCCCTGGGAAGCAGTGATTCTTAGCCTCATTTTACCTAGAGGATGCCGAACTCAGGGATGCTGAATAATTTGTCTAAAGCCCTACAGCTATTACATGGTAGAACTTTGACTTCCATCTCATGACTCTCTATTATGTGTCAGATTCACAAAATGGTGTGTATGTATGAGTGTGTATATATATACATATATCAGTACATTTATAGGAGAATGAATATACATATTCACATATTTCTTGTATCACATGTCTACTGTATATACTTTTTCATTTCCTTCTTCCCCTTTTTTGCTGATGGAGATGGGCATTTCTTTCACCAGTAACACATTTGCATTCTTCAGATGGGCAGAATCATGGCTAATATATGAGCACTACCTACCTATAAGTGTGATATATCTGAATGAGGGACAAATTGAAAAAGAAGAGAGGAGATAAAATTAGGCCGAAGAGGTTGCTGTTACCAACAAGGCCTTTGAAAGTTCACAGAAGCCAGCATGGTATGGGCAAGGGAGTTAGAAAGAGAGGTTTTACTCTCCTTTTAGATCTGGCATCAATTAGGTATGTGATTTTGGGGGCAAATCACATTACACAAGTGGGTTTCATTTTTTTTTCATCTGGAAGAAGAGGAAGCTTGGATTAAATTAATGGTTTTTGGCTGGGCACGGTGGCTCACGCCTGTAATGCCAGCACTTTGGGAGGCCGAGGTGGGCAAATCACCTGAGGTGACTGAGGAGTTTGAGACCAGCCTGACCAACATGGTGAAAACCTGTCTCTACTAAAAATACAAAATTAGCTGGGCATGGTGGCACATGCCTGTAATCCCAGCTACTTGGGAGGCTGAGGCAGGGGAATCGCTTGAATCCGGGAGGTGGGGGTTGCTGTGAGCCGAGATCGTGCCATTGCACCCCAGCCTGGGCAACAAGAGCGAAACTCTGTCTCAAAAACAAACAAACAAACAAAAATTAGTGGTTTTCTTTTTTTTTTTTTTTTAGTAAGTCATAGTTATTTTATATGATTACAGATAGATACAGAATATGTAGTAGAGGACAGTAACAATTGAAAGGTTCTGATTTAAAAGTCAGTCTCTAAGGTTGCAGATTGATTGATTGATTGATTGATTGATTAGCGGTTTTCAAATTGTGCTCCATGCAACCCTTCTGAGACAGGGACTCTTGCCAGTGGGCAGAGCCCTGAATACCCCTGTCTTTTCAACCAGAACCCCTCTACTGCTTTATGCACTGAGATCATAGGCTAGGTTTATGTCAAAAAAAGTGACATTACTAAAAGAAAATATGAAAACAAATAGACAAAATGATTGCTACTGGTTCTTCAAGTACCAATAGGTCTTAGTTTGTAATTCTAATTCCCTTTCTGAACTTCCATGGTTTCCAGCATCCTCTTCTAACCTAAAACTTCCTTTCCTCAGTGAAAAGCAAAGATAAAAAGGTTCTATTGGCTTTGGTTGCTTTTTCTATTCTTTACGTTTTAAGAATGACAATAATATTGCTCGCATTTTTTTTACTGCAAATTTAGAGCATTTCAATAGTAATCACAGCAGCCTGTGAGATAGGTAATATTATTATCCCCATTTTACTGATGAGGAAACAAGGCTCAGAAAGATTAAATCCCTTTTCATAAAGCTGCGTGGCTGAAAAGTGGTAGAGGAGGGTCCATTCAACTGCAGAACTTACATTTTAACCATGTAGGATATGGCCCCAGCTCTTTAACCTTCCCTGTATCCATGCACTTTCATGTAGCTTTGCATTCTCCCACTAGAGCTGAAGTTTACTTGCCTGACTTTAGACTTTGGGCTTGGTCAATGACTTGCTTTGGCCAATGGAAGAACCGTGAAAGTGACGGTGTACCAGTTCAGAGCCTAATCTTTCAGAGGCCTTGCCACCTGTTCCTGCTTGCTCTCTCCTGCTCTGTATTGCCTTGTGCAGCCTTCTGGTCCAAGGAGGAGGAGAGACATACGAAATAGATTTGAAACTAATCTGTAGTTTCCAGGCAAGCCCAGCCAAGATCACCAGAGCTTCCCCATCCAGTTTGCAGATGCATGAGAAAGAAACACTTATTTCCAGACACAGAAGGAAAAATATCAAAATATTAAATCTACTTGTATGAAAAATCTAGGACTGGCAGATTCACAGAGTCAGAAAGTAGATTAGAGGTTACTGGGGGCTTGGAGAAGGGGAAATGGGGAGTTATTGCTTAATGGGTACAGAGTTTCTGTTTGGAGCACTAAAAAAGTTTTGAAAATAGATAACGGTGATGGTTGCACAATATTGTGAATATAATTAGTGGCACTGAATTATACATTTAAAATTATTAAAATGGAAAATTGTGTGTTGTATACATTTTACCACAGTGCAAAAAAGAAAGTATTCAGTAAGCTACTGAGATCTTGATTATTTGTTATGAAGCAACAGCTGACTGATACAGCCCTATCTAATAGCAGGGCAGCTATTATATAGAGAGAAGAATGGAATTTTCATGTAACACTGTAAATGAGTAAGAGAAGAAGACGGGGAGGATTCAACATCTGGTCTGCTGAATGAAACCTGTTTATGTTAAAAATAAATTAGGTAGAGGGCCATGGAAGAAAATGATTGCTGGGGCAATTAAGAAAGACCATTGGCAAATGGCTCATGCCTTTTCAGGGTCATTCCCATGGGAGGCCCTGTTCATATGGGAAATGTGAGATAACTAAAGGAATTCAGTGAACTGGGAACATTTTTGAGATGTGAAAAATTTTGAACCCAATACAAATTTGGAATTTGAAAGACTGCAAGAGATTAGGAAGAGACAGGTAGTGTCATCTGCCAAGTTGAAGCTGTTAGAAAGAATAGTTCATATTCTGAGTCAATTTTTAAAAAAATCACATTCTTATGCAATTCAAATCAATTTGCCTTGACAGTTACTTTCCATTTCCCTTTTAGTTTGGAAGATATTTATGTTTGATTCTGTTCTCTTTCAACGCTCACTTCACCTTCTGTTCAGCAGTCCGGCAGTGCTCTCACAATAAAGGAATTTAATATATTTTTAAATGAAAATTAAACAGAGGGCCAGAGACTGTAATGTAATACATGGCACAATCACAAATGGGAGGTGGCAGTTGAAGCCTTTTTTATACATATGCTGAGGGGCTAAAATTGTTCAAGAAATGAGGTGTTAGCTAAAATTCTCAGCAGCAAGCAATGTGACTGCAAAATTGAAATAATAATAATGTTAATAATAATAATAACAGGCCTGTACAAAGGATTGTTGTAAGGACAAATTATAGATGGGTGAACTGCTTTTAGTATCTTGGAAGGAAGGTATTATGTAAATTCCAGTTCTTTTTATTATTTTTCCTTGAAGATTGCCAAAAAAAAAAAAAAAAAATCCTAGTGGGTGGATGAGAGCAGGGATTGAGGGAGGAAAGGGAGAGAAAATAATTCAAGGATGCAAGAAATAGCTCATTTAAAGTACTTCTTGGCCATTACATTTGCTTCAATAAACTTCTGCCTAGACATGCAGCTACGTAGGATGTGGAGCATTTGCGAGGATGTTTTCTGCTTGCGCCCTTGTCCGTGAAGCATCTAGATTTTATAAGCATTTTGCTAAGAGAATCATGTCCATCTTGTTGGCATACTTTTTGGTATCATTTCCATCATTGTGTTCTGTGTTTTTAGCACACACAGAGATTACTTTCCCCAGGCAACTGCAAATGTCTGGTCCCAAGGGCAAACACTGATACTGCATGCTCTAAGGGAGTTAGCCTGCAAAGGCGGGTACCTGCAACTGTTATTTTAAACTGAGCATTTCAGAAGGCCAGGCTGAATGTCAACTTGCTGCAATTTATAGTGAGAGAAGTTAAATTCCTATCTTCCACTCCATGGTTATGTTCGACTTTGTCAGGTGAGATGAGATAAGAAGCATATGGCTTTCAATGACAACAGATATATAAATTGTTTTTCAAATTTATTCATTCAATAACCGTATTTGGGGAAAATAACTTTTTAGCAAGAAGTGAAGTGCCTCCTGTCTCCTCTCTTCTGGTCTATTTGGAAGAAAGCTGACCCATCTTACTGAGGTATTAATGTTCATCACATCACTTCCCTTCTCCAAATACTATGATGATTTCCAAATGCAGCTCAGATTCAAGTAAGATTTCCTAATCATTTTCCCCCAGTAGGAAACACCTCCAGTAGCTCTCCACTCACCTCCTCTTATCTTCACCTACACTTCAACTTTAAAGACCGTTGGAATTCATTAAACAGATATTTGACAAGTGCCTACTATGCAACGAAGACTGTTCTAGACTTTGTGGATAGACCGATGAAGAAAACAGAAAAAAATCCCTGCCTGTCTGGGGCCACCATTCTATGGAATGACCTGAGACTCTGGTAGCAGAACAGAGGATGCCTCAGGTGGCTAGAAGTAAGTGTGGGGAGCCCCTCACACTCTCCTGCTGTCTGTTTGCATCCAGAAGATGTAGAAACTGAACTGGACCTAAAATTACATGGGTTTCCTCTAGAGACCCAAGGCGCTTACCCTTCAAGTTGAGTCCCGTATATCACTTCCCGTGTTTTGTGCAATGTCATTGATCTAGAACTTCCTGCTACCTTTTCTTCAACAAATGGCACCTCAATCTCTTTCCTCAGAACACTGTCCAGAGATCACCCCTTTGAAGTCTTCCCAGATTCACCCACGTGCCTCCAGGCCTACTGGTGTCCATGGCAACCCTTCAACATCCACAAACAGCTCTGCAGGGGCAGATGGGTGAAAAGATGGCCTTTCCTTAAAGAAGAGAGAGAACAAATTGGGAGAAGAGATAAACAGGTTGCTTGGGTACCTGGGGTCACATGGCTTGGGCCATTTTCATCAGAAGACTGCTCTGCACAAGGTTTCAATACAGAGAGGAACAAGGGATGGTCAGGATCTATGGGGGGCAACCAGGACATTGTCAGAAGAATCGCCAGTATAAGCAATCATTTACTTCACGTCTACTGTATGCTAAGCACCGTGTAAAGTACTTCACACTCAATATTTCTCAAGAACTCTTCCGAGTATGTTAGGACTTAGGTATTATTATTCCCACTTAGAGATGAAGATACACAGGCTCCAGAAATTAAAATACTTTGAATCCAGGTGCCAGAAGAAATCCTCATATCTTCTCATTTACCAGATTTATCCACTCCTAGGATAGTCCTTGCTGCAGACCGAGTTGCAGGTTCAACTCTGGGGTAGAATGTGGGTCAGGAGGGGAAGGATAAAGTAGGCAGATAGCATATGAGAGATGTGACATACACAGCCCTGAATCATATCTTCATAAATGGTGGTGTCTGCTGTTGTTATTCAATCATTAAAAATTATTAGTAATCAGTAATTACTAATTCTTGTCCCTAGAGCCATGAGGGAAAGCATTCTAGAAGACACAGAGGAGAGGCTAGCCCAGACATGGAGTTGGCTCACTTTAAGGGCACATAAAGAACTGCTCCTCTCTCTGTCCCCACGCACGCTGCATGTACTCAGAGCTTCTGTCTGAGCCTATCATTCCTAAAGCAGGATCTTGACACTTGTCCAAGTCAGCAGTGCAGCCTCCCAGGATGGAATCCCGTCTTATGGGGCTGACAGTCACTCCCTCACTCAGACCTTGTTAGGTCACGTAATACTGCCTCTTGCCTGGGGTGTGTGCCCCAACCTTACTGGCCTGGGTGAGAGATGATAAGGGAATATCGGGAGCCATTTCAGTTCAAGTTATCAGAGCTCTGTCTGCTTCCATGCATTAGTCATCAGTAACTCTTCAAGGTAGGTTTCATTATTTCCACTTTTTACATGAGGAAATGGGCTTTCTCCAATGCGAGTAAGCATCTTGTTCAAGGCCATGCAGCTCATTTGAAGTGGAGCCAGGAATACAACCCAGGCTATGTGCACCAATGTCCTTTCCTTCTATCCATGGTAAAGTCATTATCAGTATTCAAAGTTCCCATAAAAAGGTTTTGCTTTTCTCTATTTGTTCCTTACAGCTGCCCAATAAAGATACATGTTGTGTTCATCTTTGGGTTCTGAAGCATGTTCACATATTGTTTCTTTTAATCTCCACAATAACGTTGACAGGTAACTATCACTTTCTCTATTTGGTAGTTGATTACACTGAGGCATTGAAAGGCCAAGTAATTTACCCACTTCACCTGGCAGGGCAGAATTTGACAGTTGCAAAGCAGAGCGACTACAGATAGATATCTTGGAAATACAGAACAAGAAGAGAGTGACTCCAACATGCGAGATATAGGAGGGAAAGTGGTGGAGAACCACTGAAAAAGCTGTGTTTGAGTTGGATCTTGATGAACGGGTAAGCACTTGAAAGGAATGCAGTTTCCAGGGGCAGTGTAGGTGAAAAGAGGACTACAGGCAGGGATGCATGGGGTCTGCTTAGAGAAAAGTATACCAGCAAGTATAATTAGGACACAAGATGAGTGGTGAGTGGCTTTTGGGTGAGAGAAGTCTACGAAGGAAGACTGGAAAGAGTTGGGAAAGACAGCATTGATGAGAATAATTCTAGTGAGAATCACTCTTTAGTAATAGAATAATTACAAAGTTGGGATATTGGGAATTTATGGTGTCAGAGGAGGTTCAGTTATGGGTGTCAAAAAGGTTGGGGATGTGGAGATCAGGAGTGCTTGGCTGAAAGGGAATGGTCAAGAAGGCACTTGGAGTTGAGGAGATAGAAAAACTAAGAAGGTAATTTCATCCATGTGGATATTTGAATGCTGATTTTTATCCAGAGTGTGGTAGGATTCTTGGAAGGTGTCAAAGTCTTCAGTATATGTAAGGAATGGCATGAAATTCAGAGAAAGTCTGAAGTCATATTGTTGGAGGGCATAACTAGTAAAAAAAGGAGCAAGTTTTGCACTAGGTTGAGAGAATAATGACTTATAAATTAATCATGAGAAGCCAGGAGAATGCCAATACTACCTCTTTACCCTGTGATTTAAGTGGCACGAGAAGGACTAAGCCTCCTTTCAACGTGGTCACAAGAGAAGGGCAAGGGCTCAGAAAATGGTAAAAAGAGGTTAATTGTTAAGGCCATTACATTTGCAATAGAGTGAGTGTTCAAGGGGTGCAGTAGAAATGGTTAGTTAGGAGTTACAGCAGACAATTGAGGAGGCTTCTTCATTTCCACCTGCCTGGGGGCTCTCTCTGGCTGCTAAAGTCCACCCTGACCACACATAATCAGCTGGAAGTTCTGGGGAATGACCCCACAGAGGAGTCCTCATTCAATACCTGACAAGAATTAGAGTATAAATACCTCCACTCCCTCACCACTCAACTGAATAACTCCAAGGCATGTTTTCTACACTGATCCTGGAACTCCCCAAGAGGATGAAGCTCCAGTTGCCCACAGTGGCAATTGGTTTGATAACTTACATTTTATTGGTTGTCTTCCTTTTTGGTCTCACATCTCTAGTCTCTGGCTGGTGTTTCCTGGGATCACGCCCTAGATTATCTATACACACACAAATCCTTGTGTCAGAGTTGGCTTGTGAAGGAACCAAAACTAAGATCAATTAGTCATAGGGAACGTGTTAAGTCATGGAGAAGGAAGAACCAGGTGTCACAGAGAAGCAGGTGCCAGAGGAAATCTGTGTCCTGAGGCCTCACATTTTGAGCGGTTCAAGAATAAAAAGGTGAGAGATTCAGGTGAAATTAACTAAGGGGAGCCTATGTATAACGTTATCCTGGAGCCAGAAGGAGCTGGGGCTCCCAGTTGTTCCTAGGGGTTAGTGGTCATAGCCACTACCTCCCAATTTAGATGTATCAGAATTGGAACAATATAGAGCTTTACCAGGATTGAACATGTATTTGAATATTAACAATAAGGCAATGGTAAAGACCATAAACTATTTTTCCAGTTGGTAACTTTCGTATACATAGAAGGGAAGAGGAGACAAATGTAAACAGAGAAATACTATTTTTAATGTTGGCAAGGAATAGAGATGATATCCCCGAAGAAGCTTCAATTCGAAGACAATGTTTGCAGAGACTGTTTATAAACAGCTACAGGATGGAATATACCTTCTTACTGCAGGTAAAAATTAGGTTAAGGAACGATAGGTACATAGTTCAAACACAGCTATTTTGAAATGGCACCTCAAATCTCAGAAAACCTAGCAATGTTCCAATCCTCTCTGAAAGTTGACAGATTTTCAGTGAACCATGATAAAATTTTCTCTGAGGGAAAGAGGTTAGGGGATTTATACTAAATTTCTGAAGTGTGCCTCCCATGTTTGAATTTAGCCTCAACCTAGAAAAATTATTTATAAATTGATCAATAGTGATACTTTATCCATGGCAAAGCAGAGAGAAATCTCATTTTCCTGTCTATTGGGAAATACTGCTTTGAAGATGAACTTGGGGCACACTAACCCTGCAACTGAATTTTGAGACCTTTCTGTTTTATATTAATAGGACTTACAGTCTGCATTTGGGCTGGCTATATAAAAAAGAAAAATGTTTCACTCATACAAGCTATTCAATTACTACATGAAACATTATATAAAGATTACTTTTCAAAAGTATGTATCCATTGGGGTTAGAAACAAAGGAAAAGCAAGAAAAACAGAATTAGTGGAAAAGCTTCCTTCCTACAGAACCTGAGAACATAGCTTAGACTAATTCCTTATCTATCCTCTAAAATAATAACAGATTGGAGTTTAACACTATCTTTGCCTTTTACTCTTTCTACTCTCAAGGCTATGAAGAACAGGGTTGGTGGAGATCGTGATTTCCGTTTTTAATGTTCCTGTATTTTTCACTCCTGCCATCAAATGGAAGCTTAATCTCATGTCCAAAACTAGAGTTCAGAGTTTCAGAATTGAAAAGGGTGCAAACCAAAATGCATGCGAAAATCTATTTACAAATATGAGCAAATTTTTGTTTCTTAAACTAAGTATTTTTTTCTTGAGTTTCCTTAATGTCCGAGGAAGATTAATTTTCAACTAGGTAAGAGAGGAAAAATGTCCTATAGGGAGGTAAGGGGATAAGAAAAGGCAAATAAAAATTGCATTAAAGAGTGAGAGTTTTGGCCAGGTGCGGTGGCTCACGCCTGTAATCCCAGCACTTTGGGAGGCTGAGGTGGGCAGATCACCTGAGGTCGGAAGCTCGAGACTAGCCTGACCAACATGGAGAAACCCTGTCTCTACTAAAAATACAAAATTAGTCGGGCGTGGTGGTGCATGCCTCCAATCCCAGCTACTCGGGAGGCTGAGGCAGGAGAATCACTTGAACCCGGGAGGTGAAGGTTGTGGTGAGCTGAGATTGTGCCATTACACTCCAGCCTAGGCAACGAGAGTGAGACTCCATCTCAAAAAAAAAAAAAAAAAAAAAAAAAGAGTGAGAGTGTTAAAAACTACCTGATGCATAGTATGAGATACTATGCATGAAAAGCAGTATGAAATAAAATCTAATGAGATCTGAATGAATCATAATATGTTAGGAACAATGGTAAAGGATTAGCAGATAATATTTAATGGGTATGAGACTACTACCGTATGAATATTATTTTGATAATATTGTAAAGTCTTATTTTTCATATTTGATAAATGGTAGCAATATTAAAAATACCATAAGACACAATTATAAAAACACACATTAATGGTTCCTTTAAAAATTCATTTTTCTCTGCCCAAATGAGACCTTAATGGTCTCTTTGAAACTCATGCAATGTATCATCTAAATATGTTTTTAAGCATATCCTCAATAAAACTGTTAGGGGAAGTCTGAAAAGAACAGGTTAAGTAGTCAGTTTGCATAGTTAATAACTCACTCTCGACTTGCTTTGCTGTTATTCACATGCAGTTTCTCCAGGTAAATGAACTGCTGTTCATTTAAAGAAGTGGAAATAAAAGGCTTCCATATAGATCTCCAGAAACTGATTAAATGTGAGTGGTACTTTCAGCTTGAATTTGAAATGTGGCTAGTTAGGTCATCTTTCAGCTTCCAAGTTATGCCAGATTCCAACCTGGGCTGGGTCTGCTGCTTAAGGAGACTTGTGTTGGGGTGGCCTAGAGCTTGACATTCCATTCAGCCTGGGCAGAGTAGTGGGGCTATTCAGAGAAGCCTTTTTCTGCCCTCTTAGCTACCTAGATGGGAAGGTGAACCACAGACATGTGAGGTCTTGCTTCAGAGACACTCCCTTCCAAGTTTAGGGTTAAGCACAGTTCTAGAATCTCCTCATTTTCAATTAGGACCTCAGAAATGTTGCTGAGTGGGTGCCTCACAGCTGCCCGAGACAAAATGAATGCTACGGTGACAAGAGCCCAACTATTTGAAGCCCTATATTGTATGTCCCTAAAGATGCTCTCTGCATAGCCAATGCAGATACATATTTAATTAACTGTGAAAGATTTTAATCAATGGTCTGAAATATTTTTTATTTTAAAGATGAGCTCCTAGCCTGGGCAATACAGTGAAACCCTGTCTCCACTAAAAATAAAAAAAAATTAGCCAGGTGTGGTGGCACATGACTGTAGTCCCACCTACTCAGGAGGCTGAGGTGGGAGGATCACTTCAGCTCAGGAGTTGGAGGTTGCAGTGAGCTGAGATCATGTCACTGCACTCCAGCCTGGATGTCGGAGTGAGACCCTGTCTCAAAGAAAAAAGAAAAAAAAAAGATGAGCTCAAAATTAGCTCATGCTTATGCATATTACAAATTATATATAAAGTCTGTAAAATGTAAAGACAAGGCTACAAAATTACAAGCACATCTACCTAAAACAGATCACTTTGACCATTTCTTTGTGGTCTTATTGGCAGTGAAAAAATTTAGTGTTGGTGGTTTTGTGTCAATTGACAGTAAACTCATGTGATGATTCCAATGGGAGACCATGCTGTTTACTGGAAAAGCATGAAGACTTGGTCTCCAATGCAGGTCCTAAGATTTAATAATGGAGAACTCTGAGGAACTTAAACTTATTTACTCACCTACGTTATTTCCGCTACTTCCAGTTGACTCATCTCATTGACTGGCACTGTCATCCACCCAGGGCTCAAGCTACAAATTTGGGAGTTATACTTCATTTCTCCCTGTTTCAATCTCCACATCAAATACAATGCTAAATCCTACTGATCCTTCCTCTACACATAGCTTTTCTCTAACACCAGAACCACTGCTCTGTCCAGTCCTCTAGCTATTATTTCCTATCTGGACTCTTTCAAAAACTTCTAATGGCTTCTTACTGCCACTCTTGTCTCCTAGATTCCATTTTCCATGTAGCACGGCCAGGGTGATATTTTTAAAATATAAATTGAATTATTTGCCAGGCACGGTGCCTCACGCCTGTAATCCTGGCACTTTGGGAGGGCGAGGCAGGTGGCTCACTTGAGGTCAGGAGTTTGAGACCAGACTGGCCAACGTAGTGAACCCAGTTTCTACTAAAAATACAAAAAAATTAGCCAGGTATGATCTCAGCTACTCAGGAGGCTGAGGCAGGAGGATCGCTGGAACCCAGGAGGCAGAGTTTGCTGTGAGCCAAGATCACACCACTGCACTCCAGCCTGGGCAACAGAGTGAGATTCCATCTCAAAAAAAAAAAAACTGAATTATTTGAATCTACTTCCTAAAACCCTCCAATGGCTCCTTCTCTTTCTTAGAGTAAAATCCAGACTTCTTTTCATGGTGTAGACCAGGAGTCAGCACACTTTTTCTGTAAAGAGCTAGATAGTAAATAGGCTTTGTGGACCAGATAGTTGGCTGCAACTACTCTACTCTATAGTCATAGAGCAAAAGCAGCCACAGGTAATGTGTGTTTCTTTTTTCTTACTTTTTCCTTTTTTTGAGACAGGGTCTCACTCTGTCACTCAGGCCAGAGTTAAATGGCACTACCACAGCTCAATGCAGCCTAGACTTCTGGAGCTCAGGTGATTCTCCTACTTCAGCCTACCAAGCAACTGGGACTAAAGGCACATACCACAACACGCTGCTAATTTTTTGTATTTTTTGTAGAGATGGGGTTTCCCCATCTTACCCAGGCTGGTCTCAAATTCCTGGGCTCAAGTAATCCACCCACGTTGGCCTTCCAAAGTTTTGGGATTACAGGTATGATCCACCATGCCCAGTGGTGGCTATATTTCAATAAAACTTGATTTACACAAACAGGTAGTAGGCCAGATTTGGCCTGTGGGCCAAAATTTGCCAACTGCTACTCTAGAAGACCCTCAATCACCTTGCTCCTGCTTCTATCTCTAGTCTTTTCACACCTCTTTCCCCTTGGCTGGCCAGGAACTGCAATATCACTCTTGTTTCACTCCCCAAAGCACTCTAAGCTCTTTCTCTCCTCCCGCTCTTTGCCTGGTTAGCTTTTCCCATCGTCCGGGTCTCAACCTAAATGTCACTTTCTCATTGAGGAGACAATGAGAATCTTCTACTGAATCTTCTACTCCTATGCCATCATTATGCTTTACAGTGTCCTGTTCTTTTCCTTTCCTTTCTTACCACCATTTATAACCTATGTATTTGCTTGTTTCACCTCTTGCTCACTAGGCTGTGTGCTCAAGGAGGGAAGGGACCAGGTCCATTTTGTTTGCCATCCCATAATCAGTGCCTTGCATCATGCCTAACACACAGCGGATGCCTACTAAATGCTTATTAAATGTATACTTTTTTTTTTCCTCTATGAACTTTAGTTTCTTCACTTCTAAAACAGGAAAAATAATACTTACTTGCCTTAGAGGACTCATGTAATGATTAAATATGCCAAGCACCCAAGGAAGTGCCTGGGACGCAAACATTTTCATTGCACTTGGTTCTCCTCTGCATAGATACAGTCTTAATGAATAGGATAATTTCTTTAAAACACCATCCATTCTTTGAAATGGCATTTCAGTGGCTGGTGATCCATCACCCTAGTCAGAACATTCTGGCTACTTTGGTTGCATATTTATAATCCGAGTTAAATATTAGAAAAGCATAGTTTTCCTTTACAGCAATGATCTTTTTCTAGTTAAATTAATTCACTGCCAAGTCCTTTCTCTAGAGATAATCATTAATAAATGTGGAATGTTGGGCTAGAAAAAAACACTGGACTTACGTATAGGTGGTCTCCAATTTTGGATTTGGTAAGTTTCTAGAAAACACAACAGAACTTGAACTTCTTACACACCCTTGTCTGCTTAAGATATCCTTGGGAACTCCAGGATGTGCTGATAGAAGCAAGAAAAGTAAACCACCAGAGGCAGTCAACAGTTGATGCTGGGTGCTTTCATTCTCAGCATCCAGCACCTGGACTTGGCTCTTTGAAATACCCTCAGCCTACTGAGTCTAAACTGCCTGAGAGCATGGAGGGGAGGGGGAACGTGAGCCCAGGAGGCAGTTCTTAACTGGCGACTATAAACACTCTATCCCTCTGCCTCTGATAGGACAACTTAAGGTGTGGTCTTAAAAAGTATCTGGAGCTTCCCTGTGCACTGAGCCAAAGTCACCCTCCTGGGGCTTTGCCTGATACTGCATCTATGTTTGCCCTCCTTTTCTTCCAGGTCCCACTCCCCATCCCTCTATTTATCTTTCCTGAGAACTCTCCCTATTAAGTCACTTACATATGGATCTTCATTTCAGGGTCAGTTTCTGGGAGTCCAACCTAAGACAATGAACAAGTGCCTAATGATGAAAAATTTGTTTTCTTTCTATAAATTGTCATTTCAATCCCACCTCTTTAAAAAAAATTAGAGATAGGGTCTCACTATGTTGCCCAATCTGGCCTTGAATTGCTGGGCTCAAGTGATCCTCCCACCTCAGCCTCCCCAAGCAGCTAGGATTACAGGTGCACGCCACCATGCCTGGCTCAATCCCACCTTTTAATGGTCATACTTTGGGTAAACTTTTAGTGGAAGGTATACATAGACTTATTGGTAAACAAACCCAGCTTACTTGAAAAGCTTAAATAAAAGCCATTCAACAATTTCTGAACTAGAAAGGGTAGGGAAAGAAGACTCTAAGAAGTATTGAAGCTTGTAAGTAAATAAGAAACAGACCAGATTAAAAGTGTAATTTCTATGTCAAGGCCATACTGGGAACATATTCCCTCTACCAAAACATATTGAAATAACCATCATAATAGGGATCCTTCTATTAAAAGAATGACTGGAAATGTTCTTTTAAACAGAAGAAATGCCAATCTACATTAGTCTTACATAAAGGTTTCTCTGAGCAAAGAGGTAATTACAGCTTGACAGATGCCTAAAATAGCCTTGATTCCTCATTTCTTTTTCAATCTAGAGGTGGGCAGATACCACCCTGGTGCCTCTGTGAATTATGGCTTATAAAACTTGGAAGAAAAAATTTAAAATATATTAAATTGCAATGCTTAGAGTGTATAAGCCTTTCGACTACTTCCTCCTTCCCCCTTCTCTCCTTACTACCTTTTTTTTTTTTTTTTTTTTTTTTTTGAGACAGCCTCACTTTGTCGTCCAGGCTGGAGTGCAGTGCTGTGATCTTGGCTCACTGCAACTTCCACCTCCTGGGTTCAAGCAATTCTCGTGCCTCAGCCTCCGGAGTAGCTGGGATTACAGGCGTGAGCCACAATGCCTGGCTAATTTCTGTATTTTTAGTAGAGATGGGGTTTTGCCATGTTGCCCAGGCTGGTCTCGAACTCCTGAGCTCAGGATATCCACCCGCCTTGGCCTCCCAAAGTGCTAGGATTACAGGCGTGAGCCACCGTGCCTGGCCACATTCCTACCTTTTAAACAAATGAAAAGTGTAAGTGTTCCTCTCCAATGGTAATGGTTAGAATCCCTTCTTCTGTTGAAAATATTGCGTTATGGTTTTCATGTGGTCTACTACAATGGTTCCCAGTCCATTGTCCCACTTGGCTTCTGTATTTGACTCTGGGCTCTGCTATCTACTGGCTGTGTAACTCTGGGAAAATACTACACCTCTTTGAGCCTCTTCACCCTCGAAAGAAGACCTTTTCTGTGAGTCTACTATTTTCTGAAGTATTTGTGAGTCTACTATTTGTGAAGCATTATATACTCACATATATTAATCATGGAAGAACACATAGTGTGAAAATTATACTGGCAAAACAATAACTTCAATAGATCAAATATATCCAGACTACCTTATAAATAGGTACTTTTTAAAAATTAGGCTTTCTTTGATGTCCATAAGTATAAAATTTTCAACGTTTACAATGTATATAGCAAATTACATATGTATCGTAAAAAGTGGCCTGCTATTCACTTTCAAGGGGAAAAAAGTTTTGCTTTCAGCAGGACAACAAAGTTTTATATTTCCATAATAGATGATTGATTCTTCTTCATTAAAAGAGAGAATTTTACCTAAGCTTGTGAAAATTACCATTTGTTTGTATTTGTCTGCCAGGACTTCAGGATTAATTCAAGTTTAATTAGTCAAATTAAAGTGCTACATGACCACAAGAGATATTGAATATTTATAAATAATTCTTCAGTCAAAACTTTTTGATAAATTCTGCAGCCACTGGAGGATTATGGAAAGTTGGCAAAATCATTTTTGGATCTCCTTGAGTTCTCCCATAAAAAAGAGAGAAAGCAACTCAGATATTAAAGCCAAAACCCCATGGACAACATCACCAGCAAAAATAAGTGGTGAGCTATTCCCATGAATGCCAGAATATGATTCATACCAACAGTATCCATGTGGAAGGAAATGGAGGCAAGGAAAAAGGGCTTCTGATGACTTGGAGACCAGAAGAACCCTGGAATTGCCTACAGGTCCTCACAAGAAGTGGGAGATTCCTCATCCTGGGAATCTACAAGAAAACAAGCTGCGGACAGCCATAATGGCCAGCGTGGGAGCCACCGAAGTAGAGTGGTGAGGATCAAGCACATTTTTACCGGTATTAACTATGACTCTGATGCTATCTGGGAGACAGGTAGCACTCGTACTGGCTGTATGAAGAACAGAGTTAGGTAGCTGCTTGCCTTATAGGTATTAATACTAACTGGCAGTAGAAAGAAACTAGTTCAAGTCAAGTGTTCAAGGAGAGAGCAAAGAGAGCTAAGAGGTTATTACTTAGCTAATTTCAATAATGTTCATAGAAGGAGACCAATAGACAATAGCCAGGGAACAAAAGGTGGGCAGGTGTGGTGGGTGGGTGGGTGGACTAAGCTATTATACAAAGGCATTGATCTAATGACAACCACTAGAATAAAAATGTATGTCTTCCAGGTCAGGTGCAGTGGCTCATGTCTATAAGCCCAGTACTTTGGGAGGCTGAGGTGGGCGGACTGCCTGAGTCCAGGAGTTTGAGGCCAGCCTGGGCAACATGGCAAGACCCTATCTCTAAAAAAGAAAAAAAATTAGCTGGGCATGATGGGGCATGCCTATAGTCCCAGCTACTCAGGAGGCTGAGGTGGGAGGGTCTCTTGAGCCCAGGTGCAGTACTGCACTCTAGCCTGGGTGACAGAGTGGAGACCTTGTCTCAAAAAATAAAAACAAAAACAAACCAAAAATATACATCTAATTTCTAAATGTTACACACATGTGCCTACTCACCTTTTTCTCACTTGTGTGTTTGAGAAAACATGATGCAATGAATGCTAAGATATACAGTTACGTGAAAAAAGCAAAATGAATAAAAGTGTGTCTAGTGTAATACTGTTTCTAAGAATGGAGAGGGATCAGAGTATGTGCTCACGTTAAACAATAGAAGAATGGACCATAAAATAGAATATAAAAATAAGTGTTATCTATGGGGGAGGAAATAGGATGGAGAGAACAAAGCGTGTATACTTCTTTGAATATACATTTTGTAGATTTGACTTAGATATCATGTAAATAGTATTCATAATTATAAAACTCTAAATTCTAAAAAGCAATTTCTAAAAATTGCATGTAAAATGAAATGCAGAACCTGTGTATCCAGTTGATGGCATGATTACAGTTGAACTTAATTTTAAAACATAATTAAATTAAAAAGCCATTTCTAAGAATTATACATAAAATGAAATAATTGCATCTGATCATCCAGTTAGTAGCAGAGTGTCACATAGGGGAACTATCTCAAATGATTTTTTTTTTTAAGAGACAGAGTCTCACTCTGTTACCCAGGCTGGAGTGCAGTGGTGCAATCAGAACTCACTGTGGTCTCCAACTCCTGGGCTCAAGCAATCCTCCTGCCTCAGCCTCCCAAGTAGCTAGGACTACAGGCATACCATCACACTTGGCTAATTTTTTAAAAAATTAAGAAATGTTTTGTGGAGACAGGATATCACTTTGTTGCCTAGGCTGGTCTTGAACTCCTGGCTTCAAGTGATCCTTCCACCTCAGCCTCCCAAAGTGTTGAGATTATAGGCATGAGCCACCACACCTGGCCTCCAGTGATTTTAACACAGTCATTTGAATATATTGGTTGGATATTCCATAAAGACAAATGGAACTGCAATAAAAATATCTTTAAATGTTATTTGTGGTAGTGTTGTTTTTCTGAGGCTGTTGCATGTGCACTGTGGGATAAAGTTGAGGGATTATGGTGATGTCACTGAGCATTGGGATTTACGACTTGAGAAAGAAGAGATAAAGATTTAAGATAGATGAGGTTATATAGAAACCTTTTGTCCTGCATTTGAATTGGACATATCAGTATGAGCTCATGATGTATTTTATCATTTAAAAATGTACACATATTTCTTAGTTCTGTCCTTATCAATGAGCACACTAGCATTCAGATTACTACATATCATTTCCCACTAAAAGGAATCATGGCTCCTTGGAGAAATTACTCATCCCAGATTTGGAGCAACAAACATACAAGTTAAGCCTTGAGCATCTTATCATATCAGAAAGCCAAGAAACTAACAAAGACTATTAGGTTTATGTTGAGAGGACTTGATATCTCACTTGAATGGGCTCCCATTACCAAAGATAAGATGAGTTGAGCTTCAATAAGAATAATATCATCAATGGATATAAATATATCCAATATACTTAAATCCATGAGTTTATGATAATGATACTTAAAAATATACTATTTTTTTCCCCAGTGGGAATGCCAGTGAAACAACTCATTGGTTTGAAAAGTGGTAAATAAAGAGACAGGATCAAGTTATTTGTTGTCTTTCATATAAACTGTGTCTTGAGGTAGCCAAATAGTTTTTCTTTATAACGTTATTCAGCTAATAATTGAAGAGGAAATTATGGAATTAGAGCATCACCCTTTTGCAATCATTAATGAATTAATAAATCTTGGCAAAGTTATCAATAGCTGCTTATATCACAGAAAGAGAAACAACCAGATACCGTACACCTCTAGAGGATGAAAGTGCACAGCTTCCTCCACTCTGGGAGTGAAACAAACTCTCATAGGAAATACAGAAGGACAGAAGATCATGTTAAATGACACCCAGAGATGCAATCAGCAAAATCCAGGCTGTGGAAATCGCTATAGGACAAAAAACTTTAAAAAAACTATAAATAAATTTTTTCAAAGACAATAAAAAAGAGATGAAAGGAAAAATATAGATTAAAAGAGTCTTTTAATATCCACATATCCACAAATCACAATACATGGACTTCATTTGGACCTCGATTCAAATATGCTATAATGAGAAATTATTTTATGAGACCATGGAAGAGATTTGACTACTGATTGGATATTTGATACTATTAAGAAAATATTGTTAATTTGTAAGGTATGATAATGGCATTGTGGGTTTTTATTTTTTGTAAAGAATGCTTATCCTTTAGAGACACATACTGAACTATGGATGAAATAATGTGATGTCTGGGATGTGCTTCAATGTCATCTAAGGGTGAGAAAGTACCTTGGCATGTGGAGTATGGTGTGTGGTCATGAGTTGATGACTACTGAAGTTGGGTGATGGGAACATGGGTTGACCATTTATATACTGTTCTCTAACCTATGATTCTGTTCACAACTTTCCATAATGAAATTTCTCTAAAACAACCTGTAGCCAAGAATGACCAGCTGTAGTGGCAGTTGTTTCCTCTGCTTGATTAGGCTTCAGTCTATTCATTTATTAACGGCTACCCAATTTCTTTTGCAGAACCAACCTTTCCCACTCTCAGCTGCTGAAAATCCACATGGGGCTCACCCTATCTCCTTTTCTCACGGGCAGGAATACGGCCCAGACCTGGCCCCTCCTAGCATATTCCACCCCCCGGGGTAGCAGTGATTCATTTAGAGGTAGACAGTCACCATACTGGGCCAGTATAAGCTCTGTTTGGGAAGTCCAGTTGGACTCATTGGGAAATGATGGCCTTTCAGCCCCTCGAGTTGTTAGGCTGGTAGCACGCAAACCTAGAGCTTCTGTAAATTCTTAATGCTACTTGGAGAAAGCTCTCCTGAAAAAGAAGCCAACACAGGAAAGTGGGCAGAGACAGAGAACAAAGGATTCCTGATACCATCAGGCCTCAACACCCCACTTCCCTTGTGCCTCACCAGCTCCACCCGACACTCTTTTGAGTTCTGCCAGCCAGGAAATTCACTTTTTTCCTTAAGCCATTTTGCATTGTGTTTCTTTCACTTTCATCTGAAAGGCTCTTACTAGTTACGGCTATGCTACTTTTAAGACATACTGTATATCTGAGAGCCCAAGGAGATGGACTTTGGCCAGGTGCGGTGGCTCACGCCTGTAATCCCAGAACTTTGGGAGGCCAGGGCGGGAGGATTGCCTAAGGTCAGGAGTTCGAGACCAGCTTGGCCAACATGGTGAAATCCCATCTCTACTAAAAATACGAAAATTAGCCAGGCGTGGTGGCACGTGCCTGTAATCCCAGCTACTCGGGAGGCTGAGGCAGAAGAATCGCTTGAGCCCTGGAGGTGGAGGTTGCAGTGAGCCGAGATTGTGCCACTGCACTCCAGCCTGGGCAACAGAGCAAGACTCTGTCTCAAAAAAAAAAAAAAAAAAAAAAAAAAAGAGAGATGGACTTCATAGAGAAAAGAAAACTATAGGGGAAGGCTACCTTTAAGGGCCTCTCACATATTGTATTACTTTGTCAAATAATGGAAACCAGTAGCTCACTGTGCTTAAGAAAAATAATACATGTAGCGTTCAAGGGGCAAGAAATGTGTGGTTTTTAAAATTTTTATCACACTTTTAGAAGCTTTCTCCAAATTTGGTACTTTTTATTATAAATCCTAAGAGTGGTTTCCTTTGTTACTGTGTTTGGTTATTCAGTTTTGAAATTATCAAGCTGCATGTTACCCAGATACCCTGAAGTGCTCTACCAAAAAGAACATTCCAAATGGCATTTATGGAATTCAAAGTGAGCTGATACTGCTGATTGCATTCAATGGCAAACAGCCTGTTCCACCTCTAATATCGTTGATTTAACATTAAATATAAATGAAAACACCCTGGGGGAGAGTTTCAGAGCATGTGATCAATTCAGCTCTGACATGCTTCTTATAAAAATGAAGAATGCTCAGCCCACAAAGCTATCCCATTTATTAGACACAGACATATAGACTATTTTGTTCATAAAAATATAAATAGAACAACAGCAAGGAGCTAAAAGAGACAGAAGGATGTTTAACGGTGATAATTTCTTACATGGGGGAAAAATAACAAATCTTTTGTTTTCCAGGTTCTTTTTATTATTTGACCCAGAATTGGTAAGAAATTTTGCCTTAGTTGTTTAAGTGTGAAATACTCAAAATTTTTTTAAAGAGCAAAGAGGTTGATACAAAAGTGAAATCTTATTTGGAATAATAATATATTACAATTGTTTCTGTCTAATGACAAGATTTATAAATTTTTTGTACCTTTCTGTCTAACATATGTACCACATAGAAGAAATGAATCTATATTTTATCTTTAAGTTGTTATCAAGTGGTTTTTAAACTGCTTTTTATTGTCTACTACACGGTGGTAAATAACTTGGTGCACATAATAAAGACTGATTTAAACTACATCAAATGTGAATAAGTGAAGATGTTGAAATAAAAATGAAGTCTTATTGGAATAAGTCTGATTTGACAGACATGAGCTCCTATGTTTGTAGGTGGAATCAAAACAAATTTCAGAGTGAAAAAGGGCACTACTTTCCAGGCTTCTGTATTTTGTCTAACATTAAAAAACCAAACAAAACTATGTCGTGTGTACAAAATGTTTATCCATAACACTAGTTGTAAGAAATATCTCATTTCTTATTTTTTCTAAATAATGTATCTCTACTCTGAGCCCCTGCCCAACAGGCTGATGGGAAACATAGTTATGTCTTGGGACATTTTCCCCCTCGCCCAGGTCATACAAGGTTTTAGGGGATGCTACTCAGCTCTCGCCATTCAAAAGGGTCCTCTGGTGGTTAATCCACACCAGCTACTGAAGACTGGCCCACACATTGTCTAAGGATTCCTGGAAGGGGGTTTAAGGGTTCCTGAAAGTCAACTTGGACCTTTAACATCATAGCTAGGGCCTTTCTTTCCCTGAGCTGCATCTGGGAAAAGAGATGAGACTAGTTTCTTTCCTAAAACTCACCTTGTTATCCCTCTATTCACTTCCTCTCACCCAGAGTGGCAGCATGGTTTAAGAGAAAGTACATATACAGATAGACACTGGGTTTACCTCCTGGCTTCATCAAGTATTGCTCAACTGACCTTCAGCAAATTACAGAGCTCACTAGTATAGAATCCTGTACACAGTCAGCACTTGTCTAATCCTGTTTCCTCAACTACGAATCAGTCCAATTACGCCCCTCACAGAGATGTGTAAGGATTTGGTGTATGCTGCCCAGAGGAGGGCTTAATAAATGGTGGCTGCTTCCTTTTCTCTTTTTAGAAAAAATTCGGTTCAAGTGTTTCTTTCAGCAGCTTCTGACTGCATGAAAAAACACGCTAGCAAAAGGGTGGCAAGGGAGTACAAAATCCTTTTTTTGTATCTTTCTTGTTCAAGGAATCCTTTTCTGCCTCATCCTGCCAAGACCCTTTTGAAGATCCCATTTATAACTAAACTCTACTGCCTTAGTATTTCATTTCTGAACATGATGGTCTCTGCTAGTACATTATCTGGATTCCTGGTAGGGAGAGAGTAGATCTTGATCATTGCTACCTCCCTGCTCCCTGTTCCATTGCTTGGGAACAGGGATAAGGACTTGCCTCATTACCACCTCCTCTCTTCTCAACAATAGCATAAATGAGCTGCCATTTTGGAACATTCCCACCATTGGGGAACCATTCATCTACAGGAATTTGAAAATTGTATCCTCTTGAGAAAACAGTGAGGTGCATCTTCTACTGTTAATAGTATATTTAAGCTGTAAAGCTTTTATAATGATCATCTCTGATGGTTCTCAATGGAGTGGAAGCATCCCTCAATGATTGGGGATCACCATCAGGATTAGTGGATGGGGTCACAGAAGTTAAATGTCCTTCCATTGAAGGACAGACTTGTACAATGAAGAATGGTCTCTCACAGAATGCCTATAGTCTTCCCTTCAAACCTTTTGCGGGGATGAGGACCCTGAAGGTGTCACAGGTTCAAGTTGGGAAATCCCTGGTGTAAAGCCATGATCTTGTCTCTCCCAGATGCATGTCTCTTTCAAGCTACCACATCTCTGCATCTTAAGGACAGGAAGGGGACGCAGGGAGACTACATAGCTTGGATGCTGGTTCAGTCAGGAGACAGGAGGCTGTTAATCTGCAAGTTCACATGTAAATCATGCACATAATGCATAAATATAACTCCACACAAAAGGGCAATAAACACTGCATTTCCCCAGGGGAAATACAGGTTATTGAGTTTAATGTGAAATTAGAGGTTGGTGGGCATAAATGTGGCTCTGATTATGCTGGGTATATGATCTGACACTGGATTAGGCAGCATGGGGGAAGGTTAAATGCAGGTTAATTCCAGAATAGTAATTTGAACAATTTAGCAAATACTTCATTTCATGAATGAAGCCTAAGGTGACATGAAGAGGTTGAGAACCCAGAGGTTAGTAAAAGTGAGGCAGATGGAGATAATATAGTTAACAACACTGACGAAGTGATGGAGACATTTGAAAAATATGAGGTCAAGGCTAAAATCAATGCATATGGAAAAGCGTGAAATGAGCAATGAACCTGCTTCAGGTACAGTGCTGAACAGAAAACCAAACACCGCATGTTCTCACTCATAAGTGGGAGTTGAACAATGAGAACACATGGACACAGGGAGGGGAACATCACACACCGGGGCCTGTTGTGGGGTGGGGGGCTAGGGGAGGGATAGCATTAGGAGAAATACCTAATGCAGGTGATGGGTTGATGGGTGTAGCACACCACCATGGCACATGTATACCTATGTAACAAAGCTGCACATTCTGCACATGTACCCCAGAACTTAAAGTATAAAAAAGTCTATCAATTAATTTAGATTTGGTTACAAGAATAATAAATTATAGTAATCTTTTTAAAGGTGGGTAGTATTAAATTCCCTTTTATGGCTCTTTCGGCAAACACTTCTTTCTTTCCAATTCTATTCTGAGTACAGTGGTAGGCCTGAAGGCTAACATAATTAATAAAACATAATGTGTGCAGAGACTGGCAATATGCTCAGCCAAACTGCTCCCTGCACTGCCTGGGTGCACAGCTACACCATGCTTAGCTTCCTGGGCAGGTAGATCCATCTATATGGCTGGTTTCTTGCCAAAGGAAGGGGAGGAAAAGCGCTGTACACCTCTTTTGTAAAACCCTTCCATGCACCCTTGTATCATCTTCCCCTTCTGCCAGTTTGACAAGGACAAACTGGGAGCTCTGTGTTGAAGATTTAAGAGCCATAAAATGAAGAAGGTCTGGGCTGTTTCTCCGGATTACCCTCTGAAGGAGAGCTGTCTACCAATCAGGAGGACCCATTACGGACTTTATGTGATTGACAAACTCCTATTGTGATGGAAACTCTGTATAGTTTTGGGTTTTTTACAAGATAGAGCTACCCTAATATTGGCCATTATCATTAGGAAACACACAGAATTGTGACAAAGAAAGACAAGTTTGCAAATAGTGACAACATTGTGTTGTATAGATTATAAGCAAGGTGTAAATCCCTTTCAGTGGGTAAAAATATGAGTGCAAGCCACCCTGGGGGGTGGATTACAAAGGGTCATGGAAGCCATCACAAAAGTCTGTGATGTTTATCATTTGTTTGTTTGCTTATTATTTTTCCTATCTGTCCACTTTCTGAAAAGGATTTTAGGTGGCTACAGAGTTCATAATGTTTGCTTTATTGTCATTATTATTTCTAGCTAAAAGCCTCTGCTTCATTTCTCTTCCTCTATACACTCTTATCTTCAGGTTGGTCTCTTTAAGCTTCATTGGTTGAGGTCAAAGGGCAACAAACAAGGCCTGTGGGCTAAATTTGCCCTCTCCCCATCCCCATTTCTGTAAATAACATTTTATTGGAATAGAGCCATAATAATTTGTTTATGTATTAATATCATCTATGGCTGCTTTTGCACTACAATGGCAGAATTAAGTTGTGACAGAGACCCTTATGGCCTGCAATGCGTAAAATATTTACTATCTGGGCCTTTTAAGGGAAAAGTTTGTTCATCCCTGATTTGGGTCATTCCTAACCTAATCTCGACCCAAGCAGGGCACATGCCAGTGGCCCCTGAATTTCTTCACATCCCCTTCACTCATATATGACAGAACAGTGAAGTCACTCTGGTTCCTGTCACCATGTCACACTGCTGCACACCTATGTGTCCCCAAAGTCAAGTTCACTGCCAAACTCTCAGTTTCAGTGCCGCAAGGCTGAGTCTAGGTATGTTTACAAACCCTGAGTCTTAGAGCTTTTTAACTGCTTTTCAAGTTATCTTCATCCTGAAAGTCTTGAATTTCCACCCAGATTCCTCTCTTTGGTTTTGATTGGATACCCAGGCTTGTGCTCCAATCTCCTACCCTGCAATTTCCAGAGCAGTAATGACAGCATCTGACACAGTGACCTAACTTGCTACAGGCCACAAAGTGCTTCATGTACATAATCTCATTCCATCCTGAGACAAAGGCTTGGAAGTACAAATTCTTAGCCACATTTATAGACTAGGAGACTAAGACCCTGAGACTTAAGTAATTTGCTCATGATCATTCAGCTATAGTGATGCCGCTGGTAATAACCTTGATGAGGACAATGATAATTCAAATGTATTAAGAGCTGACTATGTGCTCTTACTCCGCTAAGAGCTTTACTTACTCTGTTTTATTTAATTCTTCCAACAATTGTATAAGATAGGTCTTCATGTTATAGGTGAGGAAACTGAGGATTATATAAATTAAGTTCCTTGTGCAAGTCACAAACAGCTAATACATTACAGAGGTAGAACTTGAACTCAGATTTTTCTGACTTCTACCCCCCTATGTCTTTTCACTGGGTAGCACACAGCAGGACAATATTTTGAAATAGTCACCAAAGTTTCCCTCCCACCCCCATACCTTTCATTCCTTTACTCTGTTCCAGCAGCTCTATTTCTTTGCCCATTTGGTCAGCCAGATCATATAACACTCATTACTTCAGGAAAGGATTGTTACAGAAGAAAGTAAAGAAATATCTAGGTTTTAGAAACTGAGGGTAAAAGCTGTAAGCTAGGATGCTGATATGGTTTGGCTGTGTCCCCGCCCAAATTTCATCTTGAACTGTAGCTCCCATAATTCCCATGTGTTGTGGGAGGGACCTGCTGGAAAATAATTGAATCATGAGGGCAGTTTCCCCCATACATTTCTTGTGGTACTAAATAAGTCTCATGAGATCGAGTGGTTTTATAAGAGGTTTCCCCTTTTGCTTTGCTCTCATTCTCCCTTGTGCCACTATGTAAGACGTACCTTTTGCCTTCTGCCATGATTGTGAGGCTTCCCCAGCCATGTGGAACTGTGAGGCCATTAAACCTCTTTTTCTTTATAAACTGCCCAGTCTCAGGTATGGCTTTATTAGGAGTGTGAAGACGGACTAATACAGATGGTTATTACATAAACCAGAGTAAAGCTTAGTCCTCCCCAGAATGGGGATTAGTCTGAGGATGGGGAAAATGGGGTGAACTACAGGACAAGCAACGGGTCCAGACTTGTAGTTGCCTGTGAAAGGGCAGGCATGCTCCCTGTCTTTTCAGAAGCTGATTCTCCAGGAAGAACCAACTGGGAACCCCCAGATAGCCTTGAAGAATTAAAGAGCACAGCAACCTGTGCCTTCTTTTCTAGTCAGAACCCTGGGAAGGTGACAAGATTCTGGAGGAAATTAGCCCCAGAGGCTATTCTATGTCCCATAATGGCTCAGGAGTGGCAAGTGCATGCAAGATGACAGAGAAGTGGCTAAGGGAGGGTTGACAATGGTGAACAAGGGGTGACATGTTGGCTTCCTTTCTAGGTGAGTAGTCAAAGACAGACCAAATGGGTACAAATATATCTCAGCAAGTTCTGGTAAGACAGATGATGTGACCCAGGAGTGGGTAAACTTCACATCTCCCAATGCCTCCTCTCATTAAAACAACCCTCTACAGGTCGACTCAGCTCTAAGGAAAACAGGATGAACTGATCATACACTGGAATAGGGATTTGAAATAAATATTAGATTATTATAGATAATATATAGATAATGTTACACTTCTCTCACATCTGAGTGTGTGGCCTGAGATTCTTGCCCACCACACCCACCCACTGTGTTACCTGTAAAAATAGATTTCGCTGTAAGCTCCTACAGCTCTCCGTTCTCTCTAGGCAATAAGGTTTATACTTTGGTTCTGGGCATGTTCTGACCACAGGGAAAATACACAGCCTCACCAAAATGATTTTTTTTTGTCTTTTCATCTACTTATAGAAAAGGCAGGCAATCACTTGCAAATTTGTAGTTCCAAAGGAAGAACAGAACATGGCACTGGTTCAATAATTATCTCCTTCCATTTTTTTCTTAATAAAGTAAGATGTTAAGACATTCAGTAGTGTCAACCATATGAGATCATTGAAAACATGCCCTAATTTAAAATTTATTCTGATTCTTCAATCTTTAACATTCATTTTCCATACATGAGTTGCATAAAAGCATCTAGAGTAGTGAAGAGACTTAATAAGTAAGTGGGACATGGTCATTAACAAAATCTAAGGACATTAAGATAATCTGGGTGAAGTCATTTTTCTTATTAATTTCCGTCATTATATATCATTATAGCTTTTATGAACTATGCTCCCAAATCCCTTTTTCTACTTCAGCCTTGTTATAATGTTTTCCCACACTTTCCATTTTCTAGAATCACCAACCTCTTTCTCCTCAGGCTCTGTAATTTGCAATTATCAGAAAACGTGTATGCTGCAAGTGTGTATGAGGTGAGATTACAATTTGTAGTGTCAGCATACCATAGAGCTGTTTCTTTTGTGTTTTCACTGGAGTTGCTTGCTGGTCTTAATAAGGCCTTATTATATTACACATCATTGTGCATATTTTATGTGTCAGATACTTGGCAGATGTTCTTTGCTTTGTTGTTATTATTATTCTTATTATTTTTTGAGATGAAGTCTCTGTCGCCCAAGCTGGAGTGCAATGGCGTGATCTCGGCTCACTAAAACCTCCACCTCTCAGGTTCAAGCGATTCTCCTGCCTCAGCCTCCTGAGTAGCTGGGACTACAGGCATGCGCCACCATGCCCGGCTAATTTTTGTATTTTTAGTAGAGAAAGGGTTTCACTATGTTGGCCAGGCTGGTCTGGAACTCCTGACCTCAGATGATCTGCCTGCCTTGGCCTCCCAAAGTGCTGGGATTACAGGCGTGAGCCACCATGCCCGGCCCTGCTTTGTTATTTTACTAAGCAGCATCATGGTGCACCTAAGTCCATCTAACATTAGGCAGGAAGATGACCTTTCTAATATACTCTTCTGCAGACAGAATGCCCCTGGAACATGATCTGATTTGACTTTCCATTATAATTCTGATGAGGTGGGACTGATGAAAAGACAGGTGTGCTAGGATCTAATTTTTGGATGGATCCCTTCTAAATGGCCTATTTTGCTCTGAATAGTCTTGCCAATCTCCCATCGACTGCAATAAGCAGGTACTCCTGACAACTCCCTACTAAAATCAAGGCAACTGCTTAGCAGTCCTGGGATAGGAGACAGACTACTTGTGTATAATCCAAAAAAGGGAGTGTGTCTATGGGGCATACAAGATAAGACTCAGGTTCTAAAGGCCAGTTACAGCTCTGTCATTTGCTGGGCCCCCCAAGTAAGAAAAACTTAATGTGCCACATGGTTAGACTTGGCCCACTTTGGACCACTAGGTCCTGGTTTGTAGGGTTTCTGCTGAGAAATCTGCTGATAGTTGTATTGGCTCTCCTTTTAATATGGTGTGTTTCTAGTTTCTTGCTGCTTTCAGAATTTTTTCTTTGTCTTTGATTTTTGGTAGTTTGATTAATATATGTCTTGGTGTACTCCTCTTTGGATTGATTTTTTTTTTTTTTTGAGACAGGATCTCACTTTGTCACCCAGGCTGTGCAGTGGTGCCATCATAGCTCACTGCAGCCTCAACTCCTGGGCTCAAGTGATTCTCCTGCCTCAGCCTCTCGAGTAGCTGGAACTACAGGTGTGTACCACCATGCCTGGCTAATTTTTAAAATTTTTTTGTAGAGACCAGGTCTCACTATGTTGACCAGGCTGGTCTTAAACTCTTGGCCTCAAGTGATCCTCCCACTTTGGCCTCCCAAAAATGCTAGGATTACAGGTGTGAGTCACCATGCCCAGCCTTTGGATTAAATTTGATTTGGAAATCCATACGCTCCCTGTATCTAAGTGTTGCTATCTATCCCCAGATTAGAAAAGTTTTCCACTATTATTATTTTTTAATAAACTTTTTTTATTGATACATAAGAGATGTGTGTATTTTGGGGGTGCATGTAATATTTTGATATATTCGTATAATGTGTAATGATCAAATCAGGGTAATTGGGATATCTGTCATCTTAAACATTTAACTTTTCTTTATACTGGGAACACTTGAGTAATTCTCTTTTAGCTATTTTGAAATATACAATAGATTACTGTTAACTGTAGTCATTCTGCTGATCTATAAAACACTAGGTCTTATTTATTCATCTAACTGTATTTTTGTACCCATTAATCAACTTCTCTTTATCCCTCCCTTCCCTGCACCCTTCTCAGCCACTGGTAACTATCAATGTACTCTCCATCTTCCTGATATCCAGTTTTTTAGCTCCCACATATTAATAAAAACATGCAATATTTGTTTTTCTGTGTCTGGCTTATTTCACTTAACATAATGAACTGGAGTTTCATCCATGTTGCTGCAAATAAAGGATTTTTTTTTATTGCTGGATAATATTCTACCGTGTATATATACTACATTCATTTTCTTTATCCATTCATCCATTGATGAACACTTAGGTTGATTCCATATTTTGGCTATTGTGAATAGTGCTGCAATAAACACGAGAGTGCAGATATCTCTTTGATAGATTGATTTCCTTTATTTTGAATATGTATCTAGTAGTGATATTGCTGGATAATATGGTAGTTCTATTTTTAGTTTTTTGAGGAACCTCCATATTGTGTTCCCTAGTAGCTGTACTAATTTACATTCCCACCAACAGTGATGGTATGAGGGTTCCCCTTTCTCAACATCCTCTCCAGCATTTGTTATTGCCTGTCTTTTAATAAAAGCCATTTTAACTGTGGTGAGATGACATCTCACTGTGGTTCTGATTTGTATTTCTCTGGTGATTAGTGATGTTGAGCATTTTTTATATACCTGTTGGTCATTTCTATGCCTTCTTTTGATAAATGTCTATTCAGATCTTTTGCCCACTTTTAATTGGATTATTCTTTTTTTTCCTATTGAGCTGTTTGTGTTCCTTATATATTATTATTATTAATCCCTTGTCAGATGAATAGTTTGCAAATATTTTCTCCCATCCTATGAGTTGTCTTTTTACCTTGTTGATTGTTTCCTTTGCTGTGCAGAAGATGTTAGCTTGATGTAATCTCATTTGTCAGCCATTATTTTTAAAGATATACTTTCTGGCCCCTTTTCTCTTTCTTCTCCTTCTGCGATTCCTATTATACAAAGGTTGGAGTATTGTCAAACTAACTATTGAACAAACTAACTATTGTTTGACTATTATTATTTTGTTAATTGTTTTCAGGCTGTTTTGTAGTGCCTTTGTCACTTCATTCCTCTCTTGCTGTATTCTTCTGTGATTTGTTAATATTTTGTAATGATATACTTTGATTCCTTTCTCCTTATCTTTTGTGTATCTACTAATAGTTTTTTCTTTGTGGTTACCATGAGGCCTACATAAAACACCTTATAGTTATAATAGTTAATTTTAAGCTGATAACAACCTAATTTCAATTGTATACAAAACTCTACACGTCTAACTCTCCCTGCCCCCAAATTATATGTTATTGATGTAATACTTTACATGTTGTATTTTCATTAACAAGTTGTAGCTGTAGTTATTTTTTAATACTTTTGTCTTTCGACTTTCATACTGTAGTTAAAAGTGATTTATACACTACCATTACAGTATTAGAGTACTCTGAATTTAACTATGTAGTTCCCTTACCAGTGAGATTTATACTTTCATGTTTTCAGGTAGTTACTTAGCATCCTTTCATTTCAACCTGAAGAACTCACTGTAGCATTTCTTCTAAGGCAGATATACTGGCAATGAACTCCCTCAGCTTTTGTCTAGGAATATCTTTCCGTCTCTTTCATTTCTGAAGGACAGCTTTGTTGTGTATAGTATTCTCTTTTTGAGATGGGATCGCACTGTGTTGCCCAGGCTGGTCTTAAACTCCTGGGTTCAAGTGATCCTCTAGCCTCAGCCTCCCAAATAGCTGAGACTACAGGTGGGTGTCACTGCCCCTGGCTAAGTATTCTTGGTTGGCGGTTCTTCCTAGCATTTTGAATATATCATCCATTCCTGGCCTGCAAGGTTTCTGATGAGCAATCCACTGATAGTTTTATAAGGGTTTTCTTGCATGTGACAAGTTGCTTTTCTCTTGCTGCTTTCAATATTCTATGTCTGTGTTTGGCTTTTAAAAATTTGGTTATAATGTGTCTTAGAGTAGTCTTTGGATTGATTCTGCTTGAGACCCTTTGATTTGTATAAATCTGGATGTCCATATCCCTTCCAAGATTTAGGACGTTTCAGCCATTATTTCTTTAAATAAGCTTTTTCCCCTTTTTTCCTTTTCTCCTTCTAATATTCCCATAATGCATATATTCATTCAATTGATGGTATCTCATAGGACCTGTATGCTTCCTTTACTCTTTTTTATTCTTTTTACTTTCTGTTCCTCTAACTGGGTAATTTCAAATAGCCTGTCTTCACATTTGCTGATTCTTCTGCATAATTGAGTCTGCTGTTGAAGCTATTAAAATGTTTAGTTTTGTCATTGTATTCTTTAGCTCCAGGATTTCTGTTTGGTTCTTTTTATAGTTCACCTCTCCTCTCCTCTCCTCTCCTTTCCTCTCCTCTCTTCTCCTCTTTTCTTCTTCTTTCCTTCTTTCTTTCCTTCTTTCCTTCCTTCCTTCCTTCCTTCCTTCCTTCCTTCCTTCCTTTCTTTCTTTCTTTCTTTCTTTCTTTCTTTCTTTCTTTCTTTCTTTCTCTTTCTTTCTTTCTCTCTCTCTCTCTTTCTTTCTTTCTTCCTCCCTTCCTTTCCCTTCCCTTCACTTCCCTTCCCTTCACTTCCCTTCCCTTCCTTTCCTTTTTCCTTTCCTTATTACTTCCTTTCCTTTTTCCTTTCTTTTCTTTTCTTTTTTTGAAACAGGGTCTGGCTATGTTGCCCAGGCTACAGTGCAGTGGTGTGATCTTGGCTCACTGAAACCTCTGCCTCCTGGGCTCAAGTCATCCTCCCACCTCAGCCTCCCAAGTTGCTGGGACTACAGATTCGGGCCACCACATCTGGCTAATTTTTGTAGAGATGGGGTTTTGCCATGTTGCCCAGGCTAGTCTTGAACTTTTGGGCTCAAAGCCATCTGCCTGCCTTGGCCTCCCAAAGTGCTGGAATTACAAATGTGAATCACCACGCCTGACCTGTATTTCTTTATTAAACTTTTTATTTTGTTTATGTATTGCTTTTTGTTTTTCTTGGTGGTCTGTGTTCTCTTGTATCCCACTGAGCTTCATTAAGGTGATTATTTTGTATTATTTTTCATGTAATTTATATATCTCAAATGATATCTCTTAGGGGCAATATTCTATGTCTGTGTTTGGCTTTTAAAAATTTGGTTATAATGTGTCTTAGAGTAGTCTTTGGATTGATTCTGCTTGAGACCCTTTGATTTGTATAAATCTGGATGTCCATATCCCTTCCAAGATTTAGGACGTTTCAGCCATTATTTCTTTAAATAAGCTTTTTCCCCTTTTTTCCTTTTCTCCTTCTAATATTCCCATAATGCATATATTCATTCAATTGATGGTATCTCATAGGACCTGTATGCTTCCTTTACTCTTTTTTATTCTTTTTACTTTCTGTTCCTCTAACTGGGTAATTTCAAATAGCCTGTCTTCACATTTGCTGATTCTTCTGCATAATTGAGTCTGCTGTTGAAGCTATTAAAATGTTTAGTTTTGTCATTGTATTCTTTAGCTCCAGGATTTCTGTTTGGTTCTTTTTATAGTTCACCTCTCCTCTCCTCTCCTCTCCTTTCCTCTCCTCTCTTCTCCTCTTTTCTTCTTCTTTCCTTCTTTCTTTCCTTCTTTCCTTCCTTCCTTCCTTCCTTCCTTCCTTCCTTCCTTCCTTCCTTTCTTTCTTTCTTTCTTTCTTTCTTTCTTTCTTTCTTTCTTTCTTTCTCTTTCTTTCTTTCTCTCTCTCTCTCTTTCTTTCTTTCTTTCTCCCTTCCTTTCCCTTCCCTTCACTTCCCTTCCCTTCACTTCCCTTCCCTTCCTTTCCTTTTTCCTTTCCTTATTACTTCCTTTCCTTTTTCCTTTCTTTTCTTTTCTTTTTTTGAAACAGGGTCTGGCTATGTTGCCCAGGCTACAGTGCAGTGGTGTGATCTTGGCTCACTGAAACCTCTGCCTCCTGGGCTCAAGTCATCCTCCCACCTCAGCCTCCCAAGTTGCTGGGACTACAGATTCGGGCCACCACATCTGGCTAATTTTTGTAGAGATGGGGTTTTGCCATGTTGCCCAGGCTAGTCTTGAACTTTTGGGCTCAAAGCCATCTGCCTGCCTTGGCCTCCCAAAGTGCTGGAATTACAAATGTGAATCACCACGCCTGACCTGTATTTCTTTATTAAACTTTTTATTTTGTTTATGTATTGCTTTTTGTTTTTCTTGGTGGTCTGTGTTCTCTTGTATCCCACTGAGCTTCATTAAGGTGATTATTTTGTATTATTTTTCATGTAATTTATATATCTCAAATGATATATCTTAGGGGCTGCTTATTGAAGCCTTAATAGTTTCCTTTTGTGGTGTCATGTTTGCTTGATTCTTCGTGATTCATGTAGCCTTGAGTTGGTATCTGTGCATTTGAGAGGGCAAACATCTCTTTCAGTCGTTTTTTTTGTTTGTTTGTTTTGTTTTCTTTTTTTTAGACAGAGTCTTGCTCTGTTGCCCAGGCTGGAGTCCACTGGTGTGATCGTGGCTCATTGCAACCTCTGCCTCCTGGGTTCAAGCGATCCTCCCATCTCAGCCTCCGGCGTAGCTGGGACTACAGTCACACACCACCACAGCAGGCTATTTTTTTTTCTTTTTGTATTTTTAGTAGAGACTGGATGTCACCATGTTGACCAGGCTGATCTCAAACTCCTAACCTCAAGTGATCCACCCACCTCGGCCTCCCAAAGTACTGGGATTACAAACTTGAGTCACTGCACCCGGCCCTCTTCCAGTCTTTATAGGCTGGTCTTTATAGACTGGTTTCAGCTAGTAAATACCTTATCTTGTTGATTTATGAGATTGCCTCTGCAATTGTAGTGGAGCCAGATCATGTGACTACTGCTGTATTTGCAATGGGGTCTGCTAGATTTCCAGTTTTTACAGACTGGTCTTTATAGACTGGTTTCAGCAGGTAAAGACCTTCTCTTGTTGACTGATGAGATTGCCTCTGCAATTACAGTAGAGCTAGATCATGTGACTACTGCTAGATCTGCAATGGGGTCTTGCAATGGGGGGTAGGCCTATTTCCAGAGCCTTGGGAGAGCATGGATCCTATCTCATTCCTGAGTGGACTGGAATGCTTCTAGGATCTTCATTAATTGGGCTGATGCTGGGACAAGGTTCCACAGATCATCGGCCTGTTACTAGGTACACAGATCATTGTAGCTTCCACCTGATCCCTGGGAGGGTTATTGCTGGACCATTGGGTAGGTTTCTGAGTAAGCATAACTGGTCCTGGACTGTGGTTGAGAGGGGCTGGAAATGAGTCATAGGGCTACTTCAGGGTCCACAGTCAAGATCAAGATCCGCAGGCCTGCTTCTGGGGACACAGATGGACATGCTTCCTCGTGGTTTCCTGGGTGGGAAGGACTGTGGCTGTGCAGGGCTGGAGCTGGATCACAGTGTTGCTTTAAGATCTGTAGTTGGACCAAGGCTAGCAGGCCTGCCTGTGGTGGCACAAATGGGCATGTCACTCAACAGGTCCCTAGGTGGAGTCGGGGAATCAGGACTGCTCCTGAATACCAGATGAGAGTGGCTGGAATTGAGTTTCAGGGCTGTTTCAGGATCTGCAGTTGGATCAAGGTTGGCAAGTCTGCCTCTAGGGCACAGAGAAGCCTGTCTCCCTGACCATGGCTGAGAGGAGCTAGGGCCAGGTTATGGGGCCACTTCAGGATCCACATTCAGATGGAGGTCAGTAGGCCTGCCTGAGGGGACACAGGGTGTCCCTGGGTGGGCACGACTGCTCCTAGATTATGGCTGAGAGAGGCTGGAGCTGAATTATGGGGCTGTTTCAAAATCTGTGGAACTAAGTTCATTAGGCCTACCTCTGGGGGTATGAACTGGCCTATTTCCCAGCAGGTCCCAGGACAGGTGGGACTGCTCGCAGACAATGGCTGAGAGAGGCTGGAGCTTGGTCACAAGCCACTCTAGGGTCCACAACTGGGGCCAAGGTCAGCAGATCTGTTACCCAAGGCCAAGGTAGGTATGACTCTTCCCGGGTCCCTTGATGGATAATGCCAGTGGTAGGACTAAGGCCAAACAGGGCTGTAGCCAACTCCACGGGGGGATGTGGTTGTTTCTGGGTCTGTATTTGGGATCATAGTCAGTGAGTCTGCCACCAAGGCCTGGGTGGGTCTGCCTTCTCAAAATGGCCCTCCTCAGTCTTGGGCTCCACCAGGGTTTAGTGACCTACTTGGATTCCAAAACTCCCACAAAGCCACTTTTGTCCATAGGTGGCTGCCAAATTATAGTTGCTATGGGGGATACCAGTGGGGGACCTCATTTTGCCACCTTGTTAATGTCACTCCCCTATCATTTATTCTTATTTCTTATTACAGTTACTTTCTTATTGAAAGAACACTACCGCTACCCAGGAAAGCTCTCCAATTCCCAGGGTATTAGTATAGAAGGGGTGACATGTCTGACAGATGTGAGCAACCCTCTGTAGATAAATAGCCATAACTATAACACTGCTCATCAATTAGATTAGTAGGAATAATCAACATAAATAGTGGGAGAAGGGCAGATGGAGGGATAGTTAGCTGCCCTATTACAGATGTTGGGAGAAAGGGGAATTAGTCTCCAGTTTGACCAGTGTACCTTCTTATTATGGGATGGGCAATTTTCCACTTCAACTGCTTTGATAGAAAAGGATAAGAGCAAGTTGTTTATAAGCTTGACTCTTCAATGTTAGCATCTGGTACTGAGGAAGGGGGAGAAGGGGAGGAAGAGAGACAGCATTCTTAGAGTCTGCTGCCCCGGCTCTAAAACTGGGACTAACTTTAGGGAGTCAAAAACCATTCTAATATTGTATGCAGAACTTTGTATACACGTGGGTTTCTCTGGATGGAGGGAAAAGTCTATGGCATTTATCAGGTTCCCAGTTGCATCTCTAATCCAAAAAATCTAGTGCACCCATTCTAACAGGAGTTAGTAGATTTATGTTGCTGCCTTGAAGGACCAAATTTTGAGGTTGTGATTCGGGACAGCCACCTAGGCAATGGTTTTTTTTTCAATATCTGCAGGTTGGAAAGTGAGTGTCCATCAAGAAGGTCTGGGGTTTCTAGGGTCAAAGGAAAGATCTACTTTACAACTCCCTTCTCATGCATAAACCTGCCCTTCCACTTCGCGTTGATGGCTACTCTTTACCAGCATCAATAATATCCCTTAATACACCATCCATCTCCACCAAACATTCCTACCAAATACTACCCTCGCCAACAGCATTGTCCAGTCATAAATATATGGAAATTAATTAGAATTCTTCTCCTTGAGGGCAAGAATCATGCCTACGTATCTATACATGCTCAGTGCCTTATATGATGTCTGTTAATCCTCAATAATTCTTTGTTGAAGTCAAATGAATTTAATTGGGCTGGCTAGCCGTGGGAGTGGGAAGGCAAGGCACAATTCATAATGTTTCTATGGGCAATAATACTCCTTACTTTTTAAAAATAAAATTTTGGAGACTGCTTTCAGTTAATTAGTCTAATTGTGAAAAGAAAATTATCCTTAGATACTTTTAAAGAAGAAAGATATGGTAATTTGTAAAGGGCATGGATTCTTCAAAGATTTTAGTCCTCAAACACCATTATACAGTCTGAGTTAGAGTTAACAACTTAGAAGACTATGAAGTGAACAGAATTCATCTAATTTCAGTGCAGCAATTATAGCTTTTTGAGACTACATGAAAAAACCAAAATGTTGTTAGTATAGCAGTAAATTGGTCTCTGCAAAACTCTTTCATTTTCTCAAGAAAAAAATAATTTTCCATAATAGAGTAACTAAATGATAAGAAAAATAATCCACCAAGAAACACAAATGGATCTGGGAACAAAAAATGATCCATGAACACATGCTGCAATGGGGGAAAAGGAACAAAACAAGACTACACCACTAAAGCCAGCAAATGGATGCCAATTTTTAAAGAGAGAATTTTACAGTGTTATCAAAATGATGAGTGTTTTTCCAAATTTCCTTAGTGGCTAAGAAAACGGGATGTTTTTTATTATACAGAAAGGGAATTTATCTTGTGTAAGATATAGACCTTAAAACATATATCAGCTGAGGAGCCCAGTAAAAAGGGGATTATTTTACAAGAGCTAAGTGTTTAGGTTAGTACACATTATGGCAGACAGATGACTAAACTTATGGGAAGGCACAGGAATATTTTGTAATGTGTGATCATTTTCATTAGTGAGACATACATTATTTTAACATTGTGGTTTAGTAAGAGTGAAAAGGTTGTGAGCCAGACAGTTTCTGTTGCAACTACTCAACTCTGTTATTGTAGCAGGAAAGCAGACATAGATAAAATGCAAATGAGCAAACATGGCTATACCCAGCAAAATATTTATGGATACTAAAATCTGAATTTTATATGATTTCCATGTGTCACAAAATATATTTTTTCAACTTTTAAAAAATCGTATAAAAAAACCTACCTTTCTTAGCTGATGGACTTTACAAAAACACGTGGCAGGCTGGATTTGAACTTGGAGCTGTTTGCCATCCTCTCTTTTAACTGGTTCATTTTGTTATATGTAAAGTTCTATAGAGAGCGCTTTTTTTACAGATATGCCATTTTCTTCTACAAGCGTTAAACCAGAAATAAAATATCTTTCTTGGAAATAATCTTTCTAAAAGTCCCTGGAACAACTGCTAGGAAGTGATCACACTTTCAGATAGGTTTTTCTCTGTCACTGCCCTGCAGCAGGCAATTAAGTCACAGCCAACCTAAACACAGATATTTTATTTCTTCTATCATCCTCCAGGCACAAAAATCAATAGGACTAATCACAGAGGTGCGCACCTAGGGGAAAACAAAACATCCATGCAACTTCTGCCATCAAGCCCAAACATGGCATTCCAGGATGCAAGCCGATAGAAGGCTCAGAGCCTGCCTAGATAAGGTATGCCCCTGCTGACACCCACACACATCTCAAGAGAGAAGTTATTCCAGATGAACACTGCAGCTCCTTCCCAAGGGCTCTTACATACAGAGTCTTTCTATATTCTGGCTCCCCTTGTCCATAGAAAGATTGGAGACATTCTCAGGTCTTGTTCCCGATGCATAGTGAATATGACACAAGTCTCAGTGTCTGCTCCTGTGTAAGACCATTCCTTGGAGATCTGGATGCCCCAGGAGTACAAGTATGACTTTTCTAGCCATCTGGGAAGACTCCATTAAGCCCAGACTGAAGTAGAGTGACTGTCTTAGTCTGTTTGAGCTGCTACAACAAAGTACCTTAGACTGGGTAATTTGTGAATAATTGAAATTTATTTCTCACAGTTCTGGAGGCAGTGAAGTCCAAGATCTTCCAGTAGATTTGGTGTTTGGTAAAGGCCACATTCCTCAAAGACAGTACTTTGTCACTGTGTCTTTACATGGGAGAAGGAGCAAGGCAATTCTCTTCAACTTTTTATAAGGATACTAATCCCATTCACGATGCAGAGACCTCATGACTTAATCACTTCCCTAAAGGCCCCACCTATTAATACAATCACACTGGGTATCAGGTTCCAACATAACAATTTTGAGGGGGCACTAACATTCAGACCATAGCAGTGACCAACCATTCCAGAGTTTCCCTGGGACATGGGCCTTTTACATGCTAAAACTAGGATGGTTGCTTACTCTTAAGTGCCTTCTCTTTCTATTTCTCTTTTTGCTCCTCTCCCAGTTCTTCCAAGAGTGCTTGACCCTCCAGAACCTCTTTGTGAAGCAAAAGCTGAACTAGGCTTGAGAAAGAAACTTTCTCTGAAAGACCCCAGAAATACTCCACTTAGTGCCTTTCCCAAAGTACAGATGTATTAGGTTGGTGCAAAAGTAATTGAAGTTTTTGCCATTACTTTCAATGGCAAAAACAGCAATTACTGTTGCACCAACCTAACACTTTCCGTAATGAGTGAGCATAAATGTTAGGAAATCCCCTCTTCAGTGAAAAGTGTTCTGATAACCTCAGCTTTGGCTTCAATCTTGGTTGAAAATATGAGTTTATAAAAGACAAATGTCATGTCTCCTTATTCCTCAACACTCCCATAGAATGAATGGATCCATTCATATGATAGGCCCAGCTTCTTCATTTAAAAAACTTCTAAAGAACTCTTTTCCCTTAAATTCACTAAGGAGGTATAACTCCAGTGGGCTTCTAAAGGGATTCTTGACCAATATTTTTTAACATAACATAAAATACATTTTCTGGTGCCCCATTAAGAATATCACATAACAAACTACTTATATTTACAATAAAACTAAACCAATAAACCACTTGTATTTTGTAAACTCTTAGCTTTGACCTAATTATCCTATTGCCACAGTTGATAATCTCAAATTTCAGTAATGAAGCACTTAGTCAAATATGAAGTATCAGTGAACTGTATGTTTGTATATCCATGGGATTATGTATATAAAATTACTCATCACTTTGTGCTGAATTCAGGTATTGTGTTTTGATCTCCCTGATTATGAAAAATCAATGTGTTAGTAATTCTGGAAGGAAAAAATGAACCTTTGGATATAGGAGTCATAAAAATTTTAAACTGAGGCATATGTACCTTCAATGTTAACAGAGAGTGGACAATTAGGAGTTTTGTGTTTATGGAGTATGTGTTTTGATATTACAGGTCAGTGTCAGCAGCATTTTCAACCATGTGTATGTGTTGGCTTGCATTTCCATCCTAAATTGTCCCACAGGAGGCTCTTCCTCTGCTAATTGAGACCTCAGAGCTGTGCAGCAGCCTTCAAAGCAGAACAGGACACAGGTGAATGAGTCACTCACCTGACCAGATCGATGACCCGCTCTCTGGGTGCAGCGCTGACCGGTTCATCATTAATCATTACAATCTGATCTCCCGGGATCAGCTTGCCTTCAGAGGGGCCACCTGGAGACAAATAGAATGAAGCACAGGTGAGAAGACCATTAGCAACCTATCCCAAGCCTCCTCTCCTGATCATGATTCACTGTGAGCAAATGGTGCTATCAGCAAAACCGAAACCCAACCACACTTGGGTGTTCTTTGGACAATTCTGAGGCCCAGGCTTTACCCTGACCAGTTAAATCAGAATCTTTCGGGATGGGACCCAGGCATCCACATTTTTCTAAAACTTTGCAAGCAAGGTCGAGACTCAGTCTAGCAGTGCTTCTCACACTTTATGGTGAATCACCTGGGGATCTTGTTACCATGCGGGGGTGCGGGGTGAGATAATGCAGTTCTCACAAGCTCCCAGGTGCTGCTGATGCTGCTGGTCAACAGGCCATATTGTGTGTGTGTGTGTGTGGTGAGGCCCCTAGAAGGAGCTATTCTCTCAACAGGTAGCCAATCAGTTGTGTTGATACCCTGTGGCCAAAGCTGCAACAATTCGGCACAGCTGGATTCAAACAAAGGTGCATTTATGTACTTATTACAAGTAGGGAGACAGCATACTGTGGGGAATCGTAAGATATCTCAGTAAAAGGGTGTTCGGATGTGAAGGTGATCTGGCTGTGTCATCTGTTGCCCCATTGATCGCCAGGGTTGATTCAGCTGATCTGGCTGGCTAGGCAGGTGTCCCCTTCCTCCCTCACAGCTCCATGTGCATCCCTCCAGCAACCCTCCCACCTCAGCCTGCTGAGTAGCTGGGACCATGGGCACACACCACTCACCCGGCTAATTTTGTTTGTTTGTTTGTTTATTTATTTATTTTGAGATGGAGTCTTGCTCTGTCGCCCAGGCTGGAGTGCAGTGGCACGATCTCGGCTCACTGCAAGCTCTGCCTCCCGGGTTGATGCCATTCTCCTGCCTCAGCCTCCCCAGAAGCTGGGACTACAGGCGCCCGCCACCATGCCCAGCTAATTTTTTGTATTTTTAGTAGAGACGGGGTTTCACCGTGTTAGCCAGGATGGTTTCGATCTCCTGACCTCGTGATCCACCCGCCTCAGCCTCCCAAAGTGCTGGGATTACAGGCGTGAGCCCCTACACCCGGCCCTGTTTACTTTTTGTAGAGACAAGATCTCACTGTGTTGCCCAGGCTGGTCTCAAAATCCTGGGCTCAAGCAATCCTCCCACCTCAGCCTCCCAAAATGCTGGGATTACAGGCTTGAGCCACTGTGCCTGGCCCTTTTCTCTTTCCGTTGTTTCCAAGAAGGGAGTAGGAAACTAATATTTGTTCAGCATTTATTATGCACCAGGCAATGGGTTAAATTCTTGGCCTAGTAACTTCACTGAATACTATAATGCCTTCCATATAATGAGATAATTGAGGCTTACACAGGTTAAAGAATTGACTTGAAGGACGGACTAGATCTTAGCTTGGACTCTTCCAAGTTCAGAATGGTGAATGTCCCTTTTGAATTTGTTCCTATAATTCAGAACCTAGTCACTGCCAGGTTTCTTGACACATAAACTTAAAACCACATCTGAGTGAAGCATACATCTATATTTAAGTAAGATATAAAAACAATTACCTGAATTAAGCTCTAGACATGTGCAATTACCTCCCAAATATTGATACGGTAGCATATGGTACTATAATTTTAACTATATTTCCACAGGTCTGACTCTGGGTGATAGTTGCAGCTGAAACGCTATCTTTCAAATATTATTGCTATTACTTCATTTAGTAATTGAAATGAACACTTCATACCCAGAACATGGAACTGAAAGTAATTCAGTTGTTCTCTACCCACCCAGATACGAGGCATATGTGTCATTCAAGCTGTAGCATAAATTTGTCTTCCTTCCGGGAAGTAAGAGAGTAGGAGAAACTTAACATGTCCTTATATTACTGATACAAAATATTCATTTTACAGATGTGGGATTCAGTGTTTGCACACATAAGGAACTCAGAAAAACCACTTGGGAAACTTATTATAAGTATTATGTGCAAGTAATCACTCAAATTCAGTCAAACAAATGGGTAGCAATCAAACGCTGATCAAATACAGAAAAACTTTCAAAGTAACTGAAGGACGAATGTTAACTATTCTAATAAGAAAACCACTCTCAGATTAACATACTCTTATATTTGACCCATGCTTTTTGATCAAATGAAACTATTCTTGTCTAATCAAGCAACTTTAATCAAGAATTCTGGAGAAGAGACACACTGTCCCATCCAAAATACAAAACAGTGGCACACTTCAAGAGAACTGTCTCATGGCCTTTACTTTGAAGTCTGGATTGCCTACTACAGAAAATCTAGTCACGCACTGAAATCACTTGGGACTTCTGTAGAGTCATTTTTATGATAGACACAGCTTGTTTGACCAATGTTTTCACTCATAACAATAACTGGAAATAGTACTCTTTGACCTTTGTTTTTACCTTTTTTCTACTCTTCTCAAAATTGTGTAAGAGTAGGTATTAGTGTCTTTGAAGCTAAGGAGAATTGAGGGCCAGGAAGGAGAGAGGTTGTAGAAACAGTGAGATGATACCAAAAAATAAAAAATAAGACTTGAATCTTCATTCAGCTCCTGGGAAGACACATACTTCGGAGAATCTCATAATCAGAGATGTTAGATTATCCCAATATTATAAAACAGCATGCCAAATATTATTCCATTTAGGAAAAAATGTGTCTGCATATACATACATACATCTATATATATGTATTATGTATGTGTAAAATATATGATCTCATATGTATTACATATGTGTGTTTGTGTATGCACGGAATTATATCTACTATACATATTATTGCTGTCTACATCAATAATGGCTATATCTTGGTAGTAGGAATTTAGGTGATTTTTTTTTTTACTTTCTCCTCTATACTATCTACATTGTTTCTATTTTTTTTTTTTACAAAGCATGTTATCATAAGAAGCAACAGATCTGTTTTGAGAATTCTCAATTGTGTCGAGCTCAACAATCTTACACAGAGAACTAAAATATGATCTACATTTAATGAAATAAAAAAGTTTAGCAGATAGCACAAGTCTAAAGTGGTTAATTATTTGTGGTGCTTGCCCTGGGGCATATTATGTCAAAATAATGAAAAACGAAAAATGAAACCAAATTTTAAAATCTATACCAGGACGCTACTTGAGTTTCGTTTCCCTTAATTGAGACACTCAACTGGCCAAACATTTTAGAGTTAAATAACAATAACAATAAAAGTAAACATCTATGGAATGACCAGGATGTGCCTGGCACTCTTCTAATTTATTGCATCCTTTCCATAGCCCTACAAGGTAGATACTACTCTGATCCCCATTATACAGAAGATGTAGAGAAGTTACATCAAACTGAAATGCAGGGAATTTAACATGGAAGCTAAAAAGTCTAAAAAGGGGCAGAGGTAGGAGTCAGATTCAGGCAGTCTGATGCCAGAGTCTGTGCTCCTAAGTGTAGTACTTTACTGCTGAATCCTGTTACTGATTTGCAAAATCCTATGAAGAAAGGGCATGGAAGATAATTCCCCTTTTTTTCTGAAAATAAATCCAATATGAGTCCATTACAGTAAGCATATAAATACATATATAATAAATAAATAATAAAAGCACATTGTTTCTGGAAAGGTAAAGGCAGCCCACTTCAGGCGATTGCATCATAGTCCACTGTATTCAGCTGTGTTGACAGCGGAACATCTGTATACTGTAATACGAAGATTGAGGGAAAGTACATTAATTATCTAATCATATTGTAGAATTTTAAAGATTTGACATATACTGTATTAGTCAGCATCTGCTGGATAACAAATCACCCCCAAGCTCAACAGGTGACCAATGATCATTTCTTCTCATGCTTATGGGTCTTTAGGATAACCACAGGCTGGCTGATTTCAGCTAGGCTTAGCTGGACAGTTGTGTACCAAACTGCAGATGAGGCTGTACTTGGCTCCCCACTGCAGGCTTGCTGCCTCGTGTGTTCATTATGGGGCTCATATGGAAGAGATCACAGCTACCTGGGGAAAACTCTTTTTTTTTTTTTTTGAGACAGGGTCTCACTCTGTTGCCCAGGCTGGAGTGCAGTAGCACAATCTCAGCTCACTGCAACCTCTCCCTCCTGGGTTCAAGCGATTCTCATGCCTCAGTCTCCCGAGTAGCTGGGACTTCAGGCAAGCGCCACCACACCTGGCTAATTTTTTGTCTTTTTAGTAGAGATGGGGTTTTGCCATGTTGGCCAGGCTGGTCTCAAACTCCTGGCTTCAAGTGACCCACCAGCCTTGGCCTCTCAAAGTGCTGGGATTATGGCGTGAGCCACTGCACCCAGCCAAAAACTCTCTTCTTATAGCCATGGCAGAAGCTCAGGAAACAAGCTCAATTGCACAAGCACGTCTCAAGCCTTTGCTTATGTCATCTTTGCTAATATGCCGTTGGCCATTGTCAATCACCTGATCCAGCCCAACAGCAATGGAGTATGGTTTTCCCTTTATTTTGCCTCTAATGAGAAGGGAGGGGAGTGCATACTTGTGAAATAATCCAACTACCCCTATGACTAAATCCTACTGTAACCACTTCCTCCTTTTTTTCACTAAGGAATTCATCATGGGCTTACTGTAATACAGTACAGGGCCTGCCTCTTCTTGTCTGCATTCATAAGTTAAGAAGTGATTCATTTCCATGGTTATAGATGATGGCTCAGTATTTTCCTGAGTCTGGTGATAATGATGGATTTGGCAGTTTAAAACCTAGTTTGAGGAAGCATTTCTGTTCCTCTGGTGAAGTGACTCTATCCAGGTTTTGGAAAAACATATCCAGCTTTCACAGCCTGGACACTTATGAAACTGAACAGTAGTTATTCTGGCAGAGTGTGGCAGACATTCCCAGGAAACCAAGAACTGGGATTGGGTGCTTACCTGGTGTTACTGAGCGAACGACCACTGGCTTTTCACTGCCTGCCACAAAACCAAATCCCAGCACGGGGTCCCTTCTCATCTCCACCTTCCGAGGAGCCGGAGGGATGATTTGGCAGCTCTCTAACCGAGGGTCGTCAAAAGGGATTGCCTGTGTCATGTGACTGTGGAGAAAGCACATACAAGAGAAACAAGGCATCAATGTATGTCTTAGGCATTGGCCTGGCAATCATATTCTCTTTAATTTCAAAACCTGTTTTTTGGTAGAGAGTGAGAAAGATCTGGGGAGACCCATAGTCATGCTTCTTTCGTGGCCTACTTGGGCCAGTTTTGCTTCAGGCTTTTGCATTGGCTGTTCCTCGAACCTGGAATGCCTATCCTGCAGATATGCATATGGCCCAGCCTCACCTCGCTCAAGCTTGTGCTCACATATGACCTTGAAGAGGACTGTCCTGGCCATACATTTTAAAAATGCAACCCTGCTCCCCAACATGCCTGATCCCCTTTATGCCCTTCTACTTCTTTGTTCCCCACAGCACTAATCACATGCTAACGTGCTGTAGAATGCAGTTGGCTCTTGAACAACACAGGTTTGAACTGCACAGGTCCACTTATACATAGATTTTCTTCCTCCTCTGCCACCCCTGAGACAGCAAGACCATCCCCTGTTGTTCCTTCCCCTTCTTAACTTACTCAATGTAAAGACAATGAGGATGGAGAACTTTATGATGATCTACTTCTACTTAATGATTAATAAATATATTTTCTCTTCCCTATGACTTTCTTAATAACATTTTGTTTTCTCTAACTTTATTGTAAGAATACAGTATATGAGTATAATGCATATAACATACAAAATATATGTTAATCAACTGTTATGTTATTGGTAAGACTTCTGGTCAACAGTATGCTATCAGTAATTGAGTTTTGAGGGCATCCAAAGTTATACGTGGATTTTTGACTGCATGTGGGGTTGGCGCCCCAAGCCCCATGTTGTTCAAGGGTCAACAGTATACTTAATTTTATGGTTATTTTTGTTGTTTTGCTCTATACACTGGAACATACACTCTATGAGGGCAAGGAACTTGGTTTTATTCACTGATTTATCTCAGGTGCCTAGAACTGTATCTGGCACATAGTACATTCTCAATTAGTACTTGAATTAATAAGTAGAGAAAAAGAGATTTCTTTGTGAAAAGCTGTTAAGTTATAACTGATATGCTTAGAAACAGCCTCAGAGGGTTTCAGACATTTAGAAGGTAATACCTATGGCTTCTGGCCGCAGTAAAATTGAAGTGGATTATTTTGGTGGTGACACACTATCCTGTTGTCAAACACATCTCCATTTCCAAAGAAGTTGAGAACTTAACTCTTGGCATTTGTTCTCCGGAAAGATTTTCAAGTGGTTCAAATGAATCTTTTCATTAACACCTAAACTTCAGAAGTCTTATCAATAATCCCAACTCAAAATTTGTATAGCATTCAAAAATTTTCAAAATACTTCCACAAATACCTAATTTGATACACAAATTGAGAATGAGAGGGCAGAACTGGTATTATTTTGTGGATTTTACCAATAAGAAAACTGAGATCAAAATACTAGTTTATTGTCACTAAGGGCCCATGGCTGGTATGCCAGAGGGTTGGGCCAAAGACTCACTCCCATGACTCTTGATGAAGTCTTCACTCATGCACATTGTTCAAGGCAGCCTTCTTTTGGGGAAAAGTTATTAGTCTGAATAATAGAAATCTCCTTAATGTAATGTAAGCTAAGATTATTTCAATGACACGGGTTTAATTCAAATTTCTCTCCCTGTAATCTTCTTCAATAAGTAAAAGAAGATCATTTAAAAATATCTTGGAAGATGCTACTCTATATGCCATCTGGACAACATATTGTTCAATGTAATAAAGAAAGATAGCAAAGAAGGAATCCTGTTGTCTTTCTGCATAATTAATAAGAATGAGGTAAGATCAATGACAACTCCTAAGATCTTTCCTTTAGGTATATATCACTATCTAGGAAAACAAACATTTAAAATCCATTTTAAACAGAAAGGAAGTGTCTTTTCGACTTAGCTTCTTGGGAGGTGGAACAGTAGGAAAAAGAGAAGTGTTAGTTGAGAACTAACATGTTGTGCACCATGTGCTAACACTCATCTGTTACCTTATTTCATTCTTAAAATTCCCCTACGATGGAGACAGTTTTACCCCACTCATTCCTTCTTTGCAAATGCCAAGATAGGAAAAATAACTTGGCCAAGGTCACGCTTTTCTCAGGTGTAAGCCAGGTGCAATCCATACCAGGTCTTCTGATTTGAAGTGTGGGGCACATTAGATAATTTGCAGAAACAGTGCAAAATGAAAATGTGGAGCCTCTCATTCAAACATGACTAATTTCAAGACAGCAGAACATGAAACCCAGCCCAGGGTCCTGTGTCACTGAATGGGTCACACACCCGTGATGCTGGCCCCAGTATTGTGCTATCCCCAGTGTCTCACCACCATTCTATTAATAGAAAAGTCCAGGCTGAGATTGGTGGCACTATAGGGTGGGTGCAGGTGTTTTTCGGGACCCAGAGATTAGACGCAGCTACCATGATATGGTATATGCTTGGGATGGATGAAGAGAGGTGGGCAGAACTCAGGTGGGCAGGAGATCAGACGGAGAGGCCTGGGTGTCAGAGGACAGAATTCCAGACCCTGAGTGAGCCAGCAAAACCAATGCAGTGTGAGCCCCAGTGACCAGGGTAGGAGCCTCAGACAAGGCCCCAGGCTGGGAGGCACTAAGACACAGGGAAGAAGTGGGGAGGCCAGGGCTGGAACCCAGGACACTAGTAGGACCTCTGATACTCCCACAGTGGACCCCAATGGGTGGGAACTTGACCTTCAGACATTGATCCCTCCTGAAGCTGAAACAGGCATGGCTGGGTATGCCTGGGGAAGAATGGGGCCAGCTAGGCATGGTGGACACTTTGGTTCTCTGGTCCCCTCTGTAAGAAAGCACCATTTCAGAGCAAGCCATTTTTGAGCCACATCTGAAAACAATTCTGTCCTTTTACCTCCAGATGAAAGAGGGGACAGAAAGAAGAAAAGAAGGGAGGGAGGAAGGAAGAATGAAAGGAAGGGAGAGAGGGAAGAAGGAAAATTCACATTTTTGGAACCTGGCCCTGAATTCTGAGTTTTCACCATTTTCCACAGCAGACATAAAATTGAGGAAGGTAAAGCTTGCTGAAGCTAGGTGACTTGCTAATGGTCACACGTGTTTTAGAACCGAGGTTGGTGCAACTCTCGGTTCCAAGCATAGAGAGGGACTGAGGAAGGCTTTTCCTTCTGCTGCTGTTAGCTCTGTGAAAAGCTTAAGGCAGTGATTCCCAAACTTTGCTGCACATTAGAATCACTCAGGGAGCATTTCAAAACTCCTAATGCCCGAGTTACACTCCGGACTAACCATATCAGAATATCTGGGATGGGAACCAGGATCAATTTTTTAAAACTCTGCAGGTGATTCCCAAGTCCAATGAAGTTTGAGAGCCACTCTCTTGCCTAGAGAAGGATGGATTATAGTACGCCCTCCAGACAATAGGAAAAGAGGACACAAATGATGTCCCTGATTATCTCCTCTAGCAACCATTGTAAATGTACGTTAACATACTTAAAACTTCTGGAGCTTGATTACCCTCTTCCTACCACAGGAACAAGTAATAGTATCTAATGCATCATTCATTCAATAACTATTATGTTATTCTTTTATTGATACCTGACATTTATTAAACATTAATTTCATGCTAAGCATTGTTTGTTCCAAATGCTTTCCATATGCTAGTTTACTTAATTCTCCAAAACAACTCCACAATGCACTCATTTGTTCATTTAGTCAATTCGTAAAACGCCCACTGGATTCTCATTTCTGGGATTGCACTGGGAAAGAAAGCAGACAAAAAAGAAAGTGTTCACGCTAGTGTTCAGCGACAAAGAAGAAACTAACACATTAGTAAAATAGATGGAAGAGCCAGTCATTATAAACACTAGGGAGAAAAATAAGGCAGGGAGGAAGGATAGAGAGCTGAGTGGGTGGAGTGGGTGGGTGAAGGTGCTGTAATGATCAGCAGGGAACAGGAAACGTTTCGGGGGGAGCACTTCCAACACAGGGACCATGAAGCACAAAGGTCCTGAGGCATAACGTGCCTGACGTGAACCTGCCCAGGAACAATCTGAAGGCTAGTGGCGCAGATAAGGATGTGGGGTTGCAGGCAGGGTGGTGAGGAGTAAAGAAGTGATGGGAAGGAGGGACACAGATCACACAGGCTCTTGGAAAGACTTTGTCTTTTGTTCTGAGTGGAACAAGTAGACATGTGATCCAGCTGCCCTGCTGATGACAGGAGAGGGTACTGGTAGAAGCATTTCAGGGGCCATTACATCAACCCCTGATGGCGGTGGCTTGGACCAGGGTGAGAGTGGCAGAAGCCGCAGAAATTGTTGTGCTTTTAATATATTTGGAGGCCACCCTGATAGACCAGGAGTGGGACTTCTACTCTGGAACCATTTTCCTGCACACAGCAGACGTTCCCAGTGAGGAGATACCTATGAGCATGTTGCCTATGAGCATGCAGTTCTCGTGTCCTGATGTGTCCACATTATGGGAGACATTTGTCTCTTCAAGTAGGTGACACTTTCTAGTTTGTACAAGAAACAAATAAATGCCCAGGTGCAGTGTGAACGTGAGAACTGATATGATCGTTTGGTGAGAGACTTTGGAGCCAGACTGCCTGAATTCAAGTCCTGGCTCCCCTACTTCTTATTGACGTGACCTGCACAAATTACTCCATCACTCTATATTTCAGTTTTCTTATCTGTAAAATGGTGACAATGATCATAACAAGTTCATAAGATACTTGTGAAAACTGAATGAATAAACATAAAGCACTCAGCAAAATGTAAGCACATAGTAAGCACTCAAAAAGCATTGGCTGGAATGGTCTCACTTATAAGTGGGAGCTAAATGATGAGAACACATGGACACATAGAGGGGAACGACACACACGGGGGCCTACTTGAGGGTGAAGGGTGGGAGGAGGGAGAGGATCAGGAAAAACAACTAATGGGTACTAGGCTTAATACCTGGGTGATGAAATAATCTGTGCAACAAACCCTCATGACGTAAGTTTTCCTATGTAACAAACCTACACATGTACCCTTGAACTTAAAATAAAAGTTAAAAACAAAGTATTGATTGTTATTTTCTTCTCTGGAGATCAATGAATAGAAAGGAGTCCGTTTCAGACATTATGAACTCAGTCAGTCTTAAAATTTGAAAATAAACTCAATAACATTTAAAATACTTGCAGCCCAACTTTCTTAGTAAAATGCCTCACAAATCCTACGTAAGCTCTGAGGCTTTCAATTTGAAAAATCCTATCAAATGCAATGACACAATAAATACAAACATACATTGATATACACAAGGCAAGACTGTACCAGAACACGAAAGAATAAAAGAAGGTAGGAGAAAATCCAGGTGCTCTGGTGACTGGATTGCTGTTAATATGTTTTTTCTCAACCATGTTTCTAGACCATTAAGTGACCATTGAACATAGTGCCGGGGGCAAGCCTGAGTCTTGAGGGAAATAAGAAGCACTGATGATGTTCTATAATTAGGGGCGATACAGGCATACGTCCTTTCAACCTCAGATGCTGCCATTCTCTGTGTCAACAGAGTCTTACATTGGCCTATATTTCTTCATTGGTTTTTTTTTTTTTTCCTCTACCCAAATAAGGCTTGAAACACAACCAAATATGTACTGTGTGGTCACTGCTTGGTCTAGTGTTGTCATCTTTGCTAATGATTTTTTTATTATTTTTGTTTTGCTTGCATGTTGAGGATAACCTTCCAATGGCATTCTCATCTTCTCTCTCAACAGGTTGTGTTTTCAGAATAAATTACCTAAAAATAATCAACCCCCGTCTCTTTTCCAGTAAGAATGCAAGCCTACTAGCATGTTCCCCATGAAACATCATTTGACCCTCTGTAACAAGGCAAGCAGTTTTTGGCCCTGTACTTGCAATATTTTTTTTTAATAAAGACACTTGAGTCCTTGTTTAATGAGCTGAAAAAGCAACATTTTTTTTTTACCTGCTGAACGTGCGTCAGTGAATTCTGATGCTGAGACTAGAAGTATACAACTGATGAGCTATTCAAACCTCCATCCTCTGTCCCCAACTTTCTCTAAAAAACACACAGATAGGCCAGGAATCTGTGACCCAAAAAATACAGAGTATATTAATTGAAATGGAAAATATGTCCATCAAGATAAAGTGAGCAATCTTCCTGTTTCTGACAGATTTCATTTCAAAAGGAATGACAGAAATCCTGCTGCCTAACTCCCCATAACAAAAGGAAAGGGCTTTCCTTGAACTCTTGGAGCCCTTCTTTCTCAGCAGAAATAAAACACTGATACACCCAATGTGTCACAAATAATTGCTTTGACTAGTAGAAAGCATGCTGTGTGAAAACCTGAAGTCATTCCAGTTTTTGATGCACTCATTAAAGCCAGCAAAGTCCTTTTCAAAATATGTGCTGAGTGGAAGGATTCTGGAAGGAAAATCCAAATTTAGAAGCCGTTACCTTTGGTGCGGAGGTTAAAGAATCTGGGAAGATAATGGCAGGTAGGCTACCTGGGTAGTTAAGACTGGATCACAGATAGGTATAACTACTTATGGAGTATAAACATTTTTGTGCCTAAGGTATGCTTGAGGTCATCGTTGGTGTTAGGTTTCAGGGATGACCAGCTATGATTACAAGAGAGGACCAAGCATCAATATATGCTCTTATCTTGGTAGCACTGGTCTGTGTGGTAGACTGACTTAGTCTTGATTTGCTCCCTAGGTCATGATTTGCCACCAGATGCCACATTCCTTTCCAGTACCTTCCCACTATACACAGTACATGTTTCTCTGCCCCTTGGCTCTGCTAACATCCTATTGCCCTAAGCATGTCCCATGATGGAGCCCAGACGTGTCAAGTAAAAAATGCTAGTTTGTTTGGGCATCTGTTCTTACTGCCCACCAGCGTCACAAGAAGGCCTTCTCAAGGTAGCTGCTGCCCTTTCAGCCTGTTCTCTAGAATGACCAGAGCCTGCACCTCAGTGAGAAGCTAAGTATAGCAGAGCTGCCCAGCCCCCAAGCCTAGATCAGCTACCTGAATAAGGGATAAGACATGATGATGGTTTTATGACACTGAATTTGGGGGATGTTTGGTATGTACCAAAAGCTCATGCATCTAGTCTGTAAATAGTGCTTAAAATAGTATTTATTAATAAATACCCTGAAGTTCCACATGTCAAAAGGATTTTCTCCACCAACTTCATTCCCCATGTCATTCATGACTAAGTATGTTACATTGGACAAACACCACAGACACCTCCAAAGGAAACTTCTCCCCTTATTATCCTTGGTGGCATGGCAGCCACAGGAACCCCACAGTCTATTCTTCAGCATCTTCCCACATCCCTGACTGGATTTGGGCTTGGGCACAGTAGGGCTGCAAAATTCGTAATCCCTGCTGTGGCCTGGAAGGGGGCCTAACATGGAAAGCTTTGACCAAAAGTGCTCATCTATGTAAACCAGAGTTCCTCAGAGCAAGAATTTCAGTAGGAAGAATAAAAGAAAGCAAAGTATGGATTGTTAAAGTTGATAGGTTACAACGGAGAGAGGTCACGAGGCATTTTAGAACCTAGTTCTAGGTTTCCAGTGAGTCAAAATGATGATATTGTGTGTGGTAAAGTAATATATTGAAAATATATATTTTTTCGCTTTGTTCTCATTGGGTTTTTTCCACTCCCAGGTCTAATAAAGTAGACAGGTCTTTTGCAGACTCTTGCCTTAGGGGTGATGTATTTATCAGGGCTCAAAGCAAAAGTTGACTGCTTATAACTCTTTCCTACTTTTGTTTCCTGAAAGTCTGAGCAGCTTGGCTGAGGAAGCAAGGGTAGAAGACCCCTGTGAGGTGGCAGCAACTTCAGGAGAAGCAGCTTGGTGGGATGCCCGGCAAGGCACCACGACTTAAGTCTGAGCCTAAGAAACGGCAGTCAGTGAACTTCAGGGGATCACACAGATTTGGATCAGGGTATCTTAGGAGCACGTAATGTGGGTTGAAACCATAAAGCCCTGCTCAAATTTCTTCTCTGTGTAAGATTCCCAGAACTTGTGAATATTCAACATGATTACATTTGAATTGCCAACCAGCAGGAATATAATACGATCGCACACATGAGTTTAGGAATAAGATTTATATGTGCTACATGAGAAAACAGAAACCATCTTTGTTGGAACGAAGATGGGAGTTGGAAGAGAAGTTACTAAACTTGGAGAGAGACCACTCTGTGGAGCAATATCAGGACAGAAGATCCAGGAACCCTCACTAATCAGGATCCTAAACCTTCTCTGCATCTGGAACTACTGCCTCTGTCCTTTGGGATCAAAAGAGCCAAATCAAATCCCTTCACTAGAAATGAGTTAAATTTTATATGAACACACATAACTGCACATCGTGTGTTTTCAGCTCACATAACATGGTGAATTGCATGCTTTTTGCCTTCATAAATACGCATACTGTGGGTTCAGAAGAATTTAACCTCCGCTAATCAATTCCACAGGCCACTGTCAGTCAATTCCCACAACACTGTCAGGAGCATTTAAAGATTTAGAACTGTTTAGTCAAGCTTGGAAACTTACATAGTACTTGAAAAGCCGAGACAATCCAGAACAATTAAATTTAAAATCACAAAATGTTTAGAAGAATCTTGTTGGAGAATTTTAGGAGGCTTTGAAATAAATGAGGCTTCTTTTTAATGGGTAGAATAAATGTGATAATTTTAGTTTTCTCCAAATTAATTTACAAATTTAATGCCATCCAATAAAGATATTTCAATAGTCCTTTTTTAAAAAATTCAACAATGAGAATTCTAAATTTTACATAATGCTATAAAAGAACACTCTAAACAAGAAAAATGCTATGGTTGTCTAGCCCTACAGGATACCAGAACTTATTATAAAAAGACAATTCTTAGAATCCTATGATACTGGCACGAAATATAGCAAAATATACAACAATGGAGTAGTAGCTTTGACTAGAACAAAACGAGGCTTCCAGGGTAATTGAAGTACTTTAGATATCAACAGTGTGGTTGTTTTGAAACAAAATGATTAAAATAAAGTCGAGCAGCTATGAAAATCTTTTGTCTGACAAAGGGGTTGTTGGTTTGCTGGTGACAATGAACTGAAAGAGTTGTCTTTTCAGGGTAAAGAAGATACAGCAAAGAGTGAGAAAGCAACTTAGTTTGTCAAAATAAACTTGGATTGTGGTCTGAATGTAGGGAAACAGATGTTTAGACATAACAACAGTTATTTGATTGTTTTATTGAAAATTATGCAAATATGCATAGATAAAAACTGCAGTCTTTGAAAACTTGAAAATGGATTTGTCTAACCTGTTTAACAATCTTCCAAATGAAGCATTTCAGTGGATTGTGAACTCACTTGTTAAATATAATAAAAAGGCAATATCTTCCATTTGGTTTGTAAGAACAGCTGACGGACATCAAAGGAGATGGAAACTTTCCAGACGAATGTCAACAAAATCTCTTGCATAGATGGGATTGAAAAATGGTATTTCATGATCTAGTAAGCAAGTTGGAGCCATACTTTGTCCGTTTGCCTCTTCATATGTTTCTGCAGTTCTTTTTTTCCTCCAATGACAATGATTAAAACCAAATAAAGAAATAAGCTGAACTTGCAACCAGACCTTCACATTTTTACTCAATGAAATGTTAAACCAAGATGTTCAAAAATAAATCAGCATCCTTGACCACTTTATCATTTAAAATATTGATTTTTTAATGCAGCAGTGATAGCAAAATATTTGAGTGATTAAAATGTATATTTTACCTTCATTTCAACACCTCTTAACATATATTTTATATTCTCCATAATATATTATTTACAGTAGTACAGATATATAAATTATGAATAAATTAATACACATTTGGGGCAGTACATGTTCAAAACTTTTTTTAGTGACAGGACTACAAAAGCAAAAAAAATGTAAGGATTTCTGTTCTGTATGATCCAGAGGGTTCCTAACTTCTGGTGTGAGCCCAAAAGGTGTTTTACATATTCAAATGTGATGGACAGAGTCATTGATATCACAAAGCTCACCACAGCCCTTGAAAAGCCCCACTCTCACATTCAGAAATATTCAGTGGCATTTTTAGAAACCTAAAAATGAAGTTAGAGTGCTGGTGGGGAATGGCATATTTCCATCCTGCTGGTTTAATCCTACCACAGCAAGTGGGATGAAACAGAGTAGCCCCAGGTTTGAGTGATGAAGAGACAGACTGGTTGATAGTTCTTACATGTGCTCTTGTTTGGGCTCTGATAGATTGAATCCTTTGGGGATTGGAAATGTAACCACCCCAAACCTTTCTCAGGTGTCAACATCCATTGTTTACAGAGAACATAATTATTGCATGGCTGGGCAGGCTTTTTCTTCTTAATTGATTACTCATATGTTTTTTTTTTACCTGCAGGAAAATACATTTTTGAACAAAAGCTTGATAACAATGAGCAAAGTCTTTATCAATCATGTTAAAATAATCATTTTAGGCCTGAGAGTTTGTCTCTATCAAATTGGATTGTATCCATATTTTAGGGCAGTAGTTGAGGAGGAGGGCTGAAGACACGGCAGGTCTCCTCCCCATCTTAAGGGGCTGTTGTATGTCCTCCCAGTCCGCATGTATTCTTTGAAAATTTACGTTATAATTTTATACTCGGAAAGTGAAAAGAACCCCATGGTTTTGGTAAATATAAACTACAAGAATATGTGTTACAGAAATCCCGATCTAAGACACGAGTCAAACACGAATTAATTTTGATAAAAGAGATATTTTTGGAGAGTTGATTGGCCACACTTTGAAAATTTCATAATTCTATAATCTTTACGTAAATAATTTTAAGAAGTGATTACATAATAAAGGCTCATTTTTTGATAACTAAAAACTTCTGATGGAAGTTAAAAGGGGCTGGTAAGGAAATTACAGAATCAAAGGTTTGAGCTAACAGTTGTTTTAATTAAGAACTTGTGATCTCTTGATCTTTCTGCATTGAAATTGTTATTTCTAGCCCTTACCTAAAGAGTTCAGTTTCCTTAGACTGTCCAACTTTACACATCTTTTCTGTTTTGGGTTTTGCTTGTGTTTCTCTTGTTCTGAGCCTTGTACATGTGAACTGAATCTCATCTCCCTGCCCTCAACCCCACCAGCAGCATTGGTGCCCTGAGAGCTTCACGCTTATGATTGCATCACATGGGATCCTTGTGTTCTGGCTTCCTGCTCGGGCAAAACAATGGGAGGTGCTGGCAGGAGAGAATGAGGATGGGAAGAGAGAGAGAGAGATGGGTTATTTATTCTTCTTACTCCTTCCTTTTGAGACCTCGAAGTGCTAACAGGTCCCAGCTGCTGCTAGTCCCTGGTGCCTCAGTGTGACTTACTAGTTTCCTTATCTGTGCCCACATCCACCTGTTTCCTGACAGGACTCTGAGTCACTCACACACCATATCTCACTCTTTCATGGAGAAATCTAGTAGGTGCCGTGAAACAAACCTGCCCCTTGGATGGCACTGATGGGGAGTCCCCTCTTCCTGGCTTCCAGTGAAAAATCTCATTTCAGCTTCTTTTCTGATTCTTCTCCAAGAACAATAAATACTTTTGCATTAAAAACAGCACTGAGATCAGTTATTCAACTAGGATTTGTTTATAATATACCAACTAATATATACACCAACATTCTCAAAAAATTAAAAACAAAACCTGAAAAACACATACCTATTAAATAAGCATTCCTTTCCGGATAAGACATATTTTCCACATACGGACCTTGAAATACAATGAGGATGTTGCCTAATTTAAATGAAATGAGATCTCTTTTTATCTCAACTGAGACATTCTCTTTGTTTGTCTCTCTGTCAAAGTTTTCACAGTAAACTTTTATCTTTGTTCAACATTACCACATAGCAAAACCAACAGACCTATAGTAAAATTTATGAGAGAGAAGAACACCAAATTTGAGAGCTAGATGGGACTTTGGCAAATGCCTTCAGGTTTTAGAAGATAATTTCTAAACAGAGATTATCAATGGAAAAAGTGGAATATCTTAGAAACTAAGGTTAATGGAGTTCTTAAACATTAAATGGAATGCACACGTTATTAATGTTATTTATGAATCAGAATATTATTCATTTTGAGGGTTACAGTTCAAAGGACCATGAGGTTTATACATCTAGACTGATACATTTTTCCAGTCATGCTTTCCACTTCAGAAAATGAGATGCAATAAATCAAAGATCTATTAGGGCTTGTACAAATTAACATCCAAGACAGGTTCCATTAATTCATGGTCAAATTTATCCTTCAAGGACTCAGTTCTATTTGTCAATACCACTACTGAAAACCATTTCCACAATTAGTCTTTTATCAACAGCCAGTTCATCCACCCAGAGAGATTTTTGTCCTCGTTAAAGACGATAAATTGAGAGCTGGCAAAATGTTTATTGACCGTGCTTTGTGAATGTGATTGTAGGATCTAAAAGGGCAAGATGTTTGTCAGTTTCCCTAAAGCTGCAAAATCCCTACAGTTAGGCTGGTAATCAATTCTGTTAATTGAGTTCAGTTTAATGTGTTTAAGAGATGACTTTTATGTTAATGATACTCTAATGTGTCAGAGGCAATAATAATCAAGTCACACCCATGGGTTGATAGAGATGCTGAACAGAGCTGGTAGCTCTCAACCTTCCCTCCTACCATCAACCCCAGATAGGCATTGCTCCCAAGGAACACTGAAGCTTAGATTGAGACTTATCAGTGATTATAAATTAAAAAGACAAGTAATAGAGACAATAAATACCCTGAATTATATGCTCTGTTTGGTATTATAATAATCAGTGTAAACAGTATGCTATCCACATGAGTGTAAGCCACTGTGAATTGAATTCTAGAGATGCTATAGGACACTTTGAATACCCTTATCAAAATCTGTTCCTGGAGAATAAATGGTATGACCACATTGGAAAACTATGTAGCAGTAAGCTAAAGTTTGTATTCTCAACCCTGACTTCTGAGATACTGGGTAGGATCCAGGGGTAGGGATCTTCAGATCATGTCAATGGTCTTTCCTGGACACTTGGAGGTAGTCTTGTGATTTCAAGAGTGCACTCCCGCTAGAAGCTAGAGGTGTTGATAAGCAAGGTCAACCTCAAGAGAAAGTGAACTGGGAGGAAACCAGAGGACTTAGTTGTTCAGACCCACTCAAGCAGGGAAGGCTTTCTATTTCAGCAGGGAGAAGAGAATAGTCACTGAGAGTAGAATGAGCACTGTCTTCCAAGATTATGAATTTCCCATTACCTATATTCATTTCAAAATACAAATATGAAAGTAATTAAAGAAAGCACAACAATTTTGATGCTATTTCCTTAATAGCATCCCTGACATCAATTTTGGTGCTATTTGCTTAAAAGTATTTCATTTTCCAGGCCCAGTTTACCTAAATCGTACTGAAATTCTCCCCACCAGTGAGCCCAGCATTACCCAGGAATCTGTTTTAATAGGCATTCCAAGTGATTCTGGTGCAGAATTCAGGATCACACTTGGAAAAGCACTGGTTCAGTGAGAGACACCCAGAGAAAGAGCTCAAGAGATGAATCAGGTATCCGACCCTCATATAGCCTGTAATTTGCAGTCACTCTCACCAGCCTCTTATATCTTTTTAATTCCCTGGTGATTTTCTTGAGCATCTGAGTTCCCAGATAAGAAGCAATTTATGGGCAGCAATAGCAATTCTTTATGATAAACAATTTGATGACTTGAATTAACATTTCCCATTACATTGGCATAAATCAAGACCACTGTCAAGAATTGGAATGCATATAGATTAGAGGCATGCATTTCAAAACTCCTTCCTTCTGTTGCACTGTTGAGAAGTGATGTACCGTCATCTTGTGGACAAAGAAAACAGCTCTTCATTGTTTTATTCTATTTTGCTGTGGCCACTCTAACACAGACTGGAGTTGCTGAGACTCTGCAACTTTCCTACCTGAACATTTAGAGTTCAAACCAAGTTTATTTTATGGACCCTTCAAAATAATAATTTGTGTTTGCCTTTTGTCATACTAAGAGAACTCAAAGAACATTTTTACTTCATTTTATATTGTTAGATTCATTTGGATAAGCTCACAATAGCTCAAATTTTCAGAGGCCATACATGCTTAATAGCATAGTAAAATTTTTAAAGAGCTCAATTATTTTCCAGAATAATTAACATGTGTCAGCAGTATCCACTTTACTAGATGCAGATTTCTTATGATCATAATTGATGTTTAACAAAATTTGGAGCATGGACTTTTTAATGACATATGTTTAGCAGTTTTATGGGTATCTAATTAACTTGTCATAATAGTATTCATTTAATTCCATTTAAAGGCTGAAAACTGCTTTCGACCTTTATTAGTGTGACTTACTTTCTGGGCCACACAAGCCGTGGGGAAAACAAATCAATGACCCAGGATAAAACTCTGGGAGATTTTGCCCCATCCATCTTCACTTTTGGAAAAAGGGCATTATAGCTCTTTATGCCTTTCTGTCTTCCTCACAAGGAAGACATTCAATTCTCTTCAATAATTGACGTTCATGTTATCTAACCTTTCAGTTGGATTTGTTTAATCAGGCACTGTGCTAGGCCCTGGAGAAAAGAACCATTACCTTAACAGCAGCAGCTGCTGCTAACATTTACTGAGCCTTCCAAGAGCTACTCTCAATTATTTATATGTATTAGCACATTCATTTTCACAACGAACCTATGAGGTGGGTGTTATTCTTACAGTCATTTACAGTTGAGGAACAGATTGGTAAAGTAACTGGACTTTGGACAGTTAGTAAGTATCAGTGAAGGGAGTCCCCACTGAACCATTACATTACGGAACAATACATTCTCTAAAAGAAACTAGTAAATAGTGCAATGGAATAGAAATGGTCACAAACTAAAGCATGAGGGCAATTCAAATCCCAGGGAAAGAATAAACTATTGTTTAAAGTGGGGTTAACTGGCCGGGTACGGTGGCTCATGCTTGTAATCCCAGCACTTTGGGAGGCCGAGGTGGGCAGATCACGAGGTCAGGAGATCGAGACCATCCTGGCTAACGCGGTGAAACCCCATCTCTACTAAGAATACAAAAAATTAGCCAGGCGTGGTGGCGGGCACCTGTAGTCCCAGCTACTCGGGAGGCTGAGGCAGGAGAACGGTGTGAACCCGGGAGGCGGAGGTTGCAGTGAGCCGAGACCCCGCCACTGCACTCCAGCCTGGGTGACAGAGTGAGACTCCATCTCAAAAAATAAATAAATAAATAAATAAATAAATGGGGTTAACTAAATACAGTATCTATGTGGAAAGTCAATAAGCTAGATTCACACACATACCATACACCAAGTTTCCTGTATGTATTAGATGTAAAACATTTAACCTATGAAAGCACTAGAAGAAAATACTACTAAAGAATACCTTTAGAGTCTAGGAGTAGGAAGGACATTTCTAAGCATAATGTGAAACCCAGAAGCTACAAAGGAAAACACAAACAGGTTCAATTACACAGTAATTTAAAATATCAAAAGCATAAGCAAAGTTACAAAGCAAATGACACATTAGAAGGGAATATTTGCAACATATGAAACAGACAAATACATAATATACACAATAAAGAACTTGTAGAATTCAAAAAGAAAAGGCAACTCAATTAAAAAAAAAATGAAGTACATGACCAGGCACATAGATAAAAATAATACAAATGGTAGTTCTGAATGACACTCATTCTCATTAATAAATGCAAAGCAAAAATTCTGATGTATCATTTCCCTTCCCTAGAATTAGAAGTGTAAGTTTCTGCAACCTGTTTCTGAAGGGCTATCATAAGTTTTCAAAATTAAAATGCATATATTATGTGTCTCAGCAAACTCATTTCTAGGCCTAAATTGTATAAGATAACTGGATAGAGCCATGTGCCTTAGATTGTGTACTGCAGCACTTCACTGGAAAAAAAAAGAAACATGAGACCGAGGGAATATTCTTAGAAATTAAACAATTTCATATTCAATTCAATAAAAAGCCTGAAGGATAAAAATTTTAAAAATCTTCCAGAAAGTTGAGTAAAAAGACAAAGTATCAAAACACGAGAGAAAAGAAAACATTTATAGATGATCAATTCAGAAGATCCAATAAACAATTGATAGGAATTTCTAAAACAGAAAACAGAGAACAATAATGAGAAAGGAATTATTTTTAAAAAAGAATCTGAAAAGTCCCTGAGCTGAATGATCTGAAAACTCAGCCTGAGAGCTTGACAATAAAAATGTCTTTACACCTGGAAGCATCACAATGAAAGTTTAATATACCAAAGATAAATAAATTATCCTTAAAACAGTAGAGAGAAAAGATACATTGAGGATAAATGAATGAGAATAGATCATTATTTGACTGTGGGACCTGGAGACCCAAAGGCAATGTAGCTTGCCCTGAAGCTACTGTGGAAAAATCATTTTCAATCTAGATTTCTAGGTTAAGTGAGGGGTCAGAATAAAGACATTTCCAGACCCACAAAAATTTAGAACGCTTACTTCCCACACATCTTTTTGAAGCAAGTGATCTGAAGATGTGCTCTAACAAAATCAAGAAATAGAAAGACATGGGATTAAGGAAGCAATGGATCCAACACAGGAGGAGAAGGAAGCAAAATCAAGGATGCCAGTCTTGAACGAGGCCTAGGAAGTCATCAACCCAGGTTAGAGTGGGAGGAAGAATTGAGGAGAAAGGTGCCTGGGAAAGAAGGTGGTTCCAGAGATTTGACTCTATTTTTAAGAAGGACAAAGCATTTTTAACACAGGACATGCAAGGGAGAAAATGAAAAACTGTCAGAGACTGCTAGAAAAACAACAAAAATCCCTTTTCAATAGAGGCATTATAATCAGCAATAATTAGCTATACGGTGAATAATATTTCCTTAGTACTAAGAATAAAAACCCTCCAGTGAGTTTAAAAATTTTAAATCAACCTATAAATAAGGCATGAAAGACATCGTAATGGTTATGGAACAATTGTGAATGTTTTCAACCATTGTATTATTAAAGACTAACTATGGAAGACAAAAGGTGGAAAAAGAAAGGATAAGGGGAAGTAAGCAAGAAGGGTACAAGAATTATATTTTCATCTCACTAAGTGGAATTACTAATATCAGGACATGCTATTTATAGTAGAAAGAAAAAGAAAGAAATGTATAATTTATCATTTAAAATTACAAAGCTAATTGGCAGTTACAGAATTACACTGGAGAAAGAGAAGTGTGTAGGGGCAGAAAGGTAATGATACCTTTCCTCGCCCATCATAAGGGTCATGGCTGACATTCCTATAACCAAAGATAGGTTAATAAGAGAAAAACATAAATGTATTTAATCAACATTTTATATTACATGGGAACCTTCATTAATGAAGACCCAAAGACCCAGGGAATACTGTCTATTTTTATGATTAGGTTCGACGAAGAATAGAGAGTCATGTAGCAATGTGATTAGACAAAAGGGTATGATCTAATGGTAATAGACTAAGGGAAAAACCCACCAAGGCCTGTCTGTCCAGATACTTCTTGACCTGTCTCTGTAGCTTTCCTTCCTTTGGAGTATGGGGCAGGACTCCTCCAAAATGAAGGTCTTCAAGGGAGAAGGGAGACAGTGACCTTTCTAGGTTTTATGGCTTGCATTGTGGGAGATGGGTTCTGGTTCCTACGACCTGTCTTGGAGAAGAGGAAATCTGGTTTCTATGACTCTCTTCGGGACAGAAAGAGAGGCAGGACACAGAAGGGCAGGATAAAGTCAGAGAGACCTTGCTTCTGAGGTCCTTCCAATCTTCTTTAGTTCAAAGTACTCAGCATGCCAAGGCACCATACTTTGAGGTATCAAGTCCTGAGCCTCAACAAGTGCAAGAAGGAGGTAGGGTATGGTGCAGCTGAGCTAGCCCTTATCTTGCAGAGTAAGTAATCAGTAGATAAGGTCTAAAATTGGTAAGCCTAGAAATACAAAATTAAGCACGTTATTTAGATCGAGGTTTGGCAGACTTCTTCTGTAAAGGGCCCAGATAGACTTTGCAGCTCATCTGGTCTTGATCACAATGACTTAACTCTGCCATTGTAGCACAAAGCAGACATAGATAATGTATAAATAATGAACATGGCTGATGTTCTCATAAAACTTTATTTATAAAAACAGGCAGAGGGCCAGATTTGGCTTTTGAGCCATAGTTTGCTGACCTCAGATATAGATGTACAGTTGACTCTTGAACAACATGAGTTTGAACTGCATAGGTCCACATATACATGGATTTTCTTCCACCTCTGCCACTCCTGAAAAGCAAAGCCAACCGCTCCTCTTCTTTCTCCTCCTCCTCAGCCTGCTCAGCATGAAGATGATGAGGATGAAGAACTCTATGATGACTCATTTCCAATTAATTAATAGTAAATATATTTTCTCTTTCTTACAATTTTCTTAATAACATTTTCTCTTCTCTAGCTAACTTTATTGTAAGAACACAGTATATAACACATATAATATACAAAATGTGTGCTAATCAACTGTTGCTGTTATTGATGAGGCTTCTGGTCAACAGTAGGCTATTAGTATTTAAGTTTTGGAGGAAGTCAAAAGTTATATACAAATATTTGACTGTTTTGGGGGTCGGCCCTCTGAACTCCTGCACTGTTCAAGGGTCAACTGTATATGTGAAATCATCACATTTGCAAAAATGATAGAGCATGATTTTCCAAAATATTATTAGGGAAATATTAAAGATTAATACTTAAACTTCCTTCTTCATTTGGCTCTTGGAGGAAGCTTCTCTCTTTTCAGAGTCATGTCAATAGCACAAATGCTTCATGTTGGTGGCCTTTTCCCAACATTTAGGGTGGGAAAGGCCAGTGGATGAAACATACCTAAATTGGAGCTTTACTCCAGAATTTGTCCTAGTGAATCACTGATAGAGGCAGCCTTGGCACTTTTAGAATGGAATACTACTGGATTCTGAACTCCTTGAAGGTTGTTTAATATTCATCTCTTTATTTTCAGTCTCTGACAGTGTATGGCATATAATTGTGTGCAAAGAATACTTCGCAAATAAGGATATAATTTAGACAAGCTTACTTATTTTGTTTTTAAGGTTCAATTCAACAATACTTCATGGGGTTTCACAAAGAATCTCAGAGATGCTATTCCCTGCCTTGAATAAATTTTAGAATCATTGTTTTCATATTAAACTTGGTATAGTCAACTTTACTTTGTCTAGTTAGAAGAAATGGAAAGGCAATCAATCAAGACTATGAATGAAGGTGAGAAACTTTTGAAAGGCTTTTTTCCAAGCTTTAAATTTGCATGATAATAAGAAGGGTTTTTCTACAGGTATTTAAAAAGCTATCCTAAAATCTTTAGAAAATATTTTTAAGGCAAAACTCAAAATGCAATGTCGATAATTAGCATTTTTTAAAGCTTGTGAGCAATATTTATTGACGCTGAGGAGGAAATCATATTAAAGTCTCCAGTTATTCCTCAATTCAAGAAATCACCTTCTCTCCTGAAATTTTAAAAAAGAAGGTGTCCACTGGGGACCTAAACTCCTTTGGAAATAAATTGCTTGTTTTTGTTTTTCTTCCACAAACACCAGATGAAAGTTAAAGCAGATAAATAAACCTTTGCAGTTTCAGTTCATATAAAGCCTCGTCTACACACTGGAGCATAACCACATTTCATCATTTAATTATAGATAGTCTCATATGATAATTATGCAAAGTAGACTTTCATTATGTCTCAAATTGAGACCTGAAAAATGTGGATTTGGTAGGTGGAAGGAATCAGTTGATGAATTTCTGCTACGGAGCTTTGCGCTGTTAATCACAACAATGAAGTGGGAATGAAGGGTGAAGGAAAGAAAAAAGAAAATGTTTGGTAGAAACATCTGGAGATAAATCGAACTCTCCTTTTCTGAAAAAGGCTGCCTTGGAATGTTATGCCTATAAGTATTATTTTATGGGCATTATAAAATCATGCACAATTAAGCAGCAAATTAAGCATGGAAAGGCCACAATTCACTTTTCATAGGCATGTCTCAGAACGTGTTTAATATGTTGAAAGTGGATGAAAATGCAGGTTGGATAGACAGAGTTTAGGCACTTGTCCTCTGTAGATATCAAATTTAGGTGTTTATAGATAATAATATAATTGCTAATATTTTTAATCTTACCCATGCCACATGAAAAGATAAACCTTTTCTGTGTGTGACTATTATTGCTAAATAGAATGCAAAGCTTTCTGGATTCAGTTTCGGATATATTAAAATCTGAGATTGTTCCCACTTGTGAGCAGTTTCTCTCTCCATAGCATTTTCCTTGAATTCTGAGAATTTATTAGTAAGTGATTGAATGAACAGTAGCTTGATCCTCAGATAATGGTATTTCCACTTTCTTGAATATGATCATTAGACAATAGAAGCCACAAGTGAGCCACCTGGTTTTGGCCTAAAGGAAAAAATCAAGCTCAATATTAGCCTAATTTAAAACAAATTGAATAAAATTGTTTTCAAAGGCTCTAAGACTCAAATCTATCAAATATTAGTGACACTAAAATGCCTGTGTTTATATTATGAACATAATCTGACAATATTCAGAAAGTCATCTGAATTATTTCAATGTGTCTTCAATCAAATATTTACATAATATCGACTTAGGAAACCCTTTATTCTATAAAAACTGAAGATAAATAATGATCCCCAAACATTCTTACAGAATTCATAAGAGAATTGGTGTCAGGATGTTTTAAAAGTGGCATATGATTCTCCTTTAAAATGTATGTATGTGTTTGGTTTTCTATTTATTTCACTGGAAAAAAAGAAAAAAATGTATGTGTGTGCATGTGTTTATACACGTACACATTTGAAATAGGCAGAAAAAGAATTTTAAATTAAGAGGCATTTGAAATATACTGATAAGCAACTGATGTTTTAAGCAAATTGGCATTCCTTGTGGCGTGGGAGATTTCATTACAAAAGGGATACAGTGAATTGGAAATATATTGGCTTGTCTATATCATGCAAAATCATTTGGATTATTTCTAGGTGGAAAAGAAAGCAAATTGAAATGTGAAATATAGTTGGAAAGGCTCATTATCTCTGTCGCTATGCTCAAACCTATGATATAGTTGTAAAATACTCCAAAACATTTTATATATCCCACTCTTAAGATTCTTGTCATAATGTCACCTTTATCGACTTACATACTGAACATAAAAAACTTTCGTTTTCAATTCAGATCTTCACAGACATGGACCAGCCATCCTGATCAGTAACAGCATCATGAGGTGTATTATGTGGTATTTGCTAGATTCTTACCTTATACCCAAAGGGAGGAAATCCTGGGCCCTGCCATTTTGCACTTCATGAAGTTTCCTTCATCATTTAACAATTCTCAGGCTGAGCGTGGTGGCTCACGCCTGTAATCCCAGCACTTTGGGAGGCCAAGGTGGGTAGATCACTGGAGGTCAGGGTTCGAGACCAGCCTGGCCAACATGGTGAAATCCCGTCTCTACTAAAAATACAAAAAAATTAGCCGGGCATGGTGACACATGCCTGTAATCCCAGCTACTCAGGAGGCTGAGGCAGGAGAATCGTTTGAACCCAGGAGGTGGAAGTTGCAGTGAGCTGAGATCATGCTACTGCATTCCAGCCTGGGAGACCGAGCAAGACTCCGTGTCAAAAATAAACAAACAAAAAACCAATTATCTTAATTGCTATCTTTTATGCACCACTGAACTCAAATTAAAGACATAAGAAGAATTCTACAGGCCAGGCCAGAATGGTTTTTAAAAATGTGTTAAGTTTGGCAATTCCTCAATAAGTTAAACATAGAGTTACTATATGACCCAGCAATTCCACTCCTAGGTACTGTATATACCCAAAAGAATTTAAAACAGGTGTTCAAACAAAAAATTGTACATGATCGTTTACAGCAACACTATTCATGAGAACTAAGAGGTAGAAACAACCCAAATATGCATGAATGGATAAATGGATGAACAAATAGTGACACACACACACACACACACACACACACACTCATAATGGAATATTATTCAGCCATAAAAAGGAATGAAGTACTGATACATACTACAACATGAATGATCCTTGAAAATATGTTATTAAGTGAAAGAAGCCAGATGCAAAAGGCTACATCTTACAGGATTCCATTTATATGAAACATCCAGAAGAGGCAAATCCATGGAGACAGCAGATTAGTGGTTGCTAGGGGTGGGGAGAAGGGGGATGGGAAATAAATGCTTAATGATTATAAAGTTTCATTTTGGGGTAATGAAAATGTTCTGGAACTAGATAGTGATGATGGTTGCAAAACATTATGAATGTATTAAATGTAACTAGCAGTAAATTTTAGGTTATGTATATTTTACCACAATAAAAAATGCATTAAAGGCCAGGTGCGGTGGCTCACGCCTGTAATCCCAGCACTTTGGGAGGCCTAGGAGGGTGGATCACGAGGTCAGGAGTTCGAGACCAGCCTGGCCAATATGGTGAAACCCTGTCTCTACTAAAAATACAAAAATTAGATAGGCGTGGTGGCGCGAACTTGTACTCCCAGCTACTTGGGAGGCTGAGGCAGGAGAATCACTTGAACCCGCGAGGCAGAGGTTGCACTGAGCTGAGATCACACCGCTACACTCCAGCCTGGGCGACAGAGTGAGATTCCGTCTCAAAAAAAAAAACAAAAAAAGCATTAAAATATTTCCCTTTGAGGGGCTAATTTTCTCTCTGAATCTCCCTCATTTTCTTCAGTGCCTCTTTGGAGCATTGCCTGGGAGTAAGGATAATCCTTAAAGGAAACGAAAGCTCCCTTGCAAAGTACAATGATCAAATTTCCTGTACCATTATTCACATGATCTTTTCCAAGGAAAGGAGTGGGAAAAGGAAGGAGAAGGAAGAGTGTCTATAAAGGAAGAGCCTGAGAGAAAGGAAGATCTAATTAATCCCACCTGCTTGAGGAAGGTTTTATAATAATGTTTTGGGCAGGTTCTGGGTATAATAAATTGTGTTTGTGATTCTGAGCAGGAGAATCGTTGCTGTAGAATTAGCTTCCGGTCTCCACACTTTTGTGTAGCAGTGAGCAAACAAGTGACAGCTAAAGCTTATGTCTGCATGGTCCGCTTATTAATTTCAATAGCTAAATTAAGAATGATCAGCCACTGATCCAGATCAAACCTTGCAGTGGGCAACCAACCATGATGAATGTTAAACTCTGCAATAAATAATAACAGCAAGATGCAAACATCAGATATTAAAGCTGCCACTTTTTGGAGGACCACTGGGTACTATCTCCTCGGCATTAGATCCATACTTTATGTGTTTAATGACAGCAAAGAACAAGCTTTAGGAGTGGCTGAGACTAAAAGTGGACTGTCTTGGAACCAGGTGGTTGGTGGAGGTCCTAAGTGATTGAACATAACTTCCATGTGCGTTTTAGCTCTTTTAGTATTTGGCCAAAGCCAGCTGTCCAGTATTTAATCAACTCTTGGCTCTGGCAACATGGAGGAATAGAAAGGTCACAGCATGCAGTGTGAAGAGGCTTGCCTTTGCCACTAACTAGCATCTGGCCTTTAGTTTCTGTTTCTACAATGCATATTTCTTGAATGCTTCTAATGTACAAGGCTGAATAGGCTCTGAATAGGCTCTTCCTGAAGTACAAAGATATGCCAATATATCGATCTATTTCAAGAGTCTTCTATGTATCAGACACTATACATATATTATTCCTGATTTCATGAAATAGATTTAGATATATTATTCCCAATTTTCAGCAGACATAGCTGTAGTTCAGAGAACAAAATATTATTCTTTTTTAAACATATAATCAATCTAAAATTGTTAATATTTAATTTTTTGGTATTAATGTCATCAAAATCTTACATGTAGTTTACACTTACAGCACATCTCAAATCAGACTAGACACATTTCCAGTCCTCATGTGACTAGTGACTTCTGTATTGGACGGAGCAAGTCCAGAGTGACTTTTGCTGAAATGCAAAGGAAGGTACCATGGAATGATGTGTTTAGGAATAAGTAAGGTATACAGAAGTAGAAGCGAGGGTTATTTTTCATAAGAGTCTGGGTGACAGGAAAAATGGAGCTTGGGCTGCAGGTGGAATGGGAGATGGGAAATTGAAAATTGATTATGGTCGGGCACAGTGGCTCATACCTGTAATCTCAGCACTTTGGGAGGCCAAGGCAGGTGGATCAGGAGGTCAGGAGTTCGAGACCAGCCTGGCCAACATGGTGAAACCCCATCTCTACTACAAATACAAAAATTAGCTGGGTGTGGTGGCAGGGGCCTGTAATCCCAGCTACTCAGGAGGCTGAGGCAGGAGAATTGCTTGAACCTGGGAGGCAGAGGTTGCAGTGAGCTGAGATCGCGCCCTGCACTCCAGCCTGGATGACAGAGCAAGACTCCGCCTCAAGAAAAAAAAAATTGATTATTTGGCTAGGCGCGGTGCTGACGCCTGTAATTTCAGCACTTTGGGAGGCCGAAGTGCGCAGATCACTTGAGGTCAGGAGTTCGAGATCAGCCTGGTCAATATAGTGAAGCCCCGTGTCTACTAAAAATACAAAAATTAGCTGGGTATGGTGGCTGGCACCTGTAATCCCAGCTACTGGGGAGGCTGAAGCAGAACCACTTGAACTCGGAAGGCGGAGGTTGCAGTGAACAGAGATAGTGCCACTGCACTCCAGCATGAGCAACACAGTGAGACTCTGCCTCAAAAAAATTAAATTAAAAAAATAAAAATAGAGAAACCCAATTCACTCCACATACTTTAGCATGTTTCTCCTGAGAATAATGACCTTATACATAATTGTAGTACACTTATTCCACTCTAGAAGTTTCTAATACTACTTTGCAATATAGGGTATACTAAAATTTCCTTCCTTTTCCTGAAATGCAACCCCTCACCTTTGATTCAGAATTATTTGAACCATGCACACAGCATTTAGTCTCTTTAGTCAAGTAATAAAACAGTCCTCTTTTTGTTTTCAGATATTGACGAAGCAGAAGTCCATTTTTCCCATTATTGGTGATGCTAACTTGGGTTAAGGTGGCTTCTTCCAAGTCTCTATTGTAAAGGAACGTTCTTTTTTTTTCCTCCTTTGTAATTCATAATATGTGGGCTAGGGCTTCCAAACCTTGTGACTATCTAGTTCCTCAACAGTCTTCATCTGATAGTTTTAGCAGTGATGATCGTTTTCTAAATTAACTACACTGGTGGTTGCAATAGAACCCATAGTTGTTTTGTGTGTGTGAAGAGGTCCGCCTTAAGAAGCCGTCAATAATGGACAGCTGAGGGGATATTAGATGTTACCAGGACTGGAAATGCCAGCTTCATCACCATCTGTAAAGCCATAAAACAGTGAAATCACACTCTCAACTAGTGAATCCAGTGCATCGCTCCAAACACTATGTTTAAAAAACGAGTAAACCAAATTTATTTAGAGACGAGCCAGAAGGCTGGACCGGTTTTGGCCCGAGTGCCCAGGCAGGGCACAGGTGAGCTTTAAAATCCGGGTAGGTTCAAGGGGCTTTGAGGAACGCTAATCCCTTCATGTAAGATAATCAATTTCCGAATTTCGGTTTCCTCTTTGTTCAATGGCAGGAGTTCCTCCAGAGTTCCCAGGACGTTGCCCAGGTTGCCAGCAAAGTGGAGCCGCGGGTCCTGCTCCTTAGGGCCGAGGGGATACGGACCCTCCTTTGGAACGTGTGAGGCAGGAACTCGATTCGGCAGCTACTGGGTGGTCCTCGCACCCTCAAGCCTGGACGCCCGCTTTCTGAGGTTCAGGCCCCACCGGTTGTTCCCTAGAAGAGTCAACAGCGCCCCGCCCCCAGCCATTCCCAAGCCCAGGAGATTCTGGTGCGAAAGACACAGGTCAATGCAGGTGGAAACCCTAGTTAACCTGCAGACAGCTGGGCCCGGGTGAGGCTCTCTTGAGGTCGCGGGAAGCGGCAGAGATGGCAACCAGCTGGACCGCAGACAGGGCGGCGGGGCGCGCAGACTCAGGGTCCTGGCCAGGGCCGGGGGCGGGGCCGCCAGGTGCGAGGCTTTACCAGCACTGAGGCTCAGCTGGTGCGGTTAGGCCTGGCTTGCGCTGGAGCGTGGTTTTGGTTATGAGGATCATAATATGGGAACGCTCCCGGCACGTAGAAATATTCTGCCGTGGGTGAAAGTTCCCGAAGACCTGAAAGATCCAGAGGTGTTCCAGGTCCAGACGCGGCTGCTGGAAGCCATGTTCGGTGAGTGTGCCCAGTACTGGCGGAGCTTCCCTGGACCGGCCGTCTCAGCCGGCCTGGGGCTCTCATCCCTTTCCCCCAAAAGACAAAATATTCTTATCCTTGAGAAGTTTACAATTTGATGAGGGTTGATAAATGTATTCATGATTTTAATACACTTTAGAATATTGTAAGTCATGCAATTGCAGAATTCTTGCCCTGGAAGGGAGCTGAGTAATCAGAATGCAAACTCTTGACAGATGAGCATATGTTCTCATAGTGACCAATAGCAGATTAGTAATAGAGGTGGTGGCAGATGCCAGGGTCAAAGACATAATGAAGATTCAGAGAAATGAGGGTGCCACAGGGTTTTGAAATCCAAGAAAAGCTTGATTGAGGAGGGAGCATAGGAAATCAATCTTAAAGGATCAGTTGGATGGTGGGAGAGGGAAGGCAGGCGAGTTGCAAGCAAAGGCATAGAAGGAAGAGCAATGAGTGACTTTTGCAACCGGGAAGTAGTAAGAATCCAGTTAAAAAGGCAGCAGATGCTGTCAGTGTTTTGTGCACGCCCGTATTCCCAGAATCCCTTTACTGTTTCACTACATGCTGCCTTCTGGGGCTTTCACTCCCAACAGCCAGCACCTGTGTCTCTTGGTTGGCTGACAGCACTGGGCTGCTTTGCCTGTGTGCACAGAGAGCTGGAAAAAATTTACAATGAAAAGAAAGGAGCCTGTAGGAGGATAAGGGGGTGGAATGACTCCAGCTTCTTGTCCTTAGAGATGGAGACACCTATGAAGTGTGACCTTCACTGTCCATAGTGCTTTCCTGCAGGGCTGAGCAGAAGTCCTCTTCATGGGATTTTCTGGATGTTGCACCCTTGCTCAGTCTCCTTCCCTTCCCTGTCCTGCCTCCCTCCTCCCACAGGGGAGTTTGCCAGCGAAATTTCCTAATAAATCACTTTGCCAGAAATCCTTGTCTCAGGTATGCAACCTGAGACAAGGGCGATATCATGGAGCTTTGGAAGATAGGATGTGAAGCACATTCTGAATAGGGGAAGCCATGAAAGTTTTTAAGCCTTGGAAAATGAATTTGCTGGTGACATGGATGGTCTGAAGAAAACTGGAAGACTATTTTCATCAGGCAGTTATTATTACTTACATTTTCTGTCTCAGAAAGGAACCAATACAAAGAGAAAGCAACCATCTTCAGGGATCTACTTTAATATCTGCGTGAAGGGCATATAGTGAAAGCATGGCAATTAATTCATGATTATAGCATATTGTATAATTAGATGTAAGAAGATAATTCATTAATTCTTGCATGCATGCATTTAATATTTTTGATAACCTATTATGTGCCGGGCATTGTTCTAAGCACTGCAGAGACAGCAGACAAGCATACACACATCCCTGCACTCATGGGAACTTACATTCTAGTGAGACATAGTAAAATATGGAGATCAAATATACACCAAGTCAGAGGCTAATGAGAAGTATGGAGGAAAATAACATAGGAAATGAATAAAGAAGTGTCAGATGGCAGGGTGGGAGGTGGAGGCAGGAAAGGCCTCATGAGAAAATGGCATTTGAGCAAGAATCTGAAGGAAGAGAGGGAGTGAATCATGGATACCTGAGAGAAGGGCATTCTTGGCAGAGGGAACTGCAAATGCAAAGGCCTCAGGCTGCAGGGTGCCTGGCATGTTCAAGGAATCACAAGCAGGCAGTGGGCGGGAGGAGGACGAGCCGAGGGAGAGTAGCAGGACATGAGGACAGAGAGACAGGCTACACGAGGCCTGGTAAGACATTTATTCAAACACTCAAGTACCTACTGGATACCACTCTGGTAGAATTTATTTGCTTAAAATTAATAAACAGATTATAAATGATTCTTGGCCATTAGTTTAAGCAAAATTTCTTCTTGACTGTTTTTCAAGCACTAGTATATATTGTTATATGAATCTTAATCATGTTATACTTACTTTTCAGATATCTTTCAGTTCTAAAATTTCAATTTGAAAAATAATTTCTAGTTCTCTGCTGAGATTGCCTATCTTTTCATTTATTACACATATATTTTAGGTCATTGAGGATGGTTATGCTCATCTGCACCTGGTCTCTATTGATTATCTTCTCTAAGAATGGTTCATGTAATTTTCCTGTTTCTTTATATGCCAAGTGATTTTGGATTATATCCTGGACATTGTGATGTTATATTGTGGAGACTGTTTCAGAGAAACATAACAGAATTTCAATCAACTAATTTGGTTGGACTCAAACTGCATACTGTCTTTTAGGCATTAGCTAAAATTTCAGTTTGGTTTTCTTATCTTTAGCTAGACTGCTTCTAGCTTGCTTGCACACGTGTGGTTCAGGAGTTAGCCAGAGATTTGAGCAGAGTTTATACAGTAGTCCACGTTTATTTGCAGTTTTGCTTTCCACAGTTTCAGTTATCTGTGGTCAACTGCAGTCCAAAAATATTAAATGTAAAATTCCAGAAATGAACTGTGCATAGGTTTTAACCTGTACACCATTCTTAGTAGCCTAATGAAATCTCATGCCATCCTGCTCTATCCCTCCCAAGAAGTGAATCATCCCTTTCTCCAGTGTATTCACACTATATATACTACACACCCATTAGTCATTGACATTGTCTGCTCCTGACATCCTAGGGTCAACAGTGTCATGGCTCAATAATCCAGGAGCATCAGAGGCAGGTGATCCTCCTTTTGATGTAGCATAAGGAGATCAATAGTAGCCTAAAGCTATGCCACAACGTCTATATCACTCACCTCAATTCATCTCACCACGTAGGCATTTTATCATCTCACATCATCACGAGAAGGGGTGAGTCATTTTGAGAGCAAGAAAGAGACCACATTCACATAATTTTATTATAGTATGTTGTTATAAATGGTCTATTCATTATTAGTTATTGTTGTTAATCTTCCTGTGCCTAATTTATAAATTAAACTTTATCATGGGTATAGGAAAAACATTGTATATATAGGGTTTCAGTACTATCTGTGGTTTCAGGCATCAACTGGGGGATGTTGGTATGTTGCAGATAAGGGGAGACTACTGTACAGAGAATGAAGGGTACATCTTCTTTGGCTTTCTCCTTTATGGGATTTCTCTCTTTATTTTCCAGCAGGACTGGTTGCCCCAAACTCTGGCCCCTTGTTCTTCAGGCCAGAAAAACTATAGGTTTTCTATTAGAGTTTTAGCCACTGGACATGGGGCCAACTGTGACATGCCTTAGACTAAAAGCCACAAAAACTGGTAAACTTACCTCTTGTCATTCCTTTCTTCCAAGTGTCAACTCCCCTCTTGAATCTAACTGCTTTTGTTCATTTTTCAATGCCTTGTGGTATTTAAATATTTTTTATTTTGTCCAGAGTTTATAGTTGTTTTATGCAAGATCAGTCTGGTAGGAACTTCTTTGGCCATACTGGAAGTGGAAATTCATTTTTATTTTTAAACAAATCTGTAATCTGAACTTTTAACCTATTCCAATAGCTTTCCTTCTAATGGAGTAAAGTTTTATTTTCCAAAGACATTTTATCCCTTAGTTTTAATGTCTTCTTTCCTTCAATCTCATCATTTTCTGGAGCTGTGACAAGAAAGTCTTTTCGGTTTTCTTTTGTTTATTGTCAATACCTTTGGACTGTAAAAAAGCATTCATGAAGCAAACTGGATTCAACTTTCTGTCCAGGAAGAATTCAGAAAAGGTACTAACTCAATAATCAGCTTCTGATGAATCAAGAAATTGATTTTTGTCTAAAAAAAATCTATGGGTTTAAAAAAATAAAATATGAAAAGCATTACTACTTTACAATGGAGCTAGAAAGCTAAACATCTGCTAGCAAGCTGAACAGAGCATGCCCAGTCCGGTCCCTGACTCACGATCCCTGCACGTGGGCTCCACTGGGGGACCACAAGGATTTAGAGACAAGGTCAGAAACCGATTGTCCCGGAAGCTGAAATGACTCAAAACAATACATAATGGATCTACTGAAGTAACTCTCCTTAGTAGATGGCTTTGAAATGTGTCCCTGAAGATAGGCTAGAGTCTGCAGTCTAATCCAATTAAGAAAACTAAGATGTTCTCAAGGGCTATAAGCTACTCAGTTGCATTGTAAGAAGTCTGAGACAATAGTTGTATTATAAAATTGGAAGAATGGTCTGAAGAGTGTCTAGAAAAAGTAGAATGGAAAAAACCGATTTTGAGAATTCATTTAGCACTATCAAACAGCAACATTTTATATATTACAGAGCTACATAGATTTTTTCACTAAAGTCAGGTTTTAGTGTTAGGGTGGGAGATAGTTATTCCAGGCATTTCTATACCTTGGATGAAATATTCTCCATGACTATCCAATTTATTTTCTTTTGACTCAGTGCTCTTTAAGCAGTTTCTTTTTTTCACCCCCATTTACTACTTCAACTTTCCTGATACCTGGATAGAAGACAGGAATATTCATTCCTTTGGAAAGTTACATTTTCCATTGTGAATGCATAAACAACATCTAATTTGGCATCCTAAACTCTTTTGTGCAGTAAGGTGACACACACATGCATACATAGACACAGATACACATCTACATATATATATCATGCATTCTCAATAGGGACAGCATTGCTCCAACAAGGATGAAAATTGTTTTTTGGGGGGCAAAAATTTTATTCTTTCTATATGTAAAGCACAGATACACATACAGTATATAAACTTATATGCAGCATATTTGCGATATTAAAATGTTAGCGAGTGCAATTAATAGAAAATACTTAAAAAGGCTTCTTTTGCTGGTGGTATAGATAATAAAAAAGGGTTCGAAAACAGTAACATAAACACACAAACACACTATACAGTATGTATATATATATCTCAGAATACAAGTTAGGTGTAGACATTTATAATTATACAATAGACACGGATTTTCTATCTATATCTACATTTACATCCATTTGGGGTTTCGTGTGAGTCTGTCAGTTCAATATCATGATCACCTCAAAAAACTGTGCCCCAACTTAGATCTGATAATGACCCACTGTAGACAGTGGATAAAAAAAACATAAAACTAGTCACCAAGGCACATCCTAGAAAGATCTCACTGCAATCTGATCTTACTGGCAACACCAGCGGGTGAGCAGTCCTACTCTCTGCTGCCACTGCAGCTAGATTGGGACCTCCCAGGCATAATCCTCTGACCCAGTGCTGTGGACTGAATTGTGACCCCTAAAATTCCTGTGTTGAAGCCCTAACCCCAAATATGATATTTGGAGATGGGGCCTTTGGGCCATAATAAGGTTTAGATGAGGTCAAGAGGGGAAGGCCCTCATGATGAGATTAGTGCCCTTATAAGAAGAGACACCAGAGAGCTTGCTGTCTCTGTCTACCATGTGAAGACAGAGCAAGAAGGCAGCTATCTGCAAGCCCTAAAGCGGGCCTTCACCTAGAACTGACCATGCTGGCACACTAATCATGGACTTCTAGCCTCCAGAACTGTGATAAAATAAATGTCTATCTTTTAAGCCACCCAATCGTTGGTATTTTGTTATGGCAGCCCAAGTTGACTAAGACCCCAATAATACCCCAATAGGTAGGCATGTGAGTGTTGCATGCAGCCTCCAAAGTGGACAGATGTAGAACTTTCTTTTCAATGGCCCTGAAACTCTTGCATCCACTCCAGTTTGCCAGCCATCTGAGGTCTAGCTTATGTTCAGGCACATTTCTTTTGGTTCCCCAGCTTTCAAGCCCTGCCTTCTTGGGCACCTTCCTCCATTCCTTATCAGCTATGGCCTCTTGTCCTTAGCCCTTGGTCCCATCCAAGCTACTCTCTTAGGTTGCACTGGGTTTAAATGACTAATAACCCACTCTTCCTCACCCTTCCTATCACTTTAGATTTAGCCAAGCTTGCTGGCTTCAGGCTCCCCACACACTCTCATCTCCTTGCCCACACTGCCCTCTTCTTGAGGCATAACTCTTCCACCATCTTCATCTCAAAAAATCCTACAGACCACCCACACCAATTCAAATGAAGCCTCTACCCAAAAGCCTTCCTAAGCCTCACTCTAGAAATAGCATCTCCCCACTCCATAATCCCCCCTCACTTTCTTCCTACTTCTCCCATTGCATGTATCATATTTTGATCAATTACCATTGCCTGCATAAGGATCTTCTCTCATCTACTCTGGACCGTAGCCTTCTCCAGGAGGGAAGGTTCTTTTGGTGATTTATTTTAGAAATCCAGAGCACCTAACGCAATGGTTGGAATTAATAAACAGCTGTGGATTAAAACTAAAGTGTCATCTCTCCCCAGTAACTAATAAACATTTACTGAGCCCCCACTATATATGAGGCTTTTGCTACTGTGGGATGATGAAAAACACATAATTCTTTTTCTCAAGGGCCTCAGAATTCAGATCCATGAATTTGCAATGTAACAGTAATCAGAGCCTTAAATTGACAACTATCATGGAATTCAGGAATTCCTGGTCCCTCAAAGACCTCTGACCAGTCCAGGTGACAGACACAGCTCATTAAACTGTCCTCAGAGTGAATGCCCACTCCTACACCTTTCCCTACGGCAGAGAGAAAATGGCTAAAAAATGGTGAATACTCTACCCTCAATGATCTCTGTTTCCTTTTTTGTTTATAAACAATGTGCTAAAGATAATTTCTAAGCCTTTAATGATACTCATAGCAGTGGATTACCATGGGGTGTGGAAAGAGCCCCATCCGAATACCCCAGGATCCCATCAGGAAGGTGCCCTCTGAGCAATAACATCCACTTTATCTTGCCATTACTATTAGCCTGCCTTCTGCAACCCTGAGAAAAGATTTGTTTTCCTTGCTTGAATTCTCACAGAAGAGTGCCTGAGGGTACTGTCTTGAAAGAAAAGACTGGCAGGTTTCTTGTTTCACAAATGGAGCCAGCAGGCCTTAAGCAGATGAGGATGTGGTATGGTATAAATATAAATTTCTCTGGACAGATGACTGCCTCCTGTGTCCTCACAGACCCAGACATATCTCAGGGATCTGCATTAATGTGGGCTCTGTTCAGAATTTTTTAAATGTTTCCTCTCCAACTTCAGCATGATCAATTACAAGTCTGGATTAAACCTCTTTTTCTTATTTTAGTTTCATTAAAAATGTTTTGGGTCCAACTTGAAGTCAAAGGCTTTATTATTATTAGAGAAGAGCATCTAACGATAGCCCATTTTAACTCTGAACTTGGCTGTAGGAAGGTGAGTGTTTTTTCTTTTATATACAAAGAGCTTTGGCGATCAGAAGTCAAGGGGTTTGGGTTCTACTGACATCCATCGGATGAGATTTTGGAACACATCATGAAGCCCTTACCCTGGGGTCAGTCCTCCCTGGAACTGTATACAAAGTTGGATATGTAGACATGGTTATGCATTGTGTTAGTTTCCCATTGCCGCCATGACAAATTACCATGAGCTTAGTGGCTTAAAATAACACAGATTTATCCGAAGTCTGAAATGGGTCTTTCTAGGCTAAAATCAGGGTGTTGGCAGGGCTGGTTCCTTTCTGAAGGCCCTAGGGGGGAGTCTGTTTCCTTGTGTTTTCCAGCTTCTAGAGGCTGCTCACATTCCTTGGCTCATGGGCCCCTTTCATCTTCAAAGCCAGCAATGGCCCATCAAGTCTTTTTCACCTCATATCGCTCTGACTCTTCTGCTTCCCTCTTGCACATTTAAGGACCCTTGTGATTACACTGAATCTGTGTAGATGATCCAAGATGATCTCCCTGTTTTAAGGTCAGCTGATAAGAAACCTCAATTCCATCTGCAATCTGAACTGTCCTTTGTCATGTAATGTAATATATTCACAGATTTGGGGCATGAGGGTATAGACATCTTTGGAGGGCTATCATTCTGCCTACAATATGCATCTTCCTGGGGGAAAGGGCTACTAGCTGTCAACAGGTTCTCAAAGGGGAATTCAAGAACCACTGAATTCAATGCTAAAAGGTTCCTTGAAGCTCTAACTTGGCTTGATTCTAAGAATGTTAGCATCATCCACCTGGGCCTCAATTTTATTAGGACCGAGCAACAGCAAAGGTCATAGGGGAAATAAGATACGGTTCTGGAAAAAAAAAAAAAAGACCTTTACTTATAAATGTGAATTTACTACTTATTTTTTTTATGATCTACTTAACAGATGAGGAAAACAAGAGGATAGTTGACCTTATAGATTCATGAAAAGACTGACAATAAATTATGATGTTCAGGATAAAGTACACTTTTTATTTCTTTTATTAATAGCATTCAAATAATCATGTACATCAAATAGGTTCTCTATGAATGGCATCACTTAAGGGACCTCCCTGATCTGTCATTTCCAGCAGATGGCCAAGGGACTGGCAGTCTCTCTCCTGAAATTAGGGCTTCTTTTAACGAGTTCATGGAAGGGGAAGACTGATACAAAAGCTGTCAGGAAGGGAGACTAGTCTTCATAGATGTTCTTATTTAATGAGCAACCTCAGGAGATTAGGAGAGTGTCAGAGGAAAAGCCTAATTTTCAATGTGGCATTTTATTGGGTTGAAGATGTTTATAAATCCCAGCCCTGAAATTTACATCTACCTTTCAATGTGTATTTAAAATACCCCGGGCTGGGCACAGTGCTTATGCCTATGATCCCATTCAGATCCCAGCACTTTGGGAGGCCGAGGTGGGATGATCACTTGAGCTTAGAAATTCGAGACCAGCCTGGGCAGCATGGCGAAACTCTGTCTCTACAAAAACTACAAAAATTATTCAGGCGTGGTGGCATGTGCCTGTGGTCCCAGCTGCTGGGGAGGCTGAAGTGGGAGGATTGCTTGAGTCTGGGAGGTGGAGGTTGCAGTGCGCCGAGATCACGCCACTGCACTCCAGCCTGGGCAACAAAGTGAGACTTTGTTTCAAAAAATAGAAAATAAAAAAATAAAAGGCTCCACCATGCTAAAGATTCCATGGAGTTTAGTCTGATCCTTCCCTTTCCACACATGTCTAACAGAATATTCTCATTCTCTAGCATAGCACTTATAAATGGGTTATATCCATTGATATTTACCATGTTGGGAATTAAAACTGAGAAAAAATTTTAAATACTTACTAATTCATTAAAATAACAATAATAGGCCAGGTGTGGTGGCTCACGCCTGTAATCCCAGCACTTTAGAAGGCTGAGGTGGGTGAATCACTTGAGGTCAGGAGTTCAAGACCAGCCTGGCCAACATGGTGAAACCCATCTCTACTAACAATACAAAAATTAGCTGGGTATGGCGGCACATGCCTGTAATCCCAGCTACTCAGGAGGCTGAGGCAGGAGAATCACTTGAAGCTGGGAGGCAGAAGTTGCAGTGAGCTGAGACCATGCCACTGCACTCCAGCCTGGGTGACAGCGTGAGACTGTCTCAAAAAAATAAATAAAAATAAATAAACTCATTATATTTTAACATAAGCAACATATTTATAAAATATATGTTCCAAAACAAAATTTAGAAGAGTGGCACTGCTTTACATTAAAAAAAAAATCTTTAATGTCTGGCTCAATAGAAGATAGCTGGATTTTCATATCTGCTTCTGCATTCAGTCTCTTGTGAGATCACACATCCAAAAAACGCCATTGTGTACTTGTGACAGAATGTGAGTGAAAAGGACAACTAACATCTTTGTATTGTGAAAATAGTTTTGACATTCTGGATCTCCTGAATGGATCTTCAGTATTCCCAGAGGTCCCTAGATCACACTTTGAGAATCACTGCTCTAGTATGTCTCTCAACCAGGGAGTTAAGACTATATGGACCCCCGTTAAGTGACAAACTTATAAACGCAAGAGAATATGTACTGGGACTGGAGTCAGGGAAAAAGTGTCTTGAAAAGTGAAATTTTCCTCCATGGCTCCATATTACCACTGTAAATGAATTTAGTCTTTAAGAAGCAATCACAGTTTTGGGGACTTGGTCTCTGAGGAAGTCTCTGGCATGCTGGTCTACCCACTTCACTCTAAGATTCCTTCTACATAGGTCTGGTCTACTTTTTTATCCTTCATTTTGTTCTGAGAGTTTTCAAACTAGAAGAGTTTTTGAGCAGCTATTAACCAGTGACCTAAGAATAAAAGTCAAATTTCCTTTTTAAGTCCTTTTTAATAAGACAGGCAGAGCTCTGTTGTGCTTTAAAGGTACAAAGCCAAAGCACTTGATCAGTGTTCTCTTTGAAAATTTCTTGGACTTGCCCCTCAATTACGTTAAGAACTATTGGGGCTCAGGATACATCAACTCAAAAAATGACTATAGGAGATCAGAATATGTCACCCTTAAATATACTTCTTTAGCATATTTAGAGCTGGCTATTCTGAAAAACTGCAGACATAAGAGTCGCTATGATGAAACTGTCCTTTGGTAAAAATTTTGTAAAAAATTACATCTATAAAGGAAATCTACATTAGTCAAAGTATCTGTGTCAGAAAGAGGGCTGCTTAGAGACAAGTTTTATACCTGAGAGACTTTTTATTTGTACAGCAAGACAAGCTTCATTCACCACACATTTCTTCCTCTCACCTGCCCATGACTTGATGCCACCTCCCCAGAGAAGCCCCAAGCCACTATTCCTTTCTGTAGCTCAGGATGCTATATAAGCTTCAATTACCTGGCTCTTCTTAGACTCTCATATTTTGTGGGACTCCTGTGCGTATGTACATAATTACCTATTTTTTTCTCCTATTAATCTGTCTTATGTCAGTTTAGTTCGTAGTATAGTCAAAGAATGTAGAAGGGTGGAGGGAAGCCATTTTTCCCTCCCTTACTGCATGTAATGGGTAGAAGCCAGAAATGCTGCCTAGCATCCTACAGTGCATAAGATAGACACCCCCATAACAAAAAGCATCTGGCTTCAAATGTCAATAGAGCCATGGCTGAGAAACTCTGCTATTAAAAAATGATTTTATTTTTAATTTTAATCTTACAAGCTTTAGCATGTCTTTTTCTAAAGGCAGCATTTATTTTGCTTTCTTAAAAAGGAACTTAATCATTTCCCCTTTAATTATGCATTTTCAGGAATTTTTAGAACCCTAACATGATTACCTTAATATGTTTATACAGTAGAAGCTCTGGACTTAAAAATGGGTGAGTGAATTATAAGCACAGTTCAATGTAAGTCACAAGAAAGCAGTGTCTTACAGTTATCTGGGAAGCAATGGGTTAATCTAAGCTTTGAAAAGTTAAAAGTAAACCAAATAGCGTTTGTTATTGCAGGAATCATCAGAGGTCTTAAATGTCTAGAACATACTGCAAACCTCCCAAAGCGGTATATAATGCAGGGCATTTTAAAAACAGGGGCTCCTTTCTTAGGGAAACCTTTGGGTAGGAGTATTTTGAATAATAACACACTTGGAGAAACTGTCTTTTTAAGGGAAGGCAAATTGCTTCAGAAATATGCTAAGTGAAAACCCAATTAATCTTATGTTTTCCTTTTCTGTTTTCTTTAATTTAGAAAAAGTTCTCTTTGTTTAAAAGAAATAGAAATAAAATTACTATTATTTTATACTGTTAGCTGCTGACCACATAAAATGACCTTTTTTTGAAGCAAATGAAAGCTTCAGTGACCCCATGTTTAACAGAATGTAGCTTTAGAGCTGGGAAATTTTCAATCAAGTGAACAATAGTAATTAGGATACTCCTTTTCAAAGTCTTCCAAATCTAAGAATATTTATCATATCTTTTAACTATAGACACAATCATTCAGATGGGGATGAGTCAAGAATAGATGCTTTGCTGGAAGGGGAAGAAAGAGGAGGCCACAGGCCTCTAATTGAGCACTCCAGAAAAGCCAGAACATGGCCTGATTATTGCCAATTACAGAGTAGAATTAAAATTTAACATCTACAATTATGGGACAGAATTACTGTTCTGAGCTGTAAGCTCCAATTACTAAGACACAGTTAATCAAGATAGAAAGCCTGAAATGGCTCCTAGGAGAAAGGGGAAACAGGCAGGAAGAGGGAGGGGAAACTGCACCCTTTGTTTAGCTCCCATTAAGCCATTGTCGTGTTGCAGGTCATGTAAATTCACAGTTAACAAAAAAGTACATCCCATACTTCATTTAGTGTGACAAATGTTTAAAAAAATTTTTTTAACTGTTGCCATAGCAACACCTAGCTGCAAATACCATAATATGTTTTATATGTGAGTTAATAAGAATTTTATTGTTGTGATCATTTGTGTAGCTTTCACTTAAGTATTTCACAGGCATGCCTGGCTGAAGAGTAAATTATTCATTGTGGGAGAAAAGAGCTCAGTAGTTTAATAAATTCCATTCAGGCTTAAAGATTGGGTAGAGAATCTTACCTCAAAGTTTAGGTTTCGATGCAGATCACTTAGAGACATTTAAAACAAAAATAACATTTATTTTTATTTATGGTAATCCCCTTTTATGCACTGTTTCGCTTTCTGAGGTTTCAGTTACCTGAGATTAACCAAGTTCTGAAAATATTAAGTGGGAAATTCCAGAAAATAGACAATTCCTAAATTTTTAATTACTTGCCATTCTGAGTAGCGTGATGATATCTCACAATGTTTCTGCTCTACCGTGCTCTGGAGAACTATCCTTTTGTCCAGCAGATCCACCCTGTATACACTCCCTGCCCCTAAGTCGCTTAGTGGCCTTCTCAGTTATTAAATTGAAAAAACAGAATCCATAGGGTTCAGTAGTATCCTCGGTTCCAGGCATCCACTAGGGGTCTTGCAACATAACCCTTGCTATGAATAAAGGGGGACTACTGTACTGAGATAACAGTACTTCTCTGATACTGTGGTGTTAGAAAATAAATACATGTGGCCAGGCATGGTGGCTTATGCCTTTAGTCCTAGCACTTTGGGAGGCTGAGGTGTGTAGATCACAAGGTCAGGAGTTTGAGACCAGCCTGGGCAACATGGTGAAACCCCATCTCTACTAAAAATACCAAAATTAGCCATGTGTGGTGGTGGGTGCCTGTAGTCCCAGCTGCTCAGGAGGCTGAGGCAGGAGAATCACTTCAGCCCAGGAGGCAGAGGTTGCAGTGAGCTGAGATCGTGCCATTGCCTGGGCAACAGAGCAAGATTCCATCTCAGAAAAATAAAATAAAATAAAATAAAATAAAATAAATATATGTAAAGTTCAGAGAGTGGAGTTCTGTCTTTTCAGGGAGATTAGGAACTGGATGCTGCCCTGAGGCACTGGCAATGCAGGGGAAAGGGCAAAGGAATTACAGGAGATGCCTTGGGCTGCAATTCTAGCCTTGCTTCAGGCAGGTTGCTTCACCTCCCAGCAACTGTTGGGTAATTTACATGTACTCCAATACAATATCAACATAAAAGTGCTTGGCCAACTACAAAGTTATTCAATTAATGAAGAATATAAGGCAAACACTCAAACAGAGGGTAATGAAAGCCATTTAAATTTACCTGGTGCATAGTGTGTTCCACATTTGAGCTCTTTTAAGACACCTTCTGATTTGAACCCAAGGCAGCTGGAAGGAGGAACAAAACCACAGAACTACATAGGAGGTGCTAGATTTAGGAACCTGGCAGTCCTGTCACACTAATGCTATACCAAGTACTGCTGTAGATACACTAAAATGCTAGTTCCCGAACTGAAGACATTTACCTCCAGATTGAACCACTTAAAGCAATTTCTAAAATTTCTCAGGTTTAAGCACTTTTACTAGCGCTCAGCTGTTTCCACTGATACCTCTTTTGTTTTTAAATTAAATTTCTGTGTAACTAGACTGAAAGAAAGCATACTTGAATTAAATTATGTGTTAGTCTATAAGCACAAACTCTTAGTAAAAGTTAACAGAAAACAGAAACAGAGTGTGGTTTTTTAAAACTATTTTTTCTAAGTTTCCAAGTTAATTTTTTACTGACTTTGAATAGTGGGTAAAAAATATTGATCTCCTATTGATATAGGTGAATAAAATAATTCCCATTTTACTGATTGATAACCTGAGCCATAGAGAAGAAACTATCTTAATGCCTAAGGAGAGAAAAAATCTGAACTCTGGGTTTCCTGACTTTCAGCTTAAAAGCATTTTAATATTAATTACAACTTTGTATTAGCATAATTTTCTATACTGAAATTTTATCAAAATTTTTATTTGAAGTTTTCTGAAATTTCACTCTCTAATAGCTTAGAAATTTGAAAATTAGATGTTGTCTTCGTCTGCTTTATGTTGCTGTAACAGAATACCACAGACTGGGTAACTTATAATGAACAGAAATTTATTTGACTCATGGTTCTAGAGGCTGAGAAGTCCAAGAGCGTGGTGTCAGCATCTGAAAGGGGCCATCATGCTGAGTCATCCATGATAAAAGGCCCAAGAGTGAGCTAGGAAGAGAAGGAAGAACTCACTTTTATAGCAACCTACTCTAGTAATAAAAAACCTACTCCCAAATGACAACGTTAATCTACTCATGAGGGCACAGTTCTCATGGCCTAATCACCTCTTAACAGTCCTACCTCTTAATACGATCACAATGGCAGTTAAATTTCCACATGTTTTGGAAGGAACATTCAAACCATAGCTGATGTGATTTTATAGAACATGTAACTCTGAAATGCGTATCTTCCTTGTAGATGAACCATATTCAATAGTCTGAGTCACAGACTAGAAATCAAGTAATTCCATACTTTTCACTGCTAATTTATAATCCTAGAACAGCTTTCTATAATTATGGAAGTAAAAGATGCTTTAGGAGAAAATTTCAAATACTGTAGAAGACAATAAAATGGAAAATAAGGGTCTTGTCCCAGTACCCCAAACCCCAGGCCCATTGCCCACAAGATATCAATGCTTACCATTTCTGGTGGATCCTTAAATAAATATTTTAATGACATAAAAAGTTTATCATTTAAAAATCATATACAATGGAATTTTATGAAGCACTGAGAAAGAATGAGGAAGAGCTCTTTGTGTGTTGATATGGAAAGCTCTTCGAGATTAATAGAACAAAGCAAAAATAAAGCAAGCCTTTTGTTAGTCATATGTAATGAAAATATTTTATCAATTGGCCTTTTAAATTTGTTATTTGCACCTTAATCTGTTTAAATTATGTAACAATTATTAATCACAATAATTATTGTCAACTTAAGATTTATAAAGTATTATGAGCCTTAGATAAATATACTGGAAAATTATTTGAACTATAGAACTCCAAGTTAAAAGACTTTGAAATGCAAGGGATCACCAATAGCACACAGTACCTTTCTGTATTTGTCATTCTACTTGCTATACATTAATTTGGCTATTTTAAACTTTTCCTACTGTTAGCGTTTTCTTGCCAAACAAAATGAGATGTGTGTTTGCCCATTCAAGGCTGATTTTTTTCAAAGCACTGAGCCCTGGAAGCCTGTAGAGGGCAGCAAAGAAACCTTTCCATTTTGTGATTGTCATTAGATAATTTTTAGACAGTAAACCTTTCTAGAAATGTTGATATTATTAAAAAATACACATAATTAGGCTATCCTTGAAACAGTCAATGGAATGCAGATGTTACCAAAACCTGAGACTATCCACGTAACATTCTTGGTTAAACATCTCTGTTGGCTCAAAATGCATATAGGAAAAAAGTTCAGGGTTTTCTGGTAGCATACAGGGCTCTTCAGAACCTGCCTCAAACTGTCCTCTCTACCATCATTCTGCATAGCACCTCACTAGGATCCAGGGTCATCAATCCTAGTGCAGGAAACATCTAAGGCCTGTCAGAAGCCTGGTCATCCCTGCTGTTCCCTCTTTCCCCAAAGTCCTTGGCTTATCTACAGAAAGTGAACCCCTGCTCACCATGTAGGCATCACCCCATCTACCCAACTATTTCAATTCCTGCTCATTTCTCTGGTTCAGCATTGGCCACATTGATTGTGATTATCTTCTTATCTATCTGCCTCTTCAGTATAGGGCTCATTGGTTATTCATTTTTTAATCCTAATCACCTACCACAAAGTAGCACCTAAGTGTTTAAGAAATAGATAAATGCATGTATGCATGAATGAATGCTTGCAGAGAGCTGAGATTTTTAGATCTTCCTGGAAAATGAATGCCATGTCACAGAAACATCACAAAGGGACACAGATATGTTACTTTAAATAAAACTCTTATCTTAAATCCAAGTGGCTCTGGGACAACCAGCATTGGAGGGGTTCTTAGAAAATAAGTATTGTGCAAATCTGTTGCTCCCAAAGCCTTAGGTACAGAATGGTAGGAATACAGCAGGTATTTATTACAATAATTTAATTTAGACAATGAAAATCACCAGTGGTTCAGAATATGGCTGTGTATGGCAGAAACTGAGGGAGGAGAATTTAGTGTGGAAAAAAAGTGTTTTTTTTCCCCACACTAGGGCAAAGAGGAAAATGTATAATGACTTACCTATCTTTGTGGGAAAATTATATTGAAATGGAATGAAGGAAAACAACATTAATTTCTCTTTTCTATCACTGAACTTTGAGTTATATCCAATAGAGTATCCTTATAGTACAAATGAGAAAAGAAAGGTAGTTTTCTCTTCGCTGAGAGCTGAGTTGTGAGGGCCAGTTTGGTGTGTGATCTTGGGGAAATAATATTTTTTGCTACTTTCTAAATGACCCCCAAAAACTCCTCAAAAAATGTTCCCCAAAGAGTCATGGTTTTAAAACCAAAAAGCAGTGGGCAGTTATTAACGTAATCTTTTATGCAAAAAATTCACCCTTGCACTCCTCAGAGAAAAGCAAAATAAATAGTTTCGATAAATAATTTCTTAGCTCTTTTAATTTTCAAGTTTTAGAAATTTAAGACAGTTCATTTCAGTGATCTTCTTTTTGTTTTCTTTAAATTACATGGGGACAATGTTTCTTCTGCCTTCATTTCATTTCTGTTGGCCTGATGAAAATAATCACACAATAGAAAATCCTATTTATATTGTGATATTGTGATGCTATGAAGTGAATCTTTTTTTTGTAAGAGAAATGTAAGCATATTAACATTGAGTACTCAGGGGGCAGTCATGGTGGTAACATCAGAAATGATATACAGAAAACAAAATGCATGGTGACAAGAATTTAAAAATTGACTGGAAGACTTGAGTCTTCCCTAGGGTTTGTTAGAGTCTAGGGGTGGTCTAGGACAAGCAAACTTGAACCTGAGCAAGATCATGGAGGAGGTGGAGCCTGTCACAGTTCTTTTTCCGCTTTTGCTGCATTCCATTTCCTTCAGTTCTCAAGGGCCCATTGTATTCACATTATCTCTTTAATCATAATTCGTTTCTGTAGCCAGACATTCTGTAGAAGACACTGGGCCTTACTATAGGACACACAGTTTTCAGTTTCTACCTTCTAGGTGTTCAGAAGATTTTGTTCTTTTCATGTCCCCTATATTTAAAACTGTTTCTTAGAAATCCTTCCTGCCACCAATTCATCATCATTACCACTAATTGTTCAGTGCCCGGCCCTAAAATGACTAATATGATGAAGAAAATTGTGCTTTAGAACAAATGAGTTAAAGCTTCACCTCATCATTTTAGTAAACTTTTTATTATGGAAAATTTAGATTTGTACAAAAGTTGCAAAGATGGCACAGAGAGTTCCAGTTCACCCCTTACCCCGTTTCCCCCATTGTTAATGTCTTATGTTGGCATGGTACATTTGTCACAACTAAGAAACCAACATTGTTATATTACTATTAACTAAATTCCAGACTTAGATGTCACCAGTTTTTCCATTAATGTGCCTTTTCTGTTCCAGGATGCATTTCAGGTGCCACATTGCACTTAGTAGTCATGTCTCCTTAGTCTCTTCTGGTCTGTGACAATTTCTTAGTCTTTCCCTATTTTTTGTGACCTTGACAGTTTTGAGGAGTACTGGTCAGATATTTGATAGACTATCTCTCAAATTGGGTTGGGCTGACATTTTCTTCATGATTAGACTAGGTTATGGATTTTTGTAAAGAATATCACAGAGGTGATGTGCCCTTCTTGTTATATTATGTCAGTGGTGTCTGCTATCAACATGACTTATCACTGGTGATGTTGACTTTGATCCCTGGCTAAGGTAGTGCTTGCCAGCTTTCTCAGTTGTAAAGCTATATATATTTTTTACCCCTTTCTATACTCTACTGTTTGGAATCAAGTAACAAAGTGTAGCTTACACTCAAGAGTGGGCCTAAGCTCCACCTCCTGGAGGGGAGGAGTAGCCACATAAATTATTTGGAATTTTTCTGCAAGATTTGTTTCTCCCTCTGTCTTATTAATTTTTATATCAAATCATTTATTTATATCAGTATGGAGCCATGTATATTTAATTTTTACACTTGGTTATAATCCAATACTATGCTACTTTTTTTTTTGAGACTGAGTCTCTCTCTGTCACCCAGGCTGGAGTGCAGTGGCACGATCTCCGCTCACTGCAACCTCTGCCTCCCCCAGTTTAAGCGATTCTCGTGCCTCAGCCTCCTGAGTAGCTGGGATTACAGGCACCCGCCACCACGCCCGGCCATGCTACTATTTTGTTACTCAAAATTTCCAAGTTTGGCCACTGAGAACTTTTCAGGTTGGCTTCTGTGTCCCTCTGATACATTCTCTCTCTCTCTCTCTCTCTCTCTCTCAAGCATTTCCTTACCTTGTAGTACTATGAGATGTTGTAGGCTCATCTTGTATTTTTCCAGTTCCAGCCTCATAATCAGCCATTTCTCCAGGGATCTCTGCTTCCTTTTGTTGGAGAATGACTCCTACAATTTAATCAGGGCTATAATAGGAATCACGAGCCTTAACCTGGAAGTTGATCCTGCTTATTGATTACAATTCCAATGACTTACTGAGTATAAAGTTCACTTATTATACTAAGTACCTGTTGTTGAAATTAACTATTAAATTGTGAAACTTCAGGTTCTGAGATCAGAGTCATTTTGGGGAAAAATGTTGCACTTATGTGTAGAGCTCAATAGTGTCCTTATACAATAACATGTGGCTGAAGAATTCCTCATTGCCAAATGGAATAAATTCTACTGGCTTATGTGTCATCATTTGTCATTATTTTATTGTAAAATAAAAATCTGAGTCATTTAGATTTTAAAAACTGTCGATTAATCTCTGGTTACATAAATGTTTAAAGCGGCATACCTATTCCAGTCTGGAAAGTAAATCTCATGTAGAGAGCTATGGATTGAATGTTTGTGTTCCACCAAAATTGGTATGTTGAAGCCTAATCCTCAATGTGATAGAATTTGGAGGTGGAGCCTTAGGGAGATGACTAGGTCATGAGTATGGAGCCCTCACAAATAGGATTAGTGCCCACATAAGAAGAGACATGGGAGAGCTTGCTTCTTCTCTCTCTGCTCTCTGCTATGTGAGGATACAATGAGAAGATGGCCAACTACAAACCAGGAGGCAGGCCCTCACCAGACACTGGATCTGCTGACACCTTGATCTTGGGCTTCCTAGCCCCCAGAGTTGGGAGAAGTGAATGTTCATTGTTTAAGTCACCCTAGTTTAGTGTGTATTTCTTATAACAGTCTGAACTAAGACATAAAGCAAATGTCCTCCAACAATCATCTTAAAGATGTGCTGTTATTACCAATTCAGTCCCTAATGATATCTAACATTACTTTGAAATTTAGAGCAGTGTTTCTCAACCCAATTATAAGGACATGTTAGAGTTAAAAATACTCTGGAAGCATTCCAGACCAGTCAGCATTGAGGGGAAAGCCAAATTCCAAGGGTTTCCAATGGGCAGGTAAAGTTGTGTGTTGAGAAATAATGCATCATGAATATTTTCACGTTTCTGCAAGGTTGAGACTTTCTAAGAAAACAGTACTGGCACCTGGTTAATAGGCAACTGAATAGCAACCCTAAAGACTGAGCCCTTGGCAGTAATATAAAGTCCTACCTTTCCCTGGAGCCTTGTGTTTATCTTCCAGGGTGGTGAGTAGAGATCTTTCCTTCTACTTCCCAGAGAGAATTTGTGTTTATGATTCAGACCAGCGGTCACCCTCTTTCTCCACAAAGGGTGATGGACAGATGGTCCAGCAGTTCCTATATAAGCTCTGGGTTTCATAATTCCAGAGATCCTCTCCTGTACATCTCACTGAGTTGCTCTGGGAGGAACCAGGGCTTTGGGAAAAGCTCTGTGAGCAGTCTGTCTCTGATTCAGAGGTCTGGTATGTGTGTGTGTGTGTGTGTGTGTGTGTGTGTGTGTACACACTTACATGCATAAAATTGTGACAGGTCAATTTGTTAGCTTGAAACTAGGTTAACATTTCAGACCCTTCACAGTTTCAGTTTCAACATTGACAGCCCATGCTCCAAGGAAATCAGGCCTATGCTTCCATGGGCAACCACTGGTTTACTTTGTTTTTGCTAGATATCTCCCCTGACTTGGCTGTGCCCATATTGTAACTGTTGTTAAAATATTTTTAACATCACCCCTAATGAGAAACATCAAACATACTGAGCTCCAAGTTTTCACTGGGAAAAAATGTCTTTACCAGCTGGACACGGTAGCTCATGCCTGTAATCCCAGCACTTTGGGAGGCTGAGGCAGGAGGATCGCTTGAGCCCAAGAGTTTGAGACCAGCCTGGGCAACACGGCAAGACAATGCCCTCTCTATTATTAAAACAAAAAATGTTTTTAAATGTCTTTATTTTATTGGATGCAAATAGAAAGCAGACTAAGATTTGTCTCTGCCTATACAAGCCTCATGACAGATTTTAGCCAAATCTATGTTTTCAGTAGAAAGCGCTCTGGGTCTCAGCATGCAAGGGCAGTTCACTGAGTGTGCGTTTATGTGAGTTTTCAAGTCAATTTCCTGTGTTTTATTCATTTTCTGCTTTCAACTAACACCATTTGAAAACAATGAAAGAATTAATCATAGCACTTTGTACTTCTTTTGCACATTTTTTCCTCTCAAGGAGCTAAAATTACTTCACACTGAGTTCCTCAGAGATCATGAAAAGGAAGCCTCTCAGGTAGGTAGACTGCCAATATTTTCATAATTGTCTGGATGAGGGAAATAGGCCATAAATGACAGGTTCACTATGGCCAGTACCAAAAAGCTACAATATAGGTAAATTTATTGAATACCACAGTGGAGAATATTCACAAAGGCTGACTATATCATGTGAATTAGGACCTACCCTTGTTAAATAGAGGAAATCCTCATAAGAACATAGAACTTTAAGAAAAAAGTATTTTTAAGTTACAGAAAGAATATGATTTATTTTCAAACCTCTCTGGGGAATACCCAACCCACCTCAGGCTCTGACTTATATACACAGGTTCATCTAAGCAGGATGTAGGTTTTTAAGCCTAAATCATAATTATTAAACTGTAGTGGTAAATGAAATTAGAATCCCTTGAATAAATTTGGCTTACTTCAAGAGACTGAATTGGTCCCAAGTAACATTTGATGAGTGAATGCAGGATTGACATCTGTAGACTTGGGTAGGCTGATGTCTAGCAGAAAAAAATCTCCCCAGTTTCCACACACCTGCTACAATTAGAGATGTCTGCTCGCCCTTTGGCTTAATTGCTGCCTAACATCTAATTGTCATAGAGTCAGTGAGAGCTATTAGATCTATTGCTATCCCCGAATATGAGCCAACAAAACCCTCTCTGTGCTTAAGCCAGTTTGAGTCAGAGTTTCTGTCACTTGCAACCAGGAGACTCCTAACTAATAAAACTATGCCATAAGATTGTTGACAGGGTGGAAAAAACATGGTGCCTGTACCAGATAAATATTAACTATTGTAACGATCCCTTATTCAAACACACGCAACACTTTGCCAATCTTCTGCATTTGGTACACATCACAAACTACTTTATACGGTTAGTTTATGGTTATGATAACTATGTTTTAAGCTTTTTGAGAATGAAGGGTAGTTTTAAAAATCTTTTATGGGACCTAGAATAGTGCTTTTCATAGAATAAGTGTCCATAAATATGTTCAAAGTGGTTGTGTTAAAAATCAGGTGACTTGATTATTCATTTAGCACCTTGTAGGAAAATTAAATATAACTAAGTATCACTTGATAGAGGCAGACAATTCCTTAAGGTGAAATATAAGATTTTGAAGTTTGTAATTTATTATGACTTATAGCTAAGGAATTTTTCTAAGGAATACACATCCAAGGTGAACATGGGATTCAATGGGAAAACATGTTTTAACTTTTTTTATTGTTTTTATTGGGAATATATTGAATTTTATCAGTCCTCAATTGATTGAAAAAGTGGAAATATCTGGAGAGATGTTTAGACATTTGGACGTACTGATTTCCACAATGTCGGTGAAAAGTAAAAATAGATAAATAACATTCAAAATTTCCACTGGACCTAGAAATTATTGGTAGAGCTGTCAAAAAAGATGAGGGGGCCGGGCGCGGTGGCTCACGCCTGTAATCCCAGCACTTTGGGAGGCCGAGGCGGGCGGATCACGAGGTCAGGAGATCGAGACCATCCCGGCTAAAACGGTGAAAACCCGTCTCTACTAAAAATACAAAAAATTAGCCGGGCGTAGTGGCGGGCGCCTGTAGTCCCAGCTACTTGGGAGGCTGAGGCAGGAGAATGGCGTGAACCCGGGAGGCGGAGCTTGCAGTGAGCCGAGATCCCGCCACTGCACTCCAGCCTGGGCGACAGAGCGAGACTCCGTCTCAAAAAAAAAAAAAAAAAAAAAAAAAAAAAAAAAAAAAAAAAAAAAGATGAGGGGAGGTGCATACACTAGGGAGAACCCTTACTCTGAGATGCTAGGAAGTGATGAAAAAATATACACATGCCAATTGTCCAGACACATGTCATGCCAAATTTATAAAGATTCAGCAATAATTTATTAAGGACTGTTGGAAATAAACATTTTAAGCTAATAAAACTTTAAGCTCCAAAATTTTATTTTCTTGTTTGGCTAGCAGGCTTTTCCAAAAGTTACACCATTGCTGGTTGCTGGGTTTTTTTTTTTTTTTTTTTTTCATTTTTAAAGAAAGAATGCATTACTTAAATTTTTCTTAAAATTAAGTGTCATTATGAAGTCAAATGGCTGTAAAGTCTAGCCAATACCTATAAAGGCCCTCAGGCAACTAATTTTTTTTTGGTCCCTTCTAAATTTTTTCTTGCTGATTTCTTTCCCCTCCATCAATCCTGGCTGTTCATTTTTGCATGTTTCTGGGGTCTTAACTCTGTTTCATGTAGTTTGGGCAACTCTAAAATTAAAGAAAAAAGCTTCAGATGAGAAAGCAGAAGTATTTGAATACAGGTTTGAACAAAGGAAAAATATTAATTATGGAATCACAAACCTTTATATTTAAATGAGAACACTTTCCAACTGTGTATATAATGTCTAATATTTTATTGTGAGAGCTAAACCAATATTTTTTCAGTAGGTTTTGAAAAAAGTGTCATGAATTACCATTAGATTCTGTTCACTTCCCGAACTCAATAAATCATCTATCTGAATGTAGTCTGTAATTGTAAGACATTTGTAAAAGAAAAGTCTTTTATTGCATCTCTAAACAAAACATTGAGTTTTCTGGACTGAAAACAGAGGGCATATTGAAAATACAGTAGACATTTTTATTCTTCACAGAATAAAATATAATTTGAAGACATCAACTTTCTTCTCTTCCCTAAATTGACAATTTAAAATAATTGTTCAACCAGGCAAAAGTCACAAGTTCCCCTTGTCACACAATTTTTATTTTATTGTTTTATTAAATAAAAATATTTTATTATGTTAATATTTATTTAAGGAAGGTTGATTCTTTCTCCAATAAGAGTTTTTTTTGTTTTTTTTTTTCCTTGAGACGGAGTCTCACTCTATCACCTCGGCTGGAGTGTAATGGCACTATCTCGGCTCACTGCAACCTCCGCCTCCCAGGTTCAAGCGATTCTCCTGCCTCAGCCTCCCGAGTGGATGGGACTACAGGTGCCTGCCACCACACCCAGCTAATTTTTGTATTTTTAGTAGAGATGGCGTTTCACTATGTTGGCCAGGCTTGTCTCAAACTCCTGACCTCAAATGATCTGCCCGCCTTGACCACCCAAAGTGCAGGAATCACAGGCGTGAGCCACCACGCCTGGCCCCAGTAAGAGTTATATGAAGACTTCTACATAGTGTATGATCATGCCCTAACTAGAAAAATCTTTTGTCACTTCCCCACACCTCCCATATTCTTGTTCACTCTTTCCATTTGACCTAATCCTTTCTACAATTAATTCTTTCTACTCCTCCAATATTTCTCTTGTGCTTTTGTTTTCTCAAATGTACTCCTGATTTGCTAGAAGGCATATTTAATTCTAAATCAGCCAATGAAAGTTATTAACCTAAATCTGACACAGTATAGAGCCCAAATCAATTTTCTGTGCTCAAGAATTATCTTGGGTAATGGGTAGGCAAATTTTGGCAGTTTCAAAATAGGAAGGTCTGACACTTAACTGATTCCTCCTAGTTAAAATGTGGACACCAATATAAAATTCAAGCATAACACATATAAATCAGTACCATGCCTGGAACTTAGAGATTATTTATTCTTATTTTAAGGGACAGCATCTCACTGTATTGCCCAGGCTGGAGTGCAGTGGCTATTCACAGGCATGATCATGGTGTACTACAGCCTCGAACTCCTGACCTCACACAATCCTTCTGCCTTAGCCTCCCAAATAGCTGGAAATATAGGCCTGCCCAGCTGGAGGTTATTTTAATGTTTGTTTGAATAAGCTCATTTAGTAACTATCACTGATGTCTCCTGAAAGATACTGCTTTTGCTTAGCCTTTTCATGTGGAGGGGAAAAAAAAAATCCATGCATTCCCCCTGCTGTCTCCTATTGAATGCAAAATGACTTCTGAAAAGAGTCAACATCTATGATGCTGTAACAGATATCATTTAGCAAATATAGTTTATGTTTTAAAGTCAGATCACTTCCTGGGGATATGTCTTGAATTAAAAAGCACAAAATGCCTGGTTTTCATTGTAACCTTACAGTTGCAGAGACAGATAATATATGCATTACTTTCTTTTGCATGCATTTGTTGCATTTACAAAAAGAACATTGGTCATCTAAATGTCTGTAGGCCATTTTCTTTTCTTTTTCTTTTTATCAATGACTTGTTAGGCATGACCCTATACTTTTTCACTTCCAGATAATGTACCCTCATTGTTTCTCAAGGGAAAAGCATATGACAGTTTTGCATGCGCAATCAACCTTGTGAGGATCAAATGAAACACGTACAGTTTTCACTGCAGCCCATGAAGGGATGTGCAAATGGTAGCCTTACTATCACATGTGAATGATTTACTTGGAGATTTTGGGGAAGAATGTGTGAAGTTTGACATGCTGTACATTTGTAATTGGACATGATGTGGTGGCAAGAGACTTGCTTTTTGGAATCCTTCAGACCTACTGCATATCTTGTTTTTACCATATACTAACAATATGCTGTGGTTGACTTCATCATCTCTCTGAATCTGTTGTCTCATTCCCAAAATTGGCAAAAGATGCCTAACTCAGAAGATGCTGTTAAAATGAAATAAATTCACTCTGTGTCACAGAATCAGATCCCTAGAAGGCTTCCAATTTGTTGCCTTCTCCTTCTAAGTCCTGCCCCCTTCTGAACAGGTAAAATCCCTGGTTCATGAGATCCACCAAGGGATTGTGCACAATAGCCAGGTAAAGGTCAGGGCCCACCTGGGGAGGGGGGGTCCAGCATTCATGTAACACTTAGAATAAATCACGTGCTTAGAGAGATGGGGCACTATGGAGATAGGACTGGAGAATTTCCTGGAAATGTTCAGTTGATTTTAAACTTTGGGAGAGATTTTCTAAGTGCTACATTTTCAACATATTCCAATGGGGATAGTTCAGTATTTTGGGAAACCCAAGAGGGAGAAGGAAACCAAAATGTTTCACCCCAAAATATACTCCTTTGACATATTTCAAGATGGCTATTCAGAAAAGCTGGAAATACAAGAATAGCTGAAAAACTGTCTTTTGTTGGGGAGATTTGCATCTGTAGAGAAAAATCTTCATTGATGAAGCCAGGCTTTCTTCGAAGCCTTCCCTTGTCTGGATCTAGGGAAGATTAATTGAGAGTCTGACACTTTCAAAGGTCTAAAGGAAATATTCACCATCTATTCTCTCTGAGAGCTGCTACCTGTGAGGTTTCATCTACACAACAAGACCACCTTTGCTACCTCTTCTCTCCCTCCCATAACCTGTTTCGCCAAGATCCAAGCCCTTATTCTTTCTGTAACCTCAAGATGGTATATAAACTTCTGAACCCCATTGGAGGGTTGGGGTAATCACTCTGTGGTTCTCCCCATGCATATTAATAAACTTATATGCCCTGGCTGAATGCAGTGGCTCACACCTATAATCCCAGCACTTTGGGAGGCCCAGGTGGGCGGATCACTTGAGCTCAGGAGTTCAAGACCAGCCTGGATAATATGATACAATCTCATGTCTACCGAAAATACAAAAATTAGCCAGGAATGGTGGTGTGTGCCTGTAGTCTCAGCAGGTCGAGGCTGCAGGGAGCCATGATCACGCCACTGTACTCCAGCCTGGTTGACACAGCGAGACTGTCTCAAATAAACAAACAAACTTGTATACCCTTTCTCTTATTAATTTGTCTTTTGTGAGCTGTTTTTGCAGAGAACCTTCAGAGGGTGAAGGGGAAGTTTTCCATTGGCTCCTACACATGCATCCTTTGGGTCTAACATTTATGACCCTTTGAGAGTTAACGAGGTTCTAATTGTAATAGTCTTCTATTGCTGCTGTAACAAATGACCACATAGGGCTTTAAAACAAGGCATATCTGTTATCTCAGTTTCTGTGGGTCAGTAGTCTAGGCATGGCTTAACTGGGTTCTCTGGTCAGAGTTTCATGAAATTAAAATCAAGTTTTTGGCCAGGCTGTGATTCTTATCTGGAGTTTGGTTTCTTTTCTAAGCTCAGTGCTTTTTGGAAGGATTCAGTTCCTTGTGACTGTAGGAGTGAAGCCCTCAGCTCTTAGAGTCCACCCCCCTCCGTAGGCAGTGCATAACATTACTTTTTGTTTCTTTGAGGTCAGCAAGAGGGTCTCTGCTGCTTGGAGTCTCTTTAAAGGGACACATCTGATTAGGGCAGACCCACCCAAGATAATCTCCATTTTGATTAAATTAATGTCAGTTGATCAGGAGTTTGATTACATCTCACAATTTTTCCACCTTTGCCATGCTAAGTAACATAATCATAGAAGTGACATCCTATCATGTTCAAGGTCCTGCCCATATTCAGCAGGAGGGGATTATACAGGGTATTTATACCAGGATCAAGGATCCTGGGTGCCTTCTCAGAATTCTACCCACCACACTAATCAAACTAGAATGTTTAATTCAAGCCAGGCACAGTGCCTGTAGTTCCATCTTCTCGGGAGGCTGAGGCAAGAGGACTGCTTGAGCCCAAGAGTTTGAAGCTGCAGTTAGCTATGATCGCATCTTTGAATAACCAATGCACTCCAACCTGGGCAACATAGTGAAACCCCATCACTAAAAAATAAAAAGAAAGAAAAAAATGGCATGTTTAATTTGATATAAAAGTGGGTAAACCTTTGCATGGCATATTTCATGTGAATTTTGTTATTTCCAATTACAGTATAGTTAAAATGATACATTAGACTAGGCTTAATTTCAAGCCATCCACAGAGTACTCTAGGTATTTTAATAGGATGCCAGAATCTTACTGCTTTCTGGAAATTCCTCTGTAAAGCCGACAGCTTTTGAGTATTTTGTAGAAGACTGCACTTGATTTGACCTGAGGGACTATTTAGTTAATATATGGCGATGTCTGCCTCTAAGTACCTACTTTTTCCTCCATCTCTCTTGTTGGATTTTGGTGGTAAAAGGTCAGTTGTCTACTGCAAAGTTTTAGACAAGAGGAATGCTTCTGAATCCATCAGTTTATCTTAAGCTATCCACAATATATTTTTGTGATGTATCTCAATTTGATTTTTAATAACAGTAAAAGAAAGAGTGATAGCTATTTTATTGAATTTATATATCCAATCTCAAAAAAATATATAAAAGAATAATTAAGTCTCTTGACAGCTATAAGAGCATAAAACCCAACTTAAACAAAAAAGCAGGAGAAAAACAACCTTTGGACTGTGTGGACAGATAAACACAGTAGAAAAGACGCAGGGGCCAGAAATCCACCCTGACATTCTATGACTCACCAGTTATATGGCAGCTGAAGGTGAGGTAGAGGTCCATTGACAAGAGGAGACTATTTTAGAACTCTTTTTTTTTGTCCCAAACTAAGAGGACAAGCAGAGTCATCACACATAATTTTAAAAAGAAAAAGGAAAAGTAACAAAAAGAAAAGGGAAGAAGAAGGTGGCTATTCTGAATGTAGTTTTGGTACCAAAAAGAATGAAAGGAGCCCACAGGGAGATGAAGCAGAGTGGAGTGGTCAGGGGGTGAGATGGGTTGGGACCTACGGCCCCCCAGAGCAGGACCCTTCCGACATTCTTAACTGCCTCCTACAAGAAGACATACATGACCAGGCATGGTGGCTCGCACCTGTAATCCCTACACTTTCGGCAATCAAGATTGGTGGATCACTTGAGCCTCAGGAGTTGGAGACCAGCCTGGGCAACATGGTGAAACCACATCTTTACAAAAAGTACAAAAAGTAGCTGGGTATGGTGGCATGTGCCTGTAGTTCCAGCTACTCTGGAGGCTGAGGTGGGACGATCACCTGAGCCCTGGGAGGTTGAGGCTGCAGTGAGTTATTGATCGTGCCACTGTACTCCAGCCTAGGCAACAGAGTGAAACCCTATCTCAAAAAAAACAAAGATATGAATTTTCCTTTCTGATCCAGTGTGCATATATACATCTATATTTGTTAAGAGTGAAACAAAAGTTTTCCAAAAGAATACTTATACACAATGTACTGTATTTTCTATTTTAATCTAGGTGGTATTTTAAAGCTGGTTGTGACTTATTGAATTGACTTCATAAGTCAATAATAGGTCATGGCTACAGTTTCACAAACAATGACCCAGACAGCCTTGGAAGGCACATTGTTTGGAAATCTCTCTGCATATGAACCACCATCATCTGCATTTCAGTAGCTCCTGAATGCATTAGTGGATTATGTTTTGGATATTAGTTCCAGGTACCCAGAAAAACTCCCTTCCATATCATATATAATTTGTTAGTGGTGCTAGATAATGAAATTATGTTTATATATAAACAATAGTCTATATAAAACACTATACTATACATATGCAGATTTTCCTAGGTTGTATTTTTTATTGAGACAAACATTTTTCAAGGGCAATGATGTTTGTAAATATTCACTTTAATGGAATAACATGGAATGTTTGTATATGTTCTAGAATGCTGACATAGGCTGGATACAAAATGGGTACATTGCAGCAAGACTTGCGCTTTGTAGAACTAGGGTGATTTAACAGTTAAAAACAAAAACAAAACCTATGTCCACCATAATGTTGATTGTTTAAGAAAACAAGAAAAAATACAACCATAAAATTTCATATACTTGTTATGAGTGGGTCATAAATTAGGCACCAAACTTTCTTGAAGTCAATGCAGAAAATTCTAGCCATTTACATAATTCACATTGTGTATAAAATAAACTCACAACATTTATGAGAAGCACAGCTATTTTTGATACTGAAATTACATAGTTTCTTCTGAAGTACCTGCTTCAGGAGAAGATTTCGCTTCATGAGAATCAGGGCAAAACCACAGACCCCACAAAGACTCCAGCTTTCACAGAGCTGGTGTTTTATGCCATCTAGCAGGACCTCGCCTTGTTTGGACAGTGCCACCTACAGCTTTGGCTGGGGTGGGGGACTGGTGTAAAGACCTGGGGACCTGAGTAAGTAGCAGGGGAGTTGAAGGTTGTTAAAGGGAGGGGGCCAGAGGAGAGGCAAATGCTACATGAAGTATGTTGTTGCAAATAAATTAGTGGATTAGATATATATATATATATATATATATATATATATAGGCATATGGATAGATCTCACAAAACTAGTGGCACATGGCACTATATGTAGTTGCATAAGACTAGAAACAACCCAAATGTACATTGCTATTCTCTGCAGTTGCAAAACAGAGTGAGGACTACTTCTATATACCATTGGCAAGCTATCTCCAGAATATACTGTGAAGTGAAAGGCAACGTAGAGCAAAGAATATTTTGTATACTTTTGTTTCTTTTGTTTTTCTCTCTTTTTCTTTCTCTCTCTCTTTCTTTCTTTCTTTCTTTCTTACTTTACTTACTTTCCAAGGTCTCACTCTGTTGCCCAGCCTGGAGTGCAATGGCACAATCATGGCTCACTGCAGCCTCAACCTCCCTGGGCTCAAGTGATCCTCCCACCTCTCAGCCTCCCAAGTAGCTGGGATTACAGGCTCATGCCACCACGCCCAGCTAACTCTTGTATTTTTTGGAGAGATGGGGTTTCTCCATGTTGCCCAGGCTGATCTCAAACTCCTGGGCTCAGGCGATCCTCCCGCCTCCACCTCCCAAAGTGCTAGGATTACAGGCACGAGGCATTGCACTCAGCTTATTTTCAAAAAGGATATATACACAGACATATTCATAGATGTTTAAAAATAATGGGATGACAGAATAAAAATTAAAAATACAATATTACCTATGGGGAAGAGACAGGGATAAAAGTTAGTCTTCTCTGAATAAATATCGTTTTATAGATTTCACTTTGGAACCAGGTAAATACTTTACATAGTTATAGAGCAAGATTAAATTTAAGAAGCACATTTTTAGAAATCAAAAGCTAAGTGAAAAGAATCTGTGAATTGAGCTGGTAACATAAGTATAAAGAAAGGAAACATTTCAAGTGAATTTGAAGCATGGCAATTTGAATAAACATCCCTAGTGGAATATACCCTAAGGACAAAAGAACTGCAAAATATATTTAACCATTTTCAATATATATTGTTGTTATTGGTGTTGAGGTATTATGTTGAGACTGGATGATTTAGGGGATGGAAGCAAAATAATACTTATATTGGTGCTGAGAGATATTGGAAAAATAGATACAGATGTAAGATCAATGAGGTTATATAAAAATCTTACAATCCTGAATTTGAATTGGAAATATGAAATCATAATGTAGTTTATTGTAAAAAGTATATATTTCCTAACACTGCTTACTAAAAAGACCTTGAAGAACAGTGAACAACTCAGTAGTAATAAATACTGCTAGCTCCCAGATTTTGGATTTAAATACCATTTGCTACTACAAGCAACGGGTTTCTTGGAGAAATGACTGATCCTGGGTCTGGGATAGGAAATGCACAAATGATCCTGGAATATCTTGTTATACCAGAAAGCAAATTCACAATAACGTAGGAAAACATCATTGGCCACCTTTGGGGGATGCTAGGGAACCAACTCATTATTTTGAAAACTACTGAATAAAGGGAAAGACTCAACCATTTATTCTACCTTTCATACAAACTGTAGTCAATGTAACAAAGAGTTGATGAGGGGGAGTTTTTCAGTTACTAAGTGAAAATGGAATGATAGAATTAGCATATCACTATTTCCCATCACCTGGTAACTTAATGTTTAAGCACTGAGCATCAATGGCTGCTAACATTACACACACAGACACCCCCTATGCTTCCAAATGGAAGTACTCAATACCACCAATGAAATATTCTCCCCTCAGAAAGAAAAATTAACAGAAGACTAATTAAATCTCTCTATATAACCACCAATTCCCAGAAAATACAGGATGAGAGGACCATGCTAAATAACACCATGGGTATGAGATAAAATCCAGAGATAAAAACCTACAGAACAAACCAAATAGATTTTCAACAAATATATGGAAAGAAAATTAAATTCCAGAAATCAAAAGAGATTCAAGAGACATATCAATCAGTTGCTATGTATAGCTCTTATTTGGATGCTGATTTACCCAAACAAAAACAACAACAAATCCATGAGGCCACTGGGAGAAAATTGAACATGGACAGGAAATTTCGTAGTATTAAGAAATTGCTGTCTTTTGGGGGTATGATAATTTCAGTGTCATTATATGTTTTGGATATATATATTTAAATACTTGATAAAATGACATGATATCTAAGCTTTGTGTCAAGTAGTATAGGTAGGAGAGAAGTGTGTGGGGACATAGATGAAATAAGATTAGTCATGAGTTAATAATTGTCGAAACTGCATGATGGGCATATGGGAGTTCAGTGTACTCTTCTCTCATTGCATACTTGGTTTATGTTTGCAGTTTTTCAAAGTCAAAAGTTATTTCTAAAACTATAGTATTGAATGAAAAAAGAAACATTATATATGTAAATATGTTTACATGATAAACTAAGACAACATGCTCAGAAAACTATACATATTTATCAAGGACACATAAAAATAATAGAATATATATGAAACAGTGTTTCTCCAGGAGACAGAAAAATAAAATATGCATATGTATTCACATAAATGCATATGTATGATATATATATACATATGCATATTTTATGTATTCGTATATATTTACAATATAAAAGGGAATATATTAATATGGATGCATATATATGAATATATTTGCTATATTCTTATATACACTCTAAAAGAGAAAGTAAGTACACATAGATGTACATAAATGTATATATGAGTACGTGTATCAGAAAGCCTTATGAGGATCAAGTATGATTATGTTCTATGAATTGAGGAGTATTATTAAATCAATCTTTTGTACCCAAGGTCCAAAAGAAAAAAAAGTGCTGTGTATATACAGAGAACAATTTTTTTTGTTACATCATTTGGCTCAGAAAATGGATACTCTTTAATAAATGGGTTGGAAAAGTGCTTTCAAAATTGAAGCTGCAAACAGTACTACAGTTTTTGCACTTGGCATGCTATTCTGAAATATTCAGTAGCAGTATACCTCAGTGAATCCAAAATAAATCATTACACTCTTTCCTGGGAAAAATAAATAGATATCATGATCTTTTTAAATATTCAGAAGAGTTTTACTCTTCAAAGAGCATGCTAACATCTTTAAGGTCATTATGATGTCAGTCCAAGGATTTTTTTTTTTACATTTTGGCTTGGTTATTTTCCATATTCAACACAGAACTTTATAATAAAATTTATTGTCTATCAATTTTATATACTTTAATTATGGTTAAAAGGATCCGTGTGTTTGAGGCCTCTATCTACATACCTGCCACTTTCCAATGTGTAATTACACCTAATTACTTGCTTCTCTGTTAGAAAAGTATTTCTCCAAGTTCCAAAGTGTGTACTTAAGAAAGACATAAATATGATTTCTTTTGATTCTAGGATTGACCCTGTCACATATGTAAATATTTAAGCTAGGATAACAAAAAGTCATAGATTCTCAGGTTAGGAGACATAAATCTCACTAACTTTGTATATTAGATATGTTGGTTGCCTCAATGACATTCTGACAATTGACTACATCTAGAAAAGGGTTTTATGGTAAATAGTAGATCAGAGTACTACTAGTTTTAAAAACTGTTATGGTGTCCAATGTATTTGGAAAATGCTGAACTGGGAGCATGAAAAAGCTTTCTTTACTTACACACATAATGCTAATGAGCACTGCGATTCTCCAAAAAGGTAGAAAGTAAGGCAGAGTTTTCCAAACTTCTCTTCCTTGGAAGAATTTCCTTTCACAGAGCTTTTGTTAGACTAGTGTCCAGCAAAACACAGTTTGGGAAATACTGGTCTATTGGTGCCTGGATACTGCCGCTAACAGCAGCATGAAGCCCATTAAATCTTTTTGTAGCTCTGATTCAGAACTTCCATTTTCTGAACCAGATGCAGAGGTTGGCAAATTTACAGAGAAAACATACACCTATCTATAAAGATACACTATGAGCTTTCATATTAAAGAGATCTTATACAAAATATAAACTTGTTTTGAGAATTAATCAAGAAAAGGTACATTAACTTCAGCTATAGAATGTAAATGAAGATCTATGATTTGAATAATCTAACTTTATGGGAAAGTGAGAACAGTCAATATCAACATAAGAAATAGAGAATATTTGAGTGTGCACATTTTAGGAATCCACTCTGTGAATTAAATGACAATTTTTCCTCTCAATAACTTGCAAAGAAGAGTCTGTGTTGTTAGTACTTATAAGCTGGCCCAGGAAAGAAGAGTTCTGGGAAGACAATAACTAGATATTTCCCTTCGTGACACAAGCCAATCTGATGGAACTAGACACACTTCTGGCTAGAAGCGGTGACTTTTCTGTCTAATAATCAGGGAAATCTTATGTGTGTGGATATCCTCAGAAGCAGCTCATTTTGCTAGTTGTATCAGTATTCTCCCAATTCTGCACATAAGAACCCTGAGAAAAGAGGGGAGAACAGGAAGTTTTTCAAAGAAGTAGAAGTTGTGCCAAAAAAATCGACCTGGGAGGGAATCAGGCTCCTTCAGAAACTGTGACTCTCCTGGTAACTGTCCAAGGTGCTGAGCCACCTCTGGGAGGAACTCATTATGAAGGATCAAGCCCCATTAGCTATTTGGGCCCTATTGGCTTCCTTCACCAGCCTAGATTTAGCTTCCCAACACAGGCTTAGCTAGAGTTAGCTACTTCCCCAACCCATGTGTGGCCTGACTTGATTAAAACCTACATCTGCTGCCTGGCCCAACTAGATAAGACCTAACCTTGTTTATGGCCCCTTCGGTTATTGACTGCCATGCTGCCAATGAGCTGCCCAGTTCTCTATCGGTTCCAAGAATATTCTCATTTAATCAGTCCACAGAAAGATGGAAAAAAACATTGGAAATGAATGCTGTGCCTTAGTGACACCTTGTAGTGAGAACCAAGGGACAGTAGAGGGTGGAATTCTAAACTGGATGTCATCATGTTGGCATGTTGCCAGGCAGTTGAGAAGCCAGAGTTGAGAAGTACAGTTTCAGCAGAACCAGATATAATGCCAGACCAGAATTTTGCAGCTATGTAACTTCGGGCAAGTAAAACTTTTCTGAACCTCAGAGCTCAGAAAGCAGTAAGTTACCATGCTGCAATGAATGGCATAGGGTGTGAAAGCACAATGTAGAGGGCTGGATTTGTACACTAATAAAAGAAGGCCCTCCTTATACCCAATTTAAGGATTTTAAAATCCCTCAGAAAATCATTTCATTTAAACTCACTTTTTTCCCCTTTCCTATAATGCCCAGATATCAGTGAAATTCCTTCATCTTTAGTTAAGATACTTTTCAGACATCTCACACTTCAGTAATAACATAGAAGGGGAGTACAGCCCATGGGGCAAAATTTCATGTCAGGATATCTACATTAAGAAACTAATGATGTGACAAATAAAAGTTAAGGTTTACATTTTTCCCTGTTTGAGAATTAACAAGGATATATATGGGAAATAAAGATACATAAAAATATATTAAGTCCATACTTATACGGGAGCCTTCTAAAATGTCTGCAGTGTATCTTTGATATTTTTAAGTACCCAAGAATGATTTACAACCAAAAGTCATTAAAATGGACATGATAGTTAGAACTCCCGATCTTAGAGTCTTTCACCAAATGTCTGTTTACTTTTGTTATTTAGAATCCCTTCTATTCTTTGACAAATTAACCGATCCTTTGCCAACTTACTTAATTTTAAGGTTGATGTTTGTTAATGCAAAAGGCATACCTGATCATCACAGAGAAGGTGGGAAATGCAGATGAAAAAAATTACTCATGTTTCTACAATCCATTATTAATAATTAAAGTATTTTTTGTTTAAGCATTCTTGTAAATTAGTGGAATCATACTTTCTGTATTCTTTTTTATCCCTTGCCATTATGTCATAAACATTTTGTCATGATATTTCTGGTGTGAAAGTAGCTATAGACAGTATGTATGGGAATAAGAGTAGCTGTGTTCCATGAATAGGAGTAGCTATGTTCCAATGAGACGATTTATGAACATCGAAATTTAAATTTAATATCTTTGTTCACATGCCATGAAATATTTCTCTCTCCCTACACCCCAACTCTAAAATTGGTAAAACCATTCTTAGCTTTTGGGCCAGACCATAACAGGTGATGGGCTATGGTTTGCTGACCCCTGGACTATAGTGACCAAAGCATGGCTTCTGGAGCCAGACTGTGTGGGTTTGAATTGGCTCTGCTGTTTGCTAGCTGTGTGTCCTTCGGCCGATTACTTGACATTTCTGTGCTTTGGTTCCTTGTCTGTGACATAGGGAAGCACCATTCTGTGGCATCGTTGCAGGAGCGACTTAATTAGTGAAGGGTACCTCATAAGTATTTAATAAATATTAACTTTTTATTATAGGTCTTGCCATATTTACATGTAATCCCCACCGCAGCCATAACAGCCATATATGTCAGGTATCAGTGTTTTAATAAGCTTTTTTTTTTTTTTTTTTTTTTTTTTTTTAAAGAGACAGTCTTGCTCTGTCACCCAGGCTGGAGTGCAGTGGCACAGTCATAGCTCACTGAAGCCTCCTGGGATCAAGTGATCCTCCCATCTCAGCCTCCCAAACTGCTGGGATTACAAGCATGAGTCACTCACCCAGCCTGGTACCAGTGTTTTAATGGAGGAGGACACGGTCAGTGCCAGGTAAAGCCTCAGCTGGACCCACCTCTATGGCGTTTGCTGGGTGGATTCATCTGCCACTTCTGCTTTTGAGGTAGCAAGATTGAGATGAATGGATCATAATATACTGCCAGATGGAAAGACTACTGGGGAAAAAATATCCCTTTGTATTCCCAACTACAGCTATATTATATATTAACCAGGTACCTCTTATAGGTTGGCCTGAAATTTTGCCACCATTTTTAACATTATAGAAGAGTATATTCAGTGTTCCAATTTCTGGCTAACAAATAATTGGAAAACACTGGTCATAAGGACACACTACAATAGTCTCCCATGGGCTACTAAGAGAAGAGGAATAAAGACAATTGGCAAGGCCAGGCACAGTGGCTCATGCCTGTAATCCCAGCACTTTGGGAGGCCAAGGCAGGTGGATCATTTGAGGTGAGGAGTTCAAGACCAGCCTGGCCAACCTGGTGAAACCTGGTCTCTACGAAAAATACAAAGATTAGCCGGGTGTGGTGGCACATGCCTGTGATCTCAGCTACTCGGGAGGCTGCAGTAGAATTGCTTGAATCCTGGAGGTGGAGGTTGCAGTGAACAGAGACCACGCCACCGCACTCCACCCCTGGGCAACAGAGTGAGACTCCATCTCAAAAGAAAAAAAAAAAAAAAGACAGTTGGCAAGAAATACAGTTCTCACGATTTGGGATATATTTCACTAAATGATGGCTATCTCATAAAACTAAAATTCGTTAGAAAGTGATATGCCAAAATTTGGACAACTCTTTCATTGACATTGAAACTGTAGCTCAAAATAATGGTTTTAAATGACCCTGTTCTCCAGTCACTTTCCTTTCCAGCTGTTACCAGCAGTGGTTTTAAGTGAAACAATTAACTGTTGCACGATAAAAACCACTGACTGACTGATAATTAGAGTTTTCATTTTTACTTTCTAGATGAGCTGCTGGTTGGGACATGAGCTTGGTTTTTCCAAATTTCCCTTAAGCCAAGGGCTTCCAAACTGGAAAGAATATTTTAACAAAGAGTTGGCCTATGCCTTGAAATGCAGAAAGATTACTTCATGCCATCTGCCCCTCCTCCCTGCCTGTCTTCTTGCAGTTTACCGTTAAACATCATTTTCTGGCTCTTTCTAAAATAAGCCAAAATATGGGAAGCTGTAGATGTAACCAGTCTGCAGTCTCATTAAAATAGCACACACAGCCCATCCCCCCAGCCTGGCAACATGTGCTACACAATTTCCAAAAGAGTTATGCCCATTTGAATTAATTTTGGAAAAGTCTGTTTTTCTTTTTGTACTTGGTTCATGGCAACTGCCCTAGGGCACCAACCATCCAGGGAAACTTTGATGCATCTTACACTTTGGTCCTGATGACTGGGAGGCATAAATGAGAAAAGCTCTTATTCTGCAGTTAATACAGAGCAAGCGGCTGAGTTTGGAGCAGCCATGGAGAACATTCTAGAACAGGGTTGTCTAGTCGTTTGGCTCCCTTGGGTCACACTGGAAGAAGAATTGTCTTGGGGCCACACATAAAATACACTAACACTAACAATAGCTGATGAGCTTAAAAAAAAATCTCATAATATTTAAAGAATGTTTACAAATTTGTGTTGGGCCACATTCGAAGCTGTCCTGGGCTGCATGTGGCCCACGGGTGGCGGGTTGGACAAGTTTCCTCTAGAATCAACAAAATTCTGCAATTCCGTGTGCTAACAGAAGAGGCTTACCAGTTGTGGTGACAGGCTAGACAGCCAGGTAGAGAATTCAATAGGAGTGGAAATAACTGTCCACGAACAGGGTGGGGCCTGACAATCTGAAAGAAGCAATATTCTACCTAGTTCGAAGATCTTAAACTCACACAGAAGGGGCATTTACACTGATACAGAAACAAAAGTATGCAGAATCTAGTCAAACGATTAACTTACGTGGGGTTTGCAGTCTTTTTGTAGAAGAAGAAAGGATTGGGTATTGTATATAATTCACCTCCAAAGACCTGGGCAGCATGATTGCACCCCTGTAAAGCTATGGGTTTACCAGTAGCAGCTAGGTACATAGGTTTAGAGTAACCCATTTAGGTTCCTGAGAAGGACCTGATGAGCTCTTGGCTGAAATCACTGATTGTTCAAAACCTGCAGGATACTGAGAAGGCAAACCCCAAATTTCATGGGATAAAATCACAGTTGGTATGAGAAGAATCACCTTAGATGTCTACCATTCCAAGTCTCAGCACCCAGTTAAAATCTCTAATTAAAAGTCATCTCAGTAACTGAGATTGCCTTTCACTTCCCGAATGCCCACATAGCTTTCAACTCTGGGAAGCTTTAAAAATGAGAACAGAAATAACCAAGACACTTAAAAACATTGTATCGATGTTTCCTGGTTAAGGCATCTGCACAAACTTGGGGTTGTATATGCTTGAATAGTTAAGAGAAATATAGCCTATTAAGACAATAGCTTGTGACTCCCAGATAAAGTATATAATTGAGTGATCTTTTCAAGTTGAAATCTAAATAATTTATGTGGACATTTAGAAATGTATAAAACAAAACTAGTTTTGTTGCACCATAATTTTTTTTCTCTCTCAAAAATTTTGTTTTTATACTTTAACTTCTAGGGTACATGTGCACAACATGCAGGTTTGTTACATATGTATACATGTGCCATGTTGGTGTGCTGCACCCATTAACTCGTCATTTACATTAGGTATATCTCCTAATGCTATCCCTCCCCCCTCCCCCTACCCCACAACAGGCCCCGGTGTGTGATGTTCCCCTTCCTGTGTCCAAGTGTTCTCATTGTTCAATTCCCACCTGTGATTGAGAACATGTGGTGTTTGGTTTTTTGTCCCTGCAATAGTTTGCTGAGAATGATGGTTTCCAGCTTCATCCATGTCCCTACAAAGGACATGAACTCATCTTTTTTATGGCTGCATAGTATTCCATGGTGTATATGTGCCACATTTTCTTAATCCAGTCTATCATTGTTGGACATTTGGGTTGGTTCCAAGTCTTTGCTATTGTGAAGAGTGCCGCAATAAACATACGTGTGCATGTGTTTTTATAGCAGCATGATTTATAATCCTTTGGGTATATACCCAGTAATGGGATGGCTGGGTCAAATGGTATTTCTAGTTCTAGATCCTTGAGGAATTGCCACACTGTCTTCCACAATGGTTGAACTAGTTGACAGTCCCACCAACAGTGTAAAAGTGTTCCTATTTCTCTACATCCTCTCCAGCACCTGTTTCCAGACTTTTTAATGATTGCCATTCTGACTGGTGTGAGATGGTATCTCATTGTGGTTTTGATTTGCATTTCTCTGATGGCCAGTGATGATGAGCATTTTTTCATGTGTCTTTTGGATGCATAAATGTCTTCTTGTGAGAAGTGTCTGTTCATATCCTTCGCCCACTTTTTGATGGGGTTGTTTGTTTTTTTCTTGTGAGTTTGTTTGAGTTCTTTGTAGATTCTGGATATTAGCCCTTTGTCAGATGAGTAGACTGCAAAAATTTTCTCCCATTCTGTAGGTTGCCCGTTCACTCTGATGGTAGTTTCTTTTGCTGTGCAGAAGCTCTTTAGTTTAATTAGATCCCATTTGTCAATTTTGGCTTTTGTTGCCATTGCTTTTGGTGTTTTAGAAATGAAGTCCTTGCCCATGCCTATGTCCTGAATGGTATTGCCTAGGTTTTCTTCTAGGGTTTTTATGGTTTTAGGTCTAACATGTAAGTCTTTAATCCATCTTGAATTAATTTTTGTACAAGGTGTAAGGAAGGGATCCAGTTTCAGCTTTCTCCATATGGCTAGCCAGTTTTCCCAGCACCATTTATTAAAAAGGGAATCTTTTCCCCATTTCTTGTTTTTGTCAGGTTTGTCAAAGATCAGATGGTTGTAGATGTGTGGTATTATTTCTGAGGGCTCTGTTCTGTTCCATTGGTCTGTATCTCTGTTTAGATACCAGTACCATGCTGTTTTGGTTACTGTAGCCTTGTAGTATAGTTTGAAGTCAGGTAGCGTGATGCCTCCAGCTTTGTTCTTTTGGCTTAGGATTGTCTTGGCAATGTGGGCTCTTTTTTGGTTCCATATGAACTTTAAAGTAGTTTTTTTCCAATTCTGTGAAGAAAGTCATTGGTAGCTTGATGGGGATGGCATTGAGTCTATGAATTACCTTGGGCAGTATGGCCATTTTCATGATATTGATTCTTCTATCCATGAGCATGGAATGTTCTTCCATTTGTTTGTGTCCTCTTTTATTTCATTGAGCAGTGGTTTGTAGTTCTCCTTGAAGAGGTTCTTCACATCCCTTGTAAGTTGAATTCCTTCCTAGGTATTTTATTCTCTTTGAAGCAATTGTGAATGGGAGTTCACTCATGATTTGGCTCTCCGTTTGTTATTGGTGTATAAGAATGCTTGTGATTTTTGCGCATTGATTTTGTATCCTGAGACTTTGCTGAAGTTGCTTATCAGCTTAAGGAGATTTTGGGCTGAGATAATGGGGTTGTCTAATATACAATCATGTAATCTGCAAACAGGGACAATTTGACTTCCTCGTTTCCTAATTGAATACCCTTTATTTCTTTCTGCTGCCTGATTGCCCTGGCCAGAACTTCCAACACTATGTTGAATAGGAGTGGTGAGAGAGGGCATCCTTGTCTTGTGCCAGTTTTCAAAGGGAATGCTTCCAGTTTTTGCCCATTCAGTATGATATTGGCTGTGGGTTTGTCATAAATAGTTCTTATTATTTTTAGATATGTTCCATCAATACCTAATTTATTGAGTTTTTAGCATGAAGGGCTGTTGAATTTTGTCAAAGGCCTTTTCTGCATCCATTGAGATAATCATGTGGTTTTTGTCTTTGGTTCTGTTTATGTGATGGATTACATTTATTGATTTGCATATGTTGAACCAGCCTTGCATCTCAGGGATGAAGTCCCCTTGATCATGGTGGATAAGCTTTTTGATGTGCTGCTGGATTCGGTTTGCCAGTATTTTATTGAGGATTTTTGCATCAATGTTCATCAGGGATATTGGTCTAAAATTCTCTTTTTTTGTTGTGTCTCTGCCAGGCTTTGGTATCAGGATGATGCTGGCCTCATAAAATGAATTAGGGAGGATTCCCTCTTTCTCTATTGATTGGAATAGTTTCAGAAGGAATGGTACCAGCTCCTTCTTGTACCTCTGGTGGAATTCGGCTGTGAATCCATCTGGTCCTGGACTTTTTTTGGTTGGTAGGCTATTAATTATTGCCTCGATTTCAGAGCCTGTTATTGGTCTATTCAGGGATTCAAGTTCTTCCTGGTTTAGTCTTGGGAGGATGTGTGTGTCCAGGAATTTATCCATTTCTTCTAGATTTTCTAGTTTATTTGCATAGAGGTGTTGATAGTATTCTCTGATGGTAGTTTGTATTTCTGTGGGATCGGTGGTGATATCCCCTTTATCATTTTTTATTGCATCTATTTGGTTCTTCTCTCTTTTCTTCTTTATTAATCTTGGTAGCCGTCTATCAATTGTGTTGATCTTTTCAAAAAACCAGCCCCTGGATTCATTGATTTTTTGAAGGGTTCTTTGTGTCTCTATCTCCTTCAGTTCTGCTCTGATCTTAGTTATTTCTTGCCTTCTGCTAGCTTTTAAATGTGTTTGCTCTTGCTTCTCTAGTTCTTTTAATTGTGATGTTAGGGTATCAATTTTAGATCTTCCCTGCTTTCTCTTGTGGGCATTTAGTGCTATAAATTTCCCTCTACACACTGCTTTAAATGTGTCCCAGAGATTCTGGTCTGTTGTGTCTTTGTTCTCATTGGTTTCAAAGAACATCTTTATTTCTGCCTTCATTTTGTTATGTATCCAGTAGTCATTCAGGAGCAGGTTGTTCAGTTTCCATGTAGTTGGGCGGTTTTGAGTGAGTTTCTTAATCCTGAGGTCTAGTTTGATTGCACTGTGGTCTCAGAGACAGTTTGTTATAATTTCCGTTTTTTACATTTGCCGAGGACTGCTTTACTTCCAACTATGTGGTCAATTTTGGAATAGGTGTGGTGTGGTGCTTAGAAGAACGTATATTCTGTTGATTTGGGGTGGAGAGTTCTGTAGATGTCTATTAGGCCCACTTGGTGCAGAGCTGAGTTCAGTTGCTGGATATCCTTTTTAATTTTCTGTCTTGTTGATCTGTCTAATGTTGACAGTGGGTTGTTAAAGTCTCCCATTATTATTGTGTGGGAGTCTAAGTCTCTTTGTAGGTCTCTAAAGACTTGCTTTATGAATCTGGGTGCTCCTGTGTTGGGTGCATATATATTTAGGATAGTTAGCTCTTCTTGTTGAATTGATCCCTTTACCATTATGTAATGGCCTGCTTTTTCTCTTTTGATCTTTGTTGATTTAAAGTCTGTTTTATCAGAGACTAGTATTGCAATCCCTGCCTTTTTTTGTGTTCCATTTTCTTGGTAGATCTTCCTCCATCCCTTTATTTTGAGCCTATGTGTGTCTCTGCATGTGAGATGGGTCTCCTGAATACGGCACACTGATGAGTCTTGATTCTTTATCCAATTTGCCAGTCTGTGTCTTTTAATTGGTGCATTTAGCCCATTTACATTTAAGGTTAATATTGTTCTGTGTGGATTTGATGCTGTCATTATGATGTTAGCTGGTTATTTTGCTCGTTAGTTGATGCAGTTTCTTCCTAGCATCGATGGTCTTTGCAGTTTGTCATGTTTTTGCAGTGGCTTGTACTGGTTTTTCCTTTCCACGTTTAGTGCTTCCTTTAGGAGCTCTTGTAGGGCTGGCCTGGTGGTGACAGAATCTCTCAGCATATGCTTGTCTGTAAAGTATTTTATTTCTCCTTCACTTATGAAGCTTAGTTTGGCTGGATATGAAATTCTGGGTTGAAAATCCTTTTCTTTAAGAATGTTGAAGCTGGGCGCGGTGGCTCATGCCTGTAATCCCAGCACTTTGGGAGGCTGAGGCGGGTGGATCACCTGAGGTCAGGAGTTCGAGACCAGCCTGACCAACATGGAGAAAACCCGTCTCTACTAAAAATACAAAAATTAGCCTGGCGTAGTAGCACATGCCTGTAGTCGCAGCTACTAGGGAGGCTGAGGCAGGAGAATCGCTTGAACCTGGGAGGCGGAGGTTGCGGTGAGCTGAGATCGTGCCATTGCACTCCAGCCTGGGCAACAAGAGTGAAACTCCGTCTCAAAAAAAAAAAAGCTGAATATTAGCCCCCACTCTCTTCTGGCTTGTAGAGTTTCTGCCGAGAGATCAGCTGTTAGTCTGATGGGCTTCCCTTTGTTGGTTAACCCTACCTTTCTTTCTGGCTGCCCTTAACATTTTTTCCTTCATTTCAACTTTGGTGAATCTGACAAATATGTGTCTTGCAGTTGCTCTTCTCGAGGAGTATCTTTGTGGCGTTCTCTGTATTTCCTGAGTTTGAATGTTGGCCTGCCTTGCTAGGTTGGGGAATTTCTCCTGGATAATATCCTGCAGAGTGTTTTCCAACTTGGTTCCATTCTCCCTGTCACTTTCAGGTACACCAATCAGATGTGGATTTGGTCCTTTCACATAGTCCCATATTTCTTGGAGGCTTTGTTCGTTTCTTTTTACTGTTTTTTTCTCTAAACTTCTCTTCTTGCTTCATTTTATTCATTTGATCTTCAGTCACTGATACACTTTCTTCCAGTTGATCGAATCGGCTACTGAAGCTTGTGCAAGCGTCATGTAGTTCTCGTGCCATAGTTTTCAGCTCCATCAGGTCGTTTAAGGACTTCTCTGCATTGGTTATTCTAGTTAGCCATTCATCTAATTTTTTTTCAAAGTTTTTAGCTTCTTTGCGATGGGTTTGAACTTCCTCCTTTAGCTCGCAGAAGTTTGATCATCTGAAGCCTTCTTCTCCCAACTTGTCAAAGTCATTCTCCATCCAGCTCCAGCTCTATTCCTTTGGAGGGGGAGAGTCGCTCTGATTTTTAGAATTTTCAGCTTTTCTGCTATGTTTTTTCCCCATCTTTGTGGTTTTATCTACCTTTGGTCTTTGATGATGGTGACGTACAGATGGGGTTTTGGTGTGGATGTCCTTTCTGTTTGTTAGTTTTCCTTCTATCAGTCAGGACCCTCAGCTGCAGGTCTGTTGGAGTTTGCTGGAGGCCCACTCCAGACCCTGTTTGCCTGGGTATCAGCGGAGGCTGCAGAACAGCAAATGTTGCTGCCTGATCGTTCCTCTGGAAGCTTTGTCTCAGAGGGGTACCCGGCCGTGTGGGGTGTCAGTCTGCCCCTACTGGGGGGTGCCTCCCAGTTAGGCTACTTGGGGGACAGGGACCCACTTGAGGAGGCAGTCTGTCCGTTCTCAGATCTCAAACTCTGTGCTGGGAGAACCACTACTCTCTTCAAAGCTGTCAGACAGGGATATTTAAGTCTGCAGAGGTTTCTGCTGCCTTTTGTCCAGCTATGCCCTGCCCCCAGAGGTGGAGTCTACAGGCAGGCAGGCCTCCTTGAGCCGTGGTGGGCTCCACCCATTTCGAGCTTCCTGGCCGCTTTATTTACCTACTAAAGCCTCAGCAATGGCGGGCGCCCCTCCCCCAGCCTGCTGCTGCCTTTCAGTTCAATCTCAGACTGCTGTGCTAGCAATGAGTGAAGCTCCGTGGGCATGGGACCCTCTGAGCCAGGCACGAGCTATAATCTCGTGGTGTGCCGTTTGCTAAGACCGTTGGAAAAGCGCAGTATTAGGGTGGGAGTGACCTGATTTTCCAGGTGCTGTCTGCCATAGCTTCCTTTGGCTAGGAAAGGGAATTCCCTGACCCCTTGCGCTTCCTGGGTGAGGTGATGCCTCGACCTGCTTTGGCACTCGCTCTCCAACAAGCCCTAGTGAGATGAACCCGGTACCTCAGTTGGAAATGCAGAAATCACCTGTCTTCTGCATCACTCACACTGGGAGCTGTAGGCTGGACCTGTTCCTATTCGGCCATCTTGGAACCACCTTTTCACCATATTTATAAGTTTGGTTTACAAGAGTTGTAAAATGTATTTAGAACCTGGAAAAGTTTTGTTAATTAATTCAGACAATAGGCGTGCTTAAAGAATAAATATTAATAGAAAAACTATATAGGCCAGTCATTTTGGGAGGCTGAGGTGAAGGGTGGGGAATGGGGGGATGCGGCGGGGAATTGCTTGAACCCAGGAGTTCAAGACCAGCCTGGGCAACATGGTGATACCCAGTCTCTACAAAAAATACAAAAATAAGCCAGGCGGGTGGCATGCACATGTAGTCCCAGATACTCCAGAGGCTGAAGTGGGAGGATCACTTGAGCCCAGGAGGTCAAGGCTGCAGTGAGCCATGATTATGCCACTGCACTGTAGCCTGGGCAACAAGGGGAGACTCTGTCTCAAAAAAAAAAAAAAAGGAAAAAAAAAATATATATTGTTGGAATACACATATACTTCATAAAAATGTTTTTAATTTTTGAAGGTATTTAAATAATGTTGTGTGTAAATTGGACCAGTATTACTTAAAGGCCCCTAAAAACAGGTTGCTAAAATAGTCTGGACTCTTCTTAGAAACTGAAATTAAAAGCCAGAGAGCAATGAATTTGGAGTTTTTAACTTTAATGTATCAAATGATAAATATTTTAACAAAACAACCCTGAAGAGTCTTTTCTGTGAATAAAGCTGCTTTAGACACACAAAGACTTTATATCAACATGTGAAAGGTGACAGGAATCCTATAAGGTGGCTCAGCCTGGGGAAGAGTCCTTCCTAAACATATTTTTATTAAAATTATTTCTTAGTAGCGTGAATATATGGGCCAGGAATAGGAGAAGGGAAGTGAGGCCATTGCCTTGGACATAAAATTTAAGGGGATATAAAAAGCTCAGTAATCTAGATAAATAATATTTTTATGCAGTATTGTTTTAAAATCAAAATCAATGCATAGAATCCACCATGAAGGAATTATCAAAATTTTAAATAAAGATCAAATATGACTCTGAACTTACACGACCCCCCTCACTTGCCTCATGCTAATTCTGGCTCTGGTTTGCAATGTTTTTTTGTTTTTTAACTTGTGTTCCTAGCATCTGTTTACAGAGGAATGAGGGCACAATGATTTTTTAGTTATAACCATCAAATGCACAAACATTTTGCCTTTTTCTCAGACATCAAATTCTCTCCTACTAAACAATCCTTCTTTCCGAAACACACAGAACTGTTCTGCTGTGTTAAATGTATTAACTCACCCAAACACTGGCCCTTTACTTTCCAGAGCTATTTTACCATATTATTAATATTTGCAGCAATTTTTACTTATTGTTCAAGTAGGTTTAAGAGGTTGTGCGTAGACAAGGAGAATTTTGATATTCTTAAAAGTCATTTCTTCTGTTAGTTTCAATTATTGTTTTAAACTCTAAACTGTGTCTATACACATTTCTGTAAGTAATGATGCCTAAAATTTGTGTCAGGATAAAAACCTTTTGTCCTGTGATAATCAAGTAGACTTTTTTTTTTTCCTTATAACAGGTGTTACACAATTTTTCGTGATTTCTTTTTACCATGGCTGCCTGGAAGCTCAATGCTGAATATAAAGTTCACTTACAGGCACTATGCTACCTTCTGGAGCAATTAGATTTTATTCAATCCATTGTTATTTATTGAGTTGGAAATCATCTTAAGGCCTTCTTGGATAAATGCAGGATATAATCATATTTAAATATACTACTGGCTCATTTTAACTTCCTTAGAACTTACTTATAAACCAGTTGTATTATATATATGATATATATATATATATATATATCCTTATATATTTTCTGTTAGGCTCCTCTCTAGTTCAAAGAAATCATACATTGTGGACCCAGAACAATGTTCTGTCTTCCCACAAAAGTCTCTCTGTCTTGAAGAGGGGAGAATGACTACATTTATTTAATGTTTACTAGGTACCAGGCAATGAGCTACATCTTTACATACCTTTTGTCCCTTTATCCTCACAGCTATACTCCAAGTCAGGGGTCTGCAAATTTTTTCCATAAAAGGCAAGATAATACTTTGGGCTTTGTGGGCTGTATGGTATGGTCTATGTTGTAACCAAACTGCCATTGTAGTGCAAAAGCAGACATAGACAATATGTAAACAAATGGGTGTGACTGTGTTCCAATGAAACTTTATTGACAAAAATAGGCTGCAAACTGGATTTGGCCTGTGAGCTATAGTTGCTGACTCCTGCTTTCAGTGAAAGACAGTTTTACCCTTATTTGCAGTTGAAAAATGAATTCCAAGGAAACTTAAGTTGGGGGAAAGTCCTATAAGCAGTAAGTATGGAGCTGACATTTGAACCTTGGTATTTGAACCTTATCTGATTCCAACAACCTTGCTCTTTCTATTGTGTCATGCTGACTTCGGGGGTCAAGTAGTTGAGATTCAGTTTCCTAGTCTACAAACAAAAAGATTCAAATCTGGATGGCCTTTATTATCTCCTCACTCAGGGGTTTTTAACATGTTTTGTGCCATAGGCCCTATATTAGTCCATTTTCACGCTGCTGATAAAGACATACCAGAGACTGGGCAATTTACAAAAGAAAGAGGTTTATTGGGCTTACAATCCCATGTGGCTGGGGAGGGCTCACAATAATGATGGAAGGTGAAAAGCAAATCTCACATGGCAGCAGACAAGAGAAGACAAGAGACATGGCAGCAGACAAGAGAAGAAACTTGCTGGGAAACTCCCCTTTTTGCAACCATCAGATCTTGTCAGACTTATTCACAGATCTTGTGAGACTTATTCACTATCACAAGAACAGCATGGGAAAGACCTGCCCCCATGATTCATTTACCTCCCACCAGGTCTCTCCTACAACATGTAGGAATTCAAGATGAGATTTGGGTGGGGACACAGCCAAACCATATCATTCTGCCCCTGGCCCCTCCAAATCTCATGGCTTCACATTTCAAAACCAATCATGCCTTCCCAACAGTTCCCCAAAGTCTTAACTCATTTCAGGATTAACTCAAAAGCCCACAGTCCAAAGTCTCATCTGAAACAAGGCAAGTCCCTTCTGCCTATGAGCCTGTAAAATCAAAAGGAAGTTAGTTACTTCCTAGGTACAGTGGGAGTACAGGCATTGGGTAAATATAGCCATCCCAAATGGGAGAAATTGGCCAGAACACGGGGGCTACAGGCCCCATGCAAGTCTGAAATCCAGTGGGGCAGTCAAATCTTAAAGCCCCAAAATGATCTCTTTGACTACCATGTCTCACATCCAGGTCATGCTGATGTAAGAGGTAGGTTCCCATGGTCTCAGGCAGTTCCACCCCTGTGGATTTGCAGGGCACAGCCTCTCTCCTGGCTGCCTTCATGGGATGGTGTTGAGTGCCTGCAGCTTTTCCAGGTGCATGGTGCAAGCTGTCAGTGGATCTACCATTCTGGGGTCTGAAGGATGGTGGGCTTCTTCTCACAGCTCACTAGGAGGTGCCCCAGTAGGGACTCTGTGGGGGGGCTCCAATCCCACATTTCCCTTCTGAACTGCCCTAGTAGAGGTTCTCCATAAGGGTCCCACCCCTGCAGCAAACTTCTGCCTGGGCATCCAGGTGCTTCCATATATCTTCTGAAATCTAGGCAGAGGTTCCCAAACCCCGATTCTTGACTTCTGTGCACTTGCAGGCTCAACACCACATGGAAGCTGCCAAGGCTTGAGGCTTGTACCCTCTGAAGCCACAGCCCAAGCTCTACATTGGCCCCTTTCAGCCAAGGCTGGCGCAGTTGGGATGCAGGGCATCAAGTCACTAGGCTGCACACAGCACGGGAACCCTGGGCCTGGCCTGTGAAACCACCTTTTCCTCTTAGGCCTCCAGGCCTGTGATGGGAGGGGATTCCGTGAAGACTCTGACATGCCCTGGAGACATTTTCCCCACTGTCTCAGGGATTAACATTCAGCTCCTTGTTACTTGTGCAAATTTCTGCAGCCTGCTTGAATTTCTCCTCAGAAAATGGGATTTTCTTTTCTATTGCATTGTCAGGCTGCAAATTTTTGAACTTTTATGCTCTGCTTCCCTTATAAAACTGAATGCCTTTAACAGCACCTAAGTCATCTCTTCAATGCTTTGCTGCTTAGAAATTTCTTCTGCCAGATACCCTAAACCATCTCTCTGAAGTTCAAAGTTCCACAAATCTCTAGGGCAGGGGCAAAATGCCAGCAGTCTCTTTGCTAAAACATAACAAGAGTCACCTTTGCTCCAGTTCCCATCAAGTTCCTCATCTCATTCTCAGACTACTTCAGCCTGGATTTCACTGTCCATATCATTATCAGCATTTTGGTCAAAGCCATTCAACAAGTCTCTAGGGAGTTCCAAGCTTTCCCACATTTTCCTGTCTTTTTCTGAGCCCTCCAAACTGTTCAAACCTCTGCCCGTTACCCAGTTCCAAAGTTGCTTCCACATTTTCAGGTATCTTCAGCAGTGCCCCACTCTCCTGGTACCAATTTACTGTATTAGTCCATTTTCACGCTGCTGATAAAGACATACCTGAGACTGGGCAATTTACAAAAGAAAGAGGTTTATTGGACTTATAGCTCCACGTGGTTGCGGAGGCCTCATGATCACGCTGGAAGCTGAAAGGCAGGTCTCACGTGGTGGCAGACAAGAGAGCTTGTGCAGGGAACTCCTCTTATAAAACCATCAGGTCTCATGAGACTTATTCACTATCATGAGGACAGCACAGGGAAGACCTGCCCCCATGATTCATTTACCTCCCACTGGGTCTCTCCTACAACACATGGGAATTCAAGATGAGATCTGGGTGTGGACACAGCCCAACCATATCAGTTTCCTTTGATAGTCTAGCAAGGCCATGGGAACAACTTTTAAGAACAACGTTTGTAAATGCATAAAATAAAATACACAGGATTACAAAGAAAATTTATTATACTAAAACATAATTATCAAAATAATATTTTTAAAAGGCTGTCGCAGGTTTCTCAATCTTAGCACTCTTGACATTTTGGACTGGGTAATTATTTCTGCTGAAAAGCTGTCCTGTGTACTGCAGGATACTTAGCAGCATCCCTTGCCTTTACCCACTAGATGCCAATAGAATTCCTTTCTCCAATTACAACAATCCCAAATGTCTCCAGATGTTGTTAGGTGTGTCCTGTGGGGCAAAACGTCCCCTTATTGACAGCCACTGGGCTATAATAAATAGATGTACTCCTTCACTAACATGTTCAACAAGAAGATGTAGTGGAGAGTCTAATAAGCACCAAATTTTCGAAGTAGTGGTGAGCATGAATGTTATATCTACACAAACTTTAATGTGATATAATATTTATTTGTTGCGTCTCGGTAACCAAGTCACAGATACTGCTAATACTACTCTAGTCTATAGTTTATATTCCTTATTGAAGAAATTGCTCACTTACAGTCAGAGGTCAGTGAAAGTAACATGAAATTCACCTCCCATCCAACTTCATGGACTCTCTGAAGTCTATCCACAGAGTCCTTGGAGATCCATGAACCTCATGTTAGGAACCTCTCTTCTAGTTTAAACATATAATGAAGATATGAGGCTGAGTTGGCCTCTACATAATTAATTTTAAAAGACCATAGAGATCATCTAAATTTAATGTACTATTTTACAGCTGCTAAAATGTTGGCTCAGGTAGGGTAAGTGATTTCCTCAAGGTCATGCAATTGTTCAGCAGCAGGGTTGATACTTGAGCTGCCTTGTTTCTAGTGAAAACATCATTCCCCAGTGACCCATGCCTGCTGCTTTTGTCGTTTGTTTTTCTCACATACATTGTTGACCTTCCAAACACTGTAAGTTATTAGATACCAAATTCTTACTCAAAAAATGGGGCTTGATCCTTTACCTCTGAACCTTAATCGATTGTGAGTGTTTGAAGACTTTAAGGAACAAGAGACCAAGGACTAAATATAAGAACTATAAAGAAAGCATTAAGCTAAGAAATAGTGAGGAAAAGCAGGAGGGAGTGGTAAGAAGGTCCTATTTGACAGCTTCATTAGGGATCTGGAGGAGGGGAAGACAGCATGTTGGAGCTACCCATGCATATTATTATTAAGTTGGAGCAAATGGAGGCATTAGAGAAGGGATAGATAATATAAAATCACCCAGGGAGATTATGAGCAGGGGTAGGAGGTAAATGAAATTTTGAATTGAAAGCCAGTTGACAGCCTAACTGTGTCAACAATAGTGATGTCAGCCAAGTCACCAATATTGAATGATACCTTAAGAACCTTGCCACCCAAAATGTGGTTCATGGATCAACAATATCAGTACTTCCTGGAAGCTTATTAGAAATGTGGAATCTCAAGCCCCAGCCAGGCCTCAAAAATCAGAATTCACATTTTAAATCTCCAGATGATGCACTTTAAAGTTTGAGAAGCACTGCCTCAGAAAATCTGATGTCCAAGAAACTTGAGGATTGCCAAGAGTTATGGTTGTGCCACTGGTAGAAAGTTAAAGGTAAGGTTAGTGTGAGATATGAAAGGAGGGAACTTCTTGATTTGCGTTTCTGGGAAAATAAATCAATATTCCCACGTCCCTTACTAAAACTGAAGGGATGCTAAATGGCTTTGATGGCCAGACTTTGCATAACATTTTAAGACAAAGTGCCGAGAAATTGAATGAATTTCCACAATGTTAATATGATTTGCACAAATAATTAGTTTTGTTCTCCAAAGAAACTACTCTTTCTTGAAATTTGTTGAATCTAATGAAACAATAAATTGCCATTGAGAAATATCAAAGCCACTGGATTACCATAAAAAACTAGATTAATTTTCTAATTGCTCTCCTTGTTCTTTCCACCATTATCTTAGCCATCTGAGATTCTTATTACTTCCTTCTATCCGTTCTGTCCTCTATCCCTAAAACTAACTTCCCTCTTGCATTTCCTTGGATGACTGCCAACATTATCCATACATCCATCCACACATCTAACCACCCACTGACTCACCTACCTACCCATCCAACTATGCACCATACATCCACCATTCATCTATTCATCCATCCATCCATCCATCCTCCTGTCAATCCAGTGAATACCAAACAAGTCCTAAGCACAATTAAAATGTTAATATTCTGAAGTCAACTAAGCTATGGTCCTTCTTTTAAGAGACTTCTATTCCCCTGAGATAGAAATTTCAGGGAAATCCTTGGCTCTTTGATATCACCCCCTCATTTCTCACAACTCTTCCCTGGATCTGATAATCCTGTCAATTCCAGCCCTAAAACATCTCCTGATTTTGAAATTTTCATCTCCATGGCCTTTGAAAAATATTTATCCTCTTTTTCATTGTTGTCAATTCTCCTTGAAATATTATCTCTCCCTTCTTATCTAGTAACTCCAGTAAATTCTCCACCCTGCTTCTGCAGTTCCTTTGTAAGGCATGCATTTCACCATATTATTCCACTAATTAGAGATCTTCAGTGGCTCTCTACTTCCTAAATGACAAAGCCCAAGCATCTTGACATAGCATTCACTTTCCTTTTCTCCAGTGACTCCAATTCATGTTTCTAGATTTACTGCCTGCCATGATAATTCTCCATCCCTGACCACATCCAAGCAATCTGGTCATATTGTAATTCCATCATTCCTAGCATGTGTCACATTGCATCATATCCCTACATCTTTCATTTTGTTGTTTTACACTTGGAAAGCTGTTTCTACTTACTTGATTTCTTAAGAACCACCTCTAATGTCACCTCTTTTAAAAATGTAGTTAAGGAAACAAGAGTGTCAAAGGAGGTCCAACAGAAGAAGTTCTATGGCCTGAGTGTTTGTGTGCCCCTAAAATTCATGTTGAAATCCTAAATTCCAAGGTGATATATTAAGATGTGGGGCCTTTGGGAGATGACTAGGTCAAAAGGGCTCAACTCTCATAGGATTAGGGTTCTTATAAAAGAAATCTCTGAGAACTGGTGTGCTCCCCACCCCCACCCCCCAACCATATGAGTACACATCTATAAGGTGTCATCTCTGAACCAGGAAATGGGCCTTCAGCTGACACTGAATTTGCTGGTGTTGTGATCTTGAACTTCCCAGCCTCCTGAATAGACTAGAACACATTAAGTTTGTTTTAAACTGTGAAATGGCATTCTGGTCAGGGGATCCTTCATGAAAAAAGGCATCTCTCTTTTCTGTGCTCTCATTTGGGTTTTGAATCTGCCTCTACTATAAGATTTTCCATGTTAAAGATTGGTTGATCCATGTTCCCAGGCAGACTGTGAGTATCTTGAGAATAAGAGCCACTTATTAATCCTAGTTGTACCTCAGTGACTAACATGTTGGATAATGGATAAATGTTTGTTGAACAAAATAATTATGCATCTGCTAGGCAGCTTCTGAGTTGGCCTCCAATGATGCCTGCCTCTTGATAGTAACTACCTAGAGGATTCTCCTTCCCTTGAATAACTTGCTTCTAACTAACAGAATATGGCAACATTGGGGAGATATCACTTCTATGATTAGATTGCAAAAATTATGATTTTCATCTTGCTACTTGCTAGCAAACTCTTTTTAGCCTTCTCAGTTTGTTTGTTTTGATGAAGTAAACAGTTATGCTGGGGAGGCCCACATGGCAAGAAACTGAAGGCAGCCTCAGGCCAACTGTCAGTGAGGAACTGAGACCCTTAGTCCAACGACCTTGGAGAAACCTAATCCTGCCAGTAACTACTGAGTGAGCTTGGAAGCAGATCCTTCCCCAATCTAACTTTCAAATGAGATTCCAAGTCCTAGTCAGCCCTTTGATTGCAGCCTTGTGAGAGACCCTGGGGTGGAGGATCCACTTAGCCAGGCCCAAATTTCTGACCCATGGGAGAGAATAACTGTAAGTTGTTTTAGGCCACTAAGTTTTGAAGAAATTTGTTATGCAGCAATAGATAACTAACAGAATGAGAGAACCAGTCTGGGTAGGTTGATAAATAAGTGACTCAAGGATAGATCTGGATAATCTTGAATACCAGGTTAAATGTCAATACAAAGAAGGCTTTTTCAGGTGAGATTTATTTAATGACTCCTAACACTGGATTTTTACAGAGTACATCTGTGCTACAAACAATACTCCCTTGGAACAACGGTCAAGATGATTCAAAGAGGAGTCTTCCACTTAGCAATGCTGTTATCTTTCTTTTCACTCTGGCAAGTGTTTTTAATATGAGGAGCCCAGTGCAGGCTGGGTCAGGCCATGGAGGCTTTGCAACTGCATCAGAAGTGAAAGAAATTACCAGACTGGGCCAGGGGTGCAGTGGCTCACACCTGTAATCCCAGCACTTTGGGAGGCCGAGGTGGGTGGATCACAAGTCAGGAGTTCAAGACGAGCCTGGCCAACGTGGTGAAACCCTGTCTCTACTAAAAATACAAAAATTAGCTGGGCGTGGTGGTGGGTGCCAGTAGTCCCAGTTACTTGGGAGGCTGAGGCAGGAGAATTGCTTGAACCCAGAAGGTGGAGGTTGCAGTGAGCCGAGATCGTACCACTGCACTCCAGCCTGGGTGACACAGCAAGACTCTGTCTCCAAAAAAAAAAAAAAAAAACAAAAACAAAAAAAAACAGACTAACAGACTGGCTACTGTGAGGAAGATAAGATATGTTAGCTCTGCCAACTACTAGCTCCTGGGAGTTTTGTCTTATCTCTGATATCCTGCTACACAGTTCTTACATATTTTTGCTATGCTTATTTTGCCTTAACTAGATTATGTGTCTGGCACACACTGAACATTTAGTTAATATTAGTTGAATGAATGGATGAATAAATGAATAGATGAACAAATTTATGCTCCTTAAAATCAGGGTCACATTTTGGCTTCCTACTTCTCATGGTACTTACTACATCATTTGGCATATGGCAATTAATCAATAAATTTCTGTTAATTGGTTGGTTGATGGATAATAATAGAGAAGTTTTTAAATGCCAGAAGTTATTGCATGAGAGAACATTTCAATTTCCCCATTAAGCCAAAAAGACTTCTTATGCCTTAAAATGTCCTTGAATTGAAAATTTGAGAAGCTCTGTCTAACATCTTAGGAAAAATTCCAACAACGGCATCCCATCTCTGTAAGAAAGTTTCACTAGTAGGACTTAACATATGAAAGTAGCATAGGCATTGTCGTCATTGAGCTCCAGATAGGAACTAACGTTTACAAGGGTGTTTTCAGGTATATTGACCCAGTGTAGATTACACTTTTGTCTACATCTGGTTGCCATGCAGATGTCTAAAATGGGAGAAGGATATTTAGCCTGAGTGAAGGAGTTCTCAGAAATGCAAAGCAGAATGCACCAACCAACAAAAAAACAGCCAGATTCTAAAAGTGTGGTGATTTGCTTATGTTTCACAAAGAAGGAAGACAAAAAAAAAAAAAAAAAAACTGTAACTCAGATCTCTGCTGTTGGGTAAGGGCCAATTAATATTGCAAGTCTTAAACCCAAAGGATTAACAAGGATCATTTATATTAACAGAAGCAGTGACAATAAAATAAACAGAGATGTAAATTAACGAAGGGAAAAATGAGGCTAAATACCAAGCAACATGAGTGGAAACACCTCTAGTGAGTTCTCTAGGTGAGGACTCAGCCAAAAAGATGCCACTAACATTGTATTCTCCAACAATTGAAAAATCAGTAAAAGCTTTAATTAAGCACTATGAGGAATGTGAGGCCCCCACAGTCACTCAAACATTTATCCCTCAAGAGGCATACCAATTATGAGTTTACAATCTCAAAGACAAAATGATCAACTAAAGCCATTGTTTTCTTTAGGAATTGCTTATTTTTTTTCCAGCTTTCCATAATTTGATTTGGTTATATGATAACCCATGAAACTGGGTTGGATACAGCAGATGAAGACAGACTGTAGATAAGAAAAAGCACTTTTTTTTTTAAACTTGTAATTCTAGGGCTTAGACTCCTGGGCATTTTAAGAGCAGCACTTAAAACTAAATGTGTTGTGAAAGATTGAGAATTTAACAAGCACCACCTGTGAGTAATTTCTCGTTGATATGTACACTGATGTATAAGACAACATTATTTTAAAGCATAAGAAATAGTTTTGGCTTAGTAAAATATCAGACTATTTTCTCATATGATAACTTCTGGAAGTTGAAAACCTTTGTTGTCACCTGTTAGCTATCTGTCTTGAAAACACAAGAATTACAATTTCCACGATGCTGTCAAAGGCACTTTTAATGCCCATTTGACCACCAGATGGCTACAGCTCATGCAAGAGGAAGATTTAGAGAATGTGTTATAAAGGTTGGCATGGGAGGGAAAAGGGAAAAGGATCCAGAGGGAGGTGTGATGAGTGAAACTGACAATAGGATTACTCTAAAGTCCTTTAGAAATGGAAATCTCTGGAGTCAGCAGTTTCTGCACTCCGTCAACTGCTAACAACGCGATTTGCCCCAAGGGGCTCTTTGTGACCAGAGGGGCAAATCTATGCATGTGTTAAGAATAATATTCCAGAAAAGGTTCTCATTATAGGCTCCTGTCACTTACTCTGGCTGCTCTAGATTTCAGGAGTGAACATCAGTACCGAAGGTGCTTAAAATTAAAATTCAGGGCAGATGATGGCTGATGTCAGACTGCACCCAGCTCTTGCTATGGAGAGAGTGACACAGACAGACTATACTTTGATGAATTGGTCACACCAAGGGAACAAACCCACCAGGGGAGCCTGCAGATGGCTATACGCTTGTGGGAACCGCTAATCAGTGCTGCTCCTGTGAGGAGGCATTTCGAAGGCCCTCAACTTTAAATTACCTACCCTGTAGCACTCTCAGACTTGAGAAAAAGATTATAACAAAATATTTCAGGAAATAAAAAGAAATATTTTATCCAGAATATGAAGAACTCTTTCAACTTATTAATTGGAAGATGAATGACCCAATTTAAAAGTAGGCAAAAGACTTGAAATTAGCTATTTCTCCAAAAACAGATACACAAATGGTCAATAGGCATATGAAAAGATTATCAACATCATTAATCACAGGGGAAATACAAATCAAAACCACAATCAGATGCCACTTCACTCTCACTAGAATGGCTATAATCAGAAAGACAGATAACCACAAATATTGTCAAGGATATGGAGAAACTGGATTCACATATTGCTGGTAAGAACGTCAAATGGAAAACATTTGGCAGTTTCTTTTAAAAGAGTAACCATATGATCCAGCAATTTTACTCCCAGGTATCTACTTAAGAAAAATAAAAAAGAATATGTTCACATGCAAAGACTTGTACATGAATGTTTAAGCAGTAGAAACGGCCACAAAAGACAGCTTTGCATGGCCATTTCAAAATATGTCAAAGAAATATATTTTGGGGTGAAATAATTTCCTTCAGGATCTGCTCTGTCATGAGATGCTATGCCAGAGTCAGGTTGGAACATAAGCCATATTTTACCTGGTGAATAAAAAAATCTGTTTAATGAGATATTATGGTTTGTAGGGTGTGACTTAACGTTGCCTTGCATGACCATAGGCCATGTTTATAATTTGGTATCTTATTGCCACAAAGAGTCTGCTTTGTCAGTCTTATGATCTCTATTTTAACCTTAATGCTGGTCAGTTGTGCCTAAACTTCAAAACAGAGTGTTTGTATGTTTATAGGAATGCAGGTTGGCAGGTGGGCAGAAAAGTGGCGAGGGGGGATGGGGTAGTCTTTGGTATCAGAACTTTTACTATTAGAATCAGTTGTCTAGTTAAAGGCATTTTCCTTTAAGAAAATGCAAATACCCCCAGGAGGAGTAGTACACAGTCTCCTCCGTCAGACTGTAGCGCAGGGGTGTCCAATCTTTTGGCTTCCTTGGGTCACATTGGAAGAAGAAGAATTATCTTGGGCCACACATGAAATACACTAACACTAATGATACCTGATGAGCTAAAAACAAAACAAAAAAAGAATCGCAAAACATTTCCCACAATGTTTGAAGAAAGTTTATGAATTTGTGTTAGGCCACATTCAAAGCTGTCCTGGGGTGCATATGTCCCATGGATTGCGGGTTGGACAAGCTTGCTCTAGTGTGACTGACTCTATCAGATCCATTTCTCAATGCAGGTTCTCATTGGAGAAGAAGAAGGGCATCAAGGAGATGATGCTGTAGGAAACAGGGGCTAAAAGAGGAGGCAGAGAATATCAAGGTCAAACATGATAAGCCTAAAATTTGCCATATCTACAACTTTATATATTTCAGAGCGACAGGTAGCAGAAAAGGACACTACACATCATCTTTTCCAAGACACCAGGCACACTAATGATATTTAATTTGAAGTCTGTTTGGAGAGTCTGCTTCCTTACTTGTTCTCTTCTTCCTTCTCTCCATCATCATCATCATCATATTAATGGTGATTAAAAGCTAAGACTTGAGTGCTTCCTGTTCTTAGCACTTCATATGAATAAGTCATTTAACCCTTGTTAAACAAAAATTATAGGAGGCCATTGTTTTGGACTGAGCTCCTGCAGTAGGCCCCAACAGACCAGTGTAAACCAAAATGAAGTCACTCATGCTAAATGTCACATAATCAAACTGAAGTTTTAAGGAAGGAGATAGATTCCAAAATAGACCAGTTTTTCCTGAAAACAGGAGATTCCAGTCCATCTGAGTCAGCCTAATAAGGAAGTCCCCTTTGCTTTAACCCTCCCATAAAAGTAACCTGAAGGTAACCAATCAGTTTTTAAACTTTTTTTTCTTTTGTTATTATCGTGACAGGGTCTCACTCTGTCACCCAGGCTGGGGTGCAGGGGCACAATCATAGCTCACTATAGCCTCCAACTCTGGGGCTCAAGTAATCCTCCTGCCTCAGCCTCCTGAGTAGCTGGGACTACAGGTGCATGCCACCAAGCCTGCCTAATTTTTAAACTTTTTTAGAGATGATGGTCTCACTATGTTGCCCAGGCTGGTCTTGAACTCCTGGCCTCAAGAGATCCTCCTACCTTGACTTCCCAAAGTGCTGAGATTACAGGCATGAGCTACCATGCTCAGCAGGTGTTCTTTTTTTTTTTTTTTCCCAATTATTCTGTTTCCTTATTGCCACCTTACAAAACTCACTGTTCTGTCATTGCCCAGTGGAGCTCTCATTCCATTTTATAGAATGGAGGCTGCCCGGTTTCATGAATTGCAAATAAAAGCCAATTAGATCTATAACTAACTTTGTTTTAATTTTGTCTTTTGACACCCTCTTACAATTCAGTGGAGTAAGTACAATTATGCTCATTTTACAGACGAATAAAGCAAACTACAGAAAGGCAGCATGCCCACCCTCAAGTGGCTGGAAAGTGATACAGAAGATCCAACCCCAGGGAGCTTCACTCTAGACTTCACACCCCTAACCACCAGGCTTTCCTGCAGCTTAGCTTTTATTTCAAAAATAATAAAAAGCCTCCACCTTAACATTATTTAGAGGTCATTTTCCTATAAATGCAACTGTCAGGAATACAACAATCAAGCACTGGAAAAGATATGGGGAATTCAAACCAAAAGAATGAGTGTCAAGGAGACAGCATACAACCTGAGCACCAAACCTCAGGCTAATGTTTCATGAGAGCCCATGAGGCTCTCACTTAGAGCCTATTAACTTTTATCTTATAAATAGTTCTAACAACCTCAGTTTGTTGTTACCTGGTTGGCAGGAGGTTATAAACTACAAATTAAAAGGAAATCAGGCAGCAGGATATCTTATGAAGGGGCTGCTATTAGAAGCCACATTTAAAGCTAAAAGCTATGTCAGGGGGACAGTTTAACATTTGGCAGTCCTAAATTTTAGAAAATGAAAGAAAAATAAAACAACAACAAAGTCCCTGGAGAAAACAGATAAAGTAAACAGCAAAAGCATTATGGAGCCACTCAGAGAAAGAGTCAGAGGTTCCTCCTTAACCTTGAGTGGGCCTCACAATGAGGGCTTAAGAGAGCATAGAAGGAAGCAATTGTAAAATAGGCATTAGACAATCAATTGCCAGCTGGGCGCGGTGGCTCACGCCTGGAATCCCAGCGCTATGGGAGGCAGAGGTGGGCAGATCACCCGAGGTCAGGAGTTCCAGCCCATTCTGGCCAACATGGTGAAACCCCTTCTCTACTAAAAATACAAAAATTAGCCAGGCATGGTGGTGTGTGCCTGTAGTCTCAGCTACCTGGGAGGCTGAGGTGGGAAAATCACTTGAATCAGGCAGGCAGAGGTTGCAGTGAGCTGAGATCATGCCACTGCACTCCAGCTTGGGTGACAGAGTGAGACTCTGTCTCAAAAGAAAAAAAAAAAAAAAAAAAAAGGAAAAGAAAATCAATTGCCATTAAAGCAATCACTATAATAAAGTTCTGGAGTTTATAAATTGTAATCTTCCAGAATTAGGACAATTTAGTTTTGTAAAGAGCTAGACAACTAAGTCCTCTATTCAATACATGCATTAGTGTCAACAGAGGTGAATTCTATGTGGTCCTTCAAAGCCCTGTACCCTGAATGGCTTTTTGACCTTGTTTGGAAAGTCTACCTGGGGAACAGCAACTCAAGTGCACTGCTACCCAATCAGATATGTCATTTATCATGAATCACCTCAGACCCCGGCCAGTGCAAATGGCTATGCAGGGGGCTTGTCCAAGGAGCCAAATGGGGGTTGAAATCTAGTCTTCTCATAGAACCTTGAAACTTAGCACAAAGATGCCACTGGCTGGGACAAAATGGCCCCAAAGGGGTGGCTTTTGTGAGTGCACCACAGGCTAGTTTGAGGCTCAGAATTTTTTTTTTTTTTTTTGAAGAAGTAACTAGGTAGGTCATAAAGAACAAAGTCATTATATGTGCTAAAGGTATTTGAACTAAAATCCAAAGGCTGCCAAAATACATTTAACCAAATAATTCCACAGTTTTCCATTTTCATTTTAAAACATATCATTGCCCTCCTATAGCCCCATGGGTATTCCAGTGAATTTTACTTTTTCCCAAGCCAGTTTTTTTTTTTTATCTTTCTTCAGAAATTCAACCAAACCTGCTCCTTATAGGAATTTAAAAGCTTCCTTGACTTTATTCTCCCTTTTCTCTTTATTGTTCAGCTCTACCTCCTATCTCTCTCTCTCCAGGGTCACCCTCTGATTCTGAAGATCTTTAAACTCACATTTTGAATACTTGCTTTAATCATTTACATAATAGAACTCTGTCCAATGACTGGAAAATAAAGCCTTTAAGAAATATATCATCCTGAAGACAGTTCCAGTCTACTAAATATTTAAGCTAGGAAAAAAGTCACTGCTAAAGGTGAACAAAAATAGAAGAACAATTGCTTAGCCACATGACAGAGTTTAAACCTAACTCTATAAATCGTACCTATGGAGTTGAAGTCATGTCTTTAATTTCCAATAATGGTGGAGGAGGAGAATTATTATCATTAATATTTAACAGCGTATTATCTTGTATATCCCAAGTGTGCTATGATAACAAACATATTGTGACAATCCATTGCAGATGGGGAAAGGAGAAGAGATTGCACGATCTTCCAAATGCCTTGTTGCTAGTTGGGTTGAGGATTCTGAGCAAATACACCAGCTGAGGGTGGTCTCATTATAGGTATTGCAGGAGGATTGAAGGCAACCCCGGTAAAATTATAAAGAAAAATAATCACCAAGCTAAAAAGGCATTTGGATATATTCTCTAGAACGGGAGTCTGCAAACTATAGCCTGTGGGCCAAATCCTATCAGCCACCTATGAGCTAAGAATGATTTTTACATATTTTAGTGGTTAAAGAATATTTCATGATACCTGAAAATTATATAAAATTCAAATTTCAGTGTCTGTAAAGTTTTTTTGGAGCACAGCCATGCTCATTCATTTACTTAGCGTCTCTGGTTGCTTTCATGATGCAATGGCAGAGTTGAGTAGCTGCAACAGAAACCGTATGACCCACAAAGCCTAAAATATTTACTGTGTGGTCTTTCACCGGGAAAGTTTGCTGATTCCTGGTCCCATTAGAAAACCATCTCTTCCCCAAGTGGTCTGGGTGGGATCAATTCCATTTCCATTTTAGAGGCAGGCCCTACTTGGCTTAAGCCAACCCACACCTCCCATCTCTCCTGCCCATAGTAACTGGTTCAGTTTTGGGTGTGTGGCTTCCACCAGTCCAATCAGTGAGTAGCATGGCTGATTCTGAGAATGCTGGGACACAGGTTCTCTTTCTCTTCTGAATGGCCAATGTGAAGATGGAAAGGGATGCAGATATCAGGGATGAAACTCAAAGAGTAAGGCAAAGTGAAGAGAGCTCAGAGGGATGAAACAGAGTCCTGATGCCTCTGGGACCTTCTTTAAACTACTTCTTCTGACAGTGGCACTGGCATGCACTTTGTGTATTTTTTTTTTTAACTGTGGGGAAAAAACACTTGTAATTTTAGCCATTTTAAAGTATAAAGTTCAGGAGTGTTAAGTGCATTCACATTGTTGCACAACAGATCTCCAGAACTTTTTCACTTTGCAAAAGTGAAAGTTTATACCCATTAAACAACTGTCCTTCATCTGTTTCCCTCAGCTCCTGGTAACCACCATTTTGTTTTCCATATGACTACTTTAGATACCTCATATGAGTGGAATCTACAGTATTTGTCCTTTGGAACTGGCTTATTTTACTTAGCATAATGTCATCAAGGTTCATCCTTGTTGTAGCATATAACAGTATTTCCATAGTTTTCCACTATATGTAAAGACCACATTTTGTTTATTCATCTGTTGATGGACATCTGGGTTGCTTCTACCTCTTGGCTATTGTGAATAACACTCCTATGAACAAAAGTATGCAAATACCTCTTTGAAACCTTGCTTTCAATTGTTTTGGATGTATACACACTAGTGGGATTGTTGGATCATATAGTAGTTATATTTTTAATTTTTTGAGGACTTGCCATACTGTTTTCCACATTAGTTATACCACTTTCCTTCCCACTAACAGTGCATAAGGGTTCCAATTTCTCCACATTCTTGCCAACACTAATTATTTCCTCTTTTTATGAGAGTAGCTATCCTAACGTATGTGGTATCTTATTGTAGTTTTGGTTTGCATTTCCCTGATGAATAGTGATGTTGAGCATCCTTTCACATGTTTGTTGGTCATTTATCATCTTTGAAGAAATGTCTATTCAAGTTCCTTGCCCATTTTTAAATTGAGTTGTTTGACATTTTGCTGTTGAGTTGTAGATGTTCTTTTTATATTCTGAATATTAACCTCATATCAGATATATGATTTGCAAATATTTCCTCCCATTCCATAGGTTGCATGATTTTCATTCTGTTGATCATGTTTTATGAGGCACAAAAGTTTTGAAATTTAATGTAGTCCCATTTGTCTATTTTTTCCTCTGTTGCCTTATATTAGGCTTTTGGTGTCATATCCAAGAAATCATTGTCAAATCCAATGTCATAAAGCTTTCCCCCATGTTCTCTTTTAAGAGTTTTTCAGTTTGGCAGCCTTGTCAAAGATCATTTAATCATGTATGTGAAGGTATATTTCTGGTCTCTCTATTTTATTCCATTGGACTATATGTCTGTCTTTATACCACTATCACACTGTTTTGATTACCAAAGCTTTTATAATATTTTTTGAAATCAGAAAATGTGAATCCTCCAATTTGGTTTTCTTTTAAAAAATTGATTTGATTATTCAGGATTCCTTGAGCTGTCATACAAAAATTAGGATAATGTTTTCCTCTTACTGAAAAAAATTTCACTGTCATATTTACAGGAATTGTGTTGAATTTGTAGACTGCTTTGGGCAATATTGACATTTAACAATATTAAGTCTTCCAATCCATTAGTATGGAATGTCTTTCCATTTATTTTTGTCGTCTTTACTTTCTTTCAGCAATGTTTTACAGTTTTCAGTGTATAAGTCTTTCATCTCCTTGGTTAGGTTTATTCTGAAGTATTTTATTTTAGTGCTATTGTAAATGGAATTATTTTCTTAATTTCCTTTTTGATTATTCCTTTTGAGATGCAACTGACTGTTCTGTGACCTGTAACTTTGCTGAATTTGTTTTAGCAGTTTGTGTGTGTGTGTGTGTGTGTGCACGCGCGCACGTAATTTTTAGTGTTTTCTACATATAAGCTCGTGTCATCTGTGAATAGAGACAATTTTAGCTCTTCCTTTCCAATTTGGATGTTTTATTTTTTTCCCTTGCCTAATCTAGGACTTCCAATCTACATTGAATAGAAGTGGTGAAAGTGGGTGTCCTTGCCACCTTCCTAATCCTAGAGGAAAAACTCAGTTTTTCAGCATTGAGTATAATGTTAACTTTGGGCTTTTTATAGATAGCCTTTATTATTTTGAGGTAGTTTCCTTCTATTAGTTTGCTGAGTGTTTTTTCTTTTATCATGAAAGGTTGTTGAATCTTATCAAATGCTTTTTCTGCATTAATGTGCTGTTGAATTCAGTATATTAGTATTTTCTTGAGGATTTTTGCATCAGTGTTCATCAGGGTTATTGGGCTCTAGTTTTATTTTCTTGTAATGTCTTTGTCTGGTATCAGCCAAAGGTTTTTTCCACAATCTGTGCAACCCGGGAATCAGGAGATTCACCTCTTGAGCCCATGCCACCAGGGCCTTGGGTCCCAAGCACATAGCTGTGCAGATTCTCAGCAGCCACTCGGCTGGAGACTGCCTAAGACTACCAATTTACAGGGGGAGGGGTGGCTGTCATCTCTCTGGTTGCCTACTGCCTAAGACTATTGAGCTCCCATGGAGAAGGGCAGCGGCCATCACTGTGGCTGCCTGCTGCCTAAGATGACTGACCTCCCAGGGGGAGGGGTGGCCACCATCGCTGCAGCTCCAGTCTGCTGAGGCTGGGGAGACTGGATGGTTTGGACCCAGGGGGAATACCCCATAGCCCACACAGCAGCTGTGGCAGATCGTGGCCAGACTGCCTCTTTAGGCCAGACTCTGACCCCTCTCTACTCACCGGGCGGGGCCTACCTGTAGGAATTTCAGCAACTCCAGCTAGGGGTTTAAGGACAGAACTCAAATCTCCCTGGAAAAGAGCCCCTTGGGGGAGGGGAGGCCACAGTCTCCATGGATCAGCAGACTTAGTCTTTCCCCCTGCTGGCTCGGAGGAATCCCGGCACACCAGATTAGTGTGAATCCCCCCAGTGCGGCACACCCCCTCTGCCAAGGGGCAGCCAGAGTGCTTCGTTAAGCAGGTCCTGGATCCTGTGCCTCCTGACTGGATGAGAACCCCCAACAGGGGTCACCAGATACCTTATTCAGGGGCATTCCTGCTAGCATCATGTTGGTGCCCCTCTGGGACAGAGATCCCAGAGGAAGGAGCAGGCAGCCATCTTTGCTGTTCTGCAGCTTCTACTGGTGATACCTCCAGGTGTGGGAGGGACCCAGACAAATAGGGTCTGGAGTGGATTCCCAGCAAACCATGGCAACCCTACGGAAGAGGGGCCTGACAGTTAGAAGAAAAACAAACAGAAAGTAACAACAACAGCATCAACAAAAAAGTCACCACAAAAACCCCATCCAACAGTCAGCAGCCTCAAAGATTGAAGCTAGATAAACTCATGAAGATTAGAACGAATCAACAAAAAAAGACTGAAAGCTCAAAAAGCCAGAGTGCCTCTTCTCCTCCAAATGATCAGAACACCAGCAAGAGGACAGAACTGGGCAGAGGCTGAGATGGATGAATTGACAGAAGTAGGCTTCAGAAGGTGGGTAATAACGAACTTTGCTGAGCTAAAGGAGTATGTTCTAACCCAATACAAAGAAGCTAAGAATCATGATAAAACATTTCAGGAGCCATTAACCAGAATAACCAGTTTAGAGAGGAACATGAATGACCTGACGGAGCTGAAAAACACAACACAAGAACTTCACAATGCAACCACAAGTATCAATAGCCAAATAGACCAAGCAGAGGAAAGAATTTCAGAGCATGAAGACTATCTTGCTGAAATAAGACAGGTCGACAAGATTAGGAAAAAAAAAAAAAAAAAAAGAACGAAAAGGAATGAACAAAACCTCTGAGCACTATGGGATTATGTAAAAAGACTGAACCTATGACTGATTGAGTACCGGAAAGAGACAGGGGGAACAGAACCAAGTTGGAAAACATACTTCAGGATATCATCCAGGAGAACTTCCCCAACCTAGCAAGACAGGCAAACATTCAAATTCAGTAAATCTAGAGAACCCCAGTAAGATACTCCATGAGAAGATCAACCCCAAGACACATAATCATCAGATTCTCCAAGGTCAAAATGAAGGAAAAAATGTTAAGGGCAGCCAGAGAGAAAGGCCAGGTCACCTAGATAGGGAAGCTCATCAGAATAACAGATCTCTCAGCAGGAACCCTGCAAGCCAGAAGAGATTGGGGGGCATTATTCAACATTCTTAAAAGAATTTCCAACCCGGAATTTCATTTCTGGCCAAACTAAGCTTCATAAGTGAAGGAGAAATAAAATCCTTTTCAGACAAGCAAATGCTGAGGGAATTCGTCACCACCAGGCCTGCCTTGCAAGAGTTCCTGAAAGAAGCACTAAATATGGAAAGGAAAAACTATCACAAGCCACTACAAAAACACACTGAAGTACAAAGACCAATGACACTATGAAGCAACTACATCAACAAGTCTGCAAAGTAACCAGCTAGCATCATGATGACAGTATTAAATTCACACATAACAATATTAACCTTAAATGTAAATGGCCTAAATGCTCCAATTAAAAGACACAGAATGTCAAGTTGGATAAAGAGTCAAGACCCATCAGCTTGCAATATTCAAGAGACCCATCTCACATGCAAAGACACACATAGGCTCAAAATAAAGGGATAGAAAAAAATTTATCAAGCAAATAGAAAGCAGAAAAAAGCAGGGATTGCAATTCTAATTTCTGATAAAACAGACTTTAAACCAACACAGATAAAAAAAAGACAAAGGAGGGCATTATATAATGGTAAAGGGGTGAATTCAACAAGAAGAGCTAACTATCCTAAATATACATATGCACCCAATACAGGAGCACCCAGATTCATAAAACAAGTTCTTAGAGACTTACAAAGAGACTTAGACTGCCACACAATAATAGTGGGAGAAGTCTCCCACTATCGACCCCACTGTCAATATTAGACAGATCATCGAGACAGAAAATTAACAAGGATATTCAGGACTTGAACTCAGCTCTGGATCAAGTGGACCTAATAGATATCTACAGAACTCTCTACTCAAAAATAACAGAATATACATTCTTCTCAGTGCCACATGGCACTTAGTCTAAAATAGATCACATAAAGGGAAGTGAAACACTCCTCAAGAAATGCAAAACAACTGAAATCATAACAGCCTTTCAGATCACAGTGCCATCAAATTGGGACTCAAGATTAAGAAACTCGCTCAAAACCACACAATTACATGAAAATTGAACAACCTGCTCCTGAATGACTCTTGGGTAAATAATGAAATTAAGGCAGAAATCAAGAAGTTCTTTGAAACCAATGAGAAAAAAGAGACAACATACCAGAATCTCTGGGACGCAGATAAAGCAGTGTTAAGTGGGAAATTTCTAGCACATCGAAAAGCTAGAAAGATCTCAAATTGACTCCCTAATATCACAAGTAAAATAACTAGAGAACCAAGAGCAAACAAACCCCAAAGCTAGCAGAAGACAAGAAACAACCAAGATCAGAGCAGAACTGAAGGAGATAGAGACATGAAAACACATTTTAAAAAATCAATGAATCCAGGAGCTGGTTTTTTGAAAAAATTAATAAAACAGACTGCTAGCTAAGAAAAGACAGAAGAATCAGATAAACACAATAAAAATAATAAAGGGGATATCACCACTGACCCCACAAAAATAGAAACAACCATCAGAGCATACTATAAATACCTCTATGCAAACAAACTAGAAAATCTAGAAGAAATGGAAAAAATCCTGGACATATACACCCTCCCAAGACTGAATCAGGAAGAAGCTGAATCCCTGAATAGACCAATAACAAGTTCTGAAATTGAGGCAGTAATAAATAGCCTACCAACCAAAAAATAAAAAGCCCAGGGCCAGACGGATTTACAGCTGAATTCTACCTAAGGTACAAAGGGGAGCTAGTGTCATTTCTTCTGAAACTAATGCAAACAATTGAAAAGGAGAGACTCCTCCCTAACTCATTTTATGAGGCCAGCATCATCCTGATACCAAAACCTGGCAGAGATACAACAAAAAAGAAAAACTTCAGGCCAATATCCCTGATGAACATCGAGGCAAAAATCCTCAATAAAATACTGGCAAACCAAATCCAGCAGCACATCAAAAAGCTTATCCACCACAATTAAGTTGGCTTAATCCCCAGGATGCAAGGCTGGTTCAACATATGCAAATCAATGAACATAATTCATCACATAAACTGAACTAAAGACAAAAACCATTTGATAATAGACGTGGAAAAGGCCTTCAATAAAATTCAACATCTCTTCATGTTAAAAACTCTCAATAAGCTAGGTATTGATGGAACATACCTCAAAATAATAAGAGCCATTTATGACAAACCTACAGCCAATATCATACAGAATGGGCCAAAGCTGGATGCATTCCCCTTGAAAACTGCCACAAGACAAGGATGCCCTCTCTCACCATTCCTATTCAACATAGTATTGGAAGTTCTGGCCAGGGCAATCAGGCAAGAGAAAGAAAGAAAGGGTATTCAAATAGGAAGAGAGGAAGTCAAACTGTCTCTGTTTGTAGACGACATGATCCCATATCTAGAAAACCCCATCATCTCAGCCCCAAAGCTTCTTAAGCTGATAAGCAACTTCAGCAAAGTCTCAGGATACAAAATCAATGTGCAAAAATCACAAGCATTCCTATACACCAATAACAGACAAGCAGAGAGCCAAACCATGAATGAAGTCCCATTCACGATTGCTACAAAGAGAATAAAACACCTAGGAATACAGCTAACAAGGGAAGTGAAGGACCTCTTCAAGGAGAACTAGAAACCACTGCTCAAAGAAATCAGAGAGGACACACACAAATGGAGAAACATTCCATGCTCATGGATAGGAAGAATCAATACCTTGAAAATGGCCATACTGCCCGAAGTAATTTATATATTCAGTGCTATTCCCATTGAACTACCATTGACATTCTTCACAGAATTAGCAAAAACTACTTTAAAATTCATATGGAACCAAAAAGGAGCTCATATAGCCAAGACAATCCTAAGCAAAAAGAACAAAGCTTGAGGCATCACTCTACCAGACTTCAAACTATATTGTAAGGCTACGGTAACCAAAACAGCATGGTACTGGTAGAAAAACGGACACATAGACCAATGGAACAGAATAGATATCTCAGAAATATGACTGCACATTTACAATGATCTGATCTTTGACAAACCTGACAAAAACAAGCAATGGGGAAAGAATTCCCTATTTAATAAATGGTGCTGGGAGAACTGGCTAGCCATATGTAGAAAATTGAAACTGGACCCCTTCCTTAGATCTTATACAAAAATTGACTCCAGAGCGATTAGAGACTTAAATGTAAAACACAAAACTATAAAATCCCTAGAAGAAAATCTAGGCAGTACCATTCAGGACGTAGGCACAGGCAAAGATTTCATGATGGAAACATCAAAATCAATTGCAACAGAAACAAAAACTGACAAATAGGATCTAATTAAACTAAAGAGCTTCTGCACAGCAAAATAAACTATCATCAGAGTGAACATACAATATATAGAATGGGAGAAAATTTTTGCAATATATCCATCTGACAAAGGTCTCATATCCAGAATCTACAAGGAATTTAAACAAATTTACAAGAAAAAACAACCCTATTAAAAAGTGGGCAAAGGATACGAACAGACGCTTCTCAACAGAAGACATTTATGTGGCCAAGAAATATATGAAGAAAAGCTCAACATCACTGATCATCAGAGAAATGCAAATCAAAACCACAATAAGATATCATCTCATGCCAGTCAGAATGGTAATTATTAAAAAGTCTAGAAACAACAGATGCTGGCAAGGCTGTGGAGAAATAGGAATGTTTTCACACTTTTGGTAATGTAAATTAGTTTCAAACATTGTGGAAGACAGTGGGGCAATTAGTCAAAAACTTAAAACCAGAAATACCATTTGACTCAGCCATGCCATTACTGGGTATGTACCCAAAGGAATATAGATCATTCTATTATAAAGTTACATGTACACATATGTTCACTGCAGCAATATTTACAATAGAAAAGACATGGAATCAATCTAAATGCCCATCAATGATAGACTGGATAAAGAAAATGTGGTACATATACACCACAGAATACTATGCAGCCATAAAAAGGAATGAGATCTTGTCCTTTGCAGGGACATGGATGGAGCTCAAAGCCATTATCCTCAGCAAACTAATGCAGGAACAGAAAACCAAACACCACATGTTCTCACTTACCAGCAGGAGCTGAAAAATGAGAACACATGGACACGGAGAGGAACAACACACACTGGGGCCTGTAGTTGGGGGTTGTGGGGGGAGGGAGAGCGTCAGGATAAATAGCTAATGCATGTAGGGCTTAATACCAAGGTGATGGGTTGATAGGTGCAATAAACTACCATGGCAGATGTTTACCTGTGTAATAAACCTGCATGTCCTACACATGTATCCCAGAACTTAAAAAATATGTTCATACCATACTATAGTCTATTGAATGTGCAATAACATTGTGCCTTAAAAAACAATGTACACACCTTAATTAAAAATACTTCATTGCTAAAATGTGGCAACAATTGTCTGAGCCTTCAGCAAATCATAATCTTTTTGCTAACGGAAGATTTTGCCTCGGTGTTGATGGCTGCTGACTGTTCAGGGTGGGGGCTGCTGAAGGTTGGGTGGCTGTGGCAATTTCTGGATACAGTATTCTTTGTCACTTCCTTCTGGCCTGTAAGTTATCTATTGGTAATTCCACTGATAACCTTATGGAAGCTGTTTTGTATGTGATGAGTTATTTTTCTCTCGCTGCTTTCAAGATTCTTTGTCTTTGACTTTTGACAATTTGATTACAATGCATCTTCTTGTGGGTCTTTTTGAATTTATCTTGGTTGTAGTTCTTTGAGCCTCTTGAATTTGCATGCCCATTTTTTTTCCTCAAGTTTGAAAAGTTTTTGGCCATTGTTGGTTCAAATAACACTTACTCCCTCTCTTTTCCTTCTGGGACTCCCATCATGCATACAATGGTTTACCTGTCAGTGTCCGTAAGTCTCTTAGGCTCTCTTCACTTTTATTTTTTTCTTTTTAATCCTCTGACTTGATTACTTCTAATAATGACTTCTAATAATCTGTCTTTAAGTTTGTTTTTTTTTTCTGTCAAATCCAGTCTTCTGTTGAAACCTCTTGAATTTTTTTCTGTTCTGTTATTATATTTTTCACTTCCAGAATTTGTTTGGTTCTTCTTTATAGTTTGTGTCTCTTTGTTGATATGCTTATTTTGTTCATGCATCATTTTCCTGAATTTATTTAGTTGTTTATCTGTGTTCCATTTTAGTTCATTGAGCATGTTTAGTACAGTTACTTTACATTCTTTGTGAGGGAGAATTGATCTGTGTTTCTTTAGGGTCAGTTTCTGGAGTTTTATTTTGGCACTTTGATTGGGCCTGGTTTTCCTCTCTCCTAGTATGCCTTGGGATTTGTCACTGCTGTTGTTGAGACTTGGGCATTTGAGAAACAACCACCTCTCCTAGTCTTTATAGTCTGACTTTGTGCAGGGAAAAATCTTCACGGATTAGCTCCGCGATAGATTCTAGGACCTCTCCAAACTTTTTCTAAGGATATGCTGTCTTCTCTGCGTTTGTGTCTATGCTTTAAAACATCTCCAATTTCCTAAGAAGCTTGTTGTTCCTGTTTCTTCTTAGAAGCCTGTGAACATTCTGCTGGTGTCTGCCTTTGGAACTGCAGCTATAACATGCCCTGAGGATCATGTCTTGTTTTCAGCAGCTTCCAAAGAAGGCCACCAGTGCTTCACCAAGTCCCATCAGTGCTCTGAGTAACGTAACTCAGGAACCAGTTCCTTAGACAGCCTCCAGACTAGCCCAAATGCTAGATGCATGGTCCGCTCTTTTGTTTTCATCCTAAAAGAGGATTCCCAAGGTGGGAGGTTTCCTGTTAGTTGCACTATCCTAAATCAGATAGGGAGAGAAGCATTGATAACAGGTATGCAAAACTTTTTAAAAGTTTCCTTTCCTTTTTGCTGGAATTCCTTCTTGGTTTTACATTGGTCTAGATGCTGTAACTTTTCAACTGGTCTTTAGAATTCTCACAAAGTTATTCTGGTCAATAACTTGTTGTTAATTTTGTGGCTCTGTGGGAGAATGAGGAACTGAAGCTTCCTAGTCCGCCATCTTGCTGACATTATCCTGTTTTGTGTATTTCTTATGTCTGACATTATTTTAGAACACTTTTAGATTTGCAGAAAAATTACAGAGTACAGAGCATTCCTGTATATGTGGCACTCAGTTTCCCCTATTGTTAACATCTTACATTAGTGTGGTACATTTGTCACAATTTATGAACCAATATTGATACATTATTATTAACTAAAGTCCACATTTTATTCAGATTTCTTTAGGTTTTACCTAATGTCCTTTATTTGTTCCAAAATTCCAACCAGTATAGCATATTACATTGAGTTGTCATGTATCCTTAGACTCCTTTTGGCTGTAACAGTTTTATCATTTATTTTTTAGGTACATAAACCAACAAATTATTTTTATCATTGAAGCCAAATTGACTTAGAATTTTTTGTTGCTTGTACCTCACAGGATTCCCAGATGATACAGATTTCTAGTCCAAACACATTGTTGTATAATGAGAAAAGTGAGGCCCACAGTGTCCTAGTGATAATCCACCATCACAGAGCTAACACTGAAAGAGCTGGGATTTTACCCCAAGTTTTTTTACTCTTATTTCTGTGCTTTATTATTCTATGCCACTTGTTGCTAAAATACACTGCAACGACACTATTTCCAGAAAGATAATTTTATTGCATCTTGAATTTCTGATAAACAGCCACACTAACTTATGAATTGGTGACAAGGTTTTGATAAACGTTTAGTGTCTTATTATAAAATAAAGGCTTTACCTAAATGCCTAAATTCTTATAATTTTTTTTTTATTTCCATAGGTTATTGGGGGAACAGGTGGTGTTTAGTTACATGAGTAAGTTCTTTAGTGGTGATTTGTGAGATTTTGGCGCACCCATCACCCGAGCAGTATACATTGTACCCTATTTGTAGTCTTTTATTCCTCACCTGCTTCCCACTCTTTCCTCTGAGTCCCCAAAGTCCATTGTGTCATTTTTATGCCTTGACATTCTCATAGCTTAGCTCCCACTTATGAGTGAGAACATATGATGTTTGGTCTTCCATTCCTGAGTTACTTCACTTAGAATAATAGTCTCCAATCCCATCCAGGTCGCTGTGAATGCCATTAATTCATTCCTTTTTATGGCTGTGTAGTATTCCATCGTATATATATACACCAAAGTTTCTTAATCCACTTGTTGATTGATGGGCATTTGAGTTGGTTCCATGTTTTTGGAATTGCGAATTGTGCTGCTGTAAACATGCATGTGCAAGTATCTTTTTCGTATGACTTCTTTTCCTCTGGGTAGATACCCAGTAGTGGGATTGCTGGATCAAATGGTAGTTCTACTTTTAGTTGTTTAAGGAATCTCCATACTGTTTTCCATAGCGGTTGTACTAGCTTATATTCCCACCAGCAGTGTAGAAATGTTCCCTGTTCACTGCATCCACATCAATATCTACTATTTTTTGGTTTTTTGATTATGGCCATTCTTGCAGGAGTAAGGTGTATCCCACTAAATGCCTAAATTCTTTTTTTTTTTTTTTTTTTTTTTTGAGACAGAGTCTTACTCTGTCGCCCAGGCTGAAGTGCAATGGTGCGATCTCAGCTCACTGCAATCTCCACCTCCTGGGTTCAAGTGATTCTCTTGCCTCGGCCTCCTGAGTAGCTGGGATTATAGGCACGCACCACCATGCCTGGCTAATTTTTGTATTTTTAGTAGAGATGGGGTTTCACCATATTGGTCAGGCTGGTCTCAAACCCCTGACCTCATGATCTGCCCGCCTTGGCCTCCCAAAGTGCTGGGATTACAAGCGTGAGCCACCACACCTGGCTAATGCCTAAATTCTTCTAGTGACATTTCTACATCAGTAATTTAAGAAGAGATACTCACTGATTTTTGTATCAGCATTTTCCCTTATGGCCCACTGAATATAAGGCTTCAGAAACAGGCTTATTCATCCATCCATCCATTCATCCACCCATCTACTGATACAAACATACATCTAAACATCTATTCAACAAATACTTATTAACTGCATACTATTTCCCAGACAATATTCTAGGCAGTGCAAACTGATTTTTGTTGGTCTCCTTTATCTCCTGTAGGAGAATAGCCATGAGTCTCCAGTAATTTCTGGACCAAAACCAAATGGTACCAACATATTCAACTTATTAATCCTTTACCCTTTTGGGGGTTTTATGTAGGAATGCGGGCTTGATAATGTGGGAAACTGAAGTTTAAATGTTGAGCTTAAAAAAAAAAAAGAACCACCTGAGGAACCTCTCATGAGCTTGGAGCAAAAGGAGAATGGTGAGAGAAAGGAGAAGCTGAGAGAACAATCTAGAACAGAATATCACCAAAAATGAGTTAAGGACATTTACACAGAAGCCTTATAAAATTCCACAATGATAATAAGCAACATTTTTCCAAAACACTATGGACAATTAACTTTTTGAAAGTACAATGGGGCTGTTTTTCTGTCGACCATTAGTAAGCGCAAATTGCTATGTAATTTTCACCTTCCTAATAATTATTTGCACTTGTATTCAGCATTCCATTGTGACTGGGCTGCCCCCTGCTATCATTTCCTGTCCTCTGTACCCCTCCCACAAAGGTGCTGGTTAGAGTGGGAGAGCAGATGCAAACCCTGTGATTGATTAGCAGACCTCCTCCCTGTGAACACCCACCAAAAGGAAGGGAGGAGTCATGGCATTTTCATATTAAAAGTTGTACTTCTCTGGTGAATGTTGACATTGTTCCTAGAACAACCTTTAAGGTAGGTCATAGGTGTCAGAGCTATGCAAGAACTGCATGCTGACAGAAGACACATCATAGAGCTTTCTGGCAACAAGTAGGACAAACTGGGGCTCTGAGGTCCATTTTTAGCTCCCTGCAACCTCAGAAAAGTCATTTTACTAATCTCTGCCCTAGTTTCTTTCAAACATAAAACATGTGTCAGCTCCTCATTTCATGGGAGGGTTTTGAAAATTTATCAATTAGTGAATTAAAAATATAAGAATGGGCTCAAATGGATGATGTTTTAGAGTAGGGATTGGCAAAGTACTATATAGCTCATGGGTCACATCCGGCCCCCAGTCTGTTTTTGTAAATAAAGTTTTATTGGAACACAACCATGTCCATTTATTTACATGTTTCCTATGACTGCTTTAACACTACCATGGCAGACTTGCACTGTTGAGTCACAACAGAGACCACATGGCCTCCAAAGCCTAAAATATTTACTATGTGACCATTTACAGAAAAGGTTTGCTGACCTGGCTTAGAGGATTACCTTGGGGTGGGGGAAGAAAAGTATTTATCTTTTTATGAGAAAACCTATCCTTGACAGGGCATGGGGATTGCTTTGTGAGGGAGTCAACAGCTAAAAGCAATCATTCCTCTTTGCTAAGCCTTTATTGAGAAGGCCATGTGAGAAATGCTTTTTTAAAAAGAGTCAAGAGGTGAGGTTGGGAGGTGATGGTGAAAGGCTAATGAGTTGTTAACAGACATGGCCTTCTAAGAAACATGAATGACCAAGGAACCCTGCCATATCCTTTCTTACTTGTGTTACTTCCCTGTATTAGCCAACCACTTACAGTGAAAATGATGACAGAAGGAAAGGGAAAGATAGGGCAGCCCACTGTTCTTTTTCTTTCAGTTCTCCCTTACTCACCAGCAAGCCAAAGGGAGGGAGTGTTAGTAGGATGTGCTCATATTAAGAAGTACAATCAAAACAATTGAGTTAGTTGTGTGCAGCATTTCTACTGTTCTGATTAGAATGAAAGACATATGCATGTCTAAGCTATGAAATACAAATTGTATCATTTCAGTGATTCTTCAGACAAGTTAATGCTCTTATATTTTCATCTGAAACTTTCATCATACAAGGATGATTAGTAAAATTCCTGCTAATAATTTAAAATTTTCATGTGTCTTATTATGAAATGTCATTAAATAGGCCGGGTACAGTGGCTCACGCCTGTAATCCCAGCATTTTGGGAGGCTGAGGCAGGCAGATCACGAGGTCAAGAGATTGAGACCATCCTGGCCAACATGGTGAAACCCCATCTCTACTAAAAATACAAAAATTAGCTGGGTGTGGTGGCGTGCACCTGTAATCCCAGCTACTCAGGAGTCTGAGGTGGGAGAATCTCTTCAACCCAGGACGCGGAGGTTGCAGTGAGCCGAGATCGTGTCATTGCACTCCAGCCTGGCGACAGAGAGAGACTTTGTCTTAAAAAAAAAGTCATTAAATAGGAAATAAAAAACTCTATGACATGTTAACAGAGAGACCACAGAAGAAGGGGAAAAGCTTTACATTTTCATACCTTTTCCAGCACTTTTATCCTGCTTTTTGAACAAGGGGCCTGCATTTTCATTTTGCAACAGGTCCTAAAAATCATGGAGCCAGCCCCATGTGCTCAGCGGCACCCTTTAAGTTCAAAAAGCATTTCTGAGTTTCTCCCAGCCTTCTCAACCTGAACACCTAATGCCAAACCTGTGTTTATGGAGCAGCCGGAGGGCATGCTCCGTGCAGCAAATATGTGACATGGCTACTCGTGACTCAGATTGATCCGAGTGTTCACTGGCTCCAAGAGTAGTGTGATCTCTTATCATCCTTGCAATTGAAGGAGCTCTTCACCAGAAATTGGCCATTGATAACAAGGCTTTATTCAAGCTTTGAGAGGAACTACAGGATAAGGGCTTGGCAGGAACTGCAGTTTCCCACCTTTTGGTGGACCACAGTATGGCACTTCTGTCACCAGCCCTCCCGTCTCAGTTGCTCTCCCCCCCTTTTTTTTTTTTTTTTTTTTTTCGGATGGAGTTTTGCTCTTGTTGCCCAGGCTGGAGTGCAATGGCACGATCTTGGCTCACCGCAACCTCTGCCTCCCAGATTCAAGCGATTCTCCTGCCTCAGCCTCCCAAGTAGCTGGGATTAAAGGCATGTGCCACCATGCCTGGCTAATTTTGTATTTTTGGTAGAGACAGGGTTTCTCCATGTTGGTCAGGCTGGTCTCCAACCCCTGACCTCAGGTGATCCGCCCACCTCAGCCTCCCAAAGTGCTGGGATTACAGGTGTGAGACATCGCTCCTGGCCCTGCTCTCCTTCTTTTATGCTGGAGTGCAGACAATACTGAAAAGGCACCTGCCTCCAAGGTGATTCCATGTCCTCTTAAGCTCAGCCAATTTACTTGGCAGCAACACCCACACCCCCACGTGGCATTTGGCACAGGCCAGAATTTCTGCCTGTGCCCCAGCCTTAGGCAATAACATCAAAATTGCTCTCTGCAAGGGTTGGCTCAATCTAGAAAGAAGAGGTCCAGAGGCCACTCAAAAAAATCAAGGGTGGCAGGCAGCCCCAAGCTAGTATTTCAATTACAGGCTGTGATGGAAACCTGGTCCTCCAGGTGCTTCTCCTTTGCACAGGTTGGCCATCCCTGTGATACTGAATGGACTTTGTGACCCACCTCCTGTACATCCCTAGGGGCTATATACAGCATAGGAGAAGAAAGAGGCGACCCAGTGCACTAGCTAACCTGCTGTCCACAGCTTGGCTTGAATGTACATGCCCCAACTCTGTTGTAGTCAAGTGGCCCAAGGAACTTTAGATAATTACAATCCCTCCAGATACTCTGGCCTGCTGGACAAATAAGGAGAGCAACTCAGGGATTTGTCCTAGAGTGAAGGCCAGATTAAGTAAGCCAGCAAAGTTTCAAGAAGAAACATTCAAGAAGAAACATAGGGAAAATGAAACAGCCTCTGAAGCAGAAGTTTGCCTAGCACAGCTCTTTGTGCCATATGCCAAATTAGATCTGGAATGATAGAGTCATTTCAGAGCTTTCCTGTTAAAAGCCCTTCCATCAACTCTGCAAACTTACCTTCCAGCTGGGAGCAGTGATTATTAACTCAGCAGATAGGTGCTTTGTCAGATTCAAAAGAAAACAAATCTGCTCCAATGAAGGGAATAAACAGCTCCTAATGTTCAGCCTGGGAAGCTTTTGTATTAACAGGGCATAATTACCTTTCATTTCATGTAATGATACTATCATATTGACTTCGTTTCCCCCATTCCAAAATTACAATATACTTTCCTCCCCTTGACTGGATGCTTGGGATCTAGGAACTCATTGAACCAAATGACATTTGCTCTTGCCATGAGGCAAGTATTTGCTTTTTATGCAGAACCCATCATGCGTACTCAAAAGCAACATATTTAAGAATTGTTCATCAAAAACACCCACAAAAAATGAGGCAAACTGCCTGTTTTCTAACATATTGCTAGTTATTAACTCTTTGGATGCTTATACACCTCACAGAATAACAGAGTAACCTATCACCAAGAGATTTCTCTTATTTCCTTCATGGGCACAACTGTTAATTTCCACAAAGACCTGCAGCATTTTATTAGCAGAGACAAAAGATAACAACTTGTGTAATCTCTCAGATCAATTTGTCCTTTGTTGGGTGTGTATTAAAACGTAGGCTTGATAAAGTAGGAAATTGGTGTCTGCTCCAAATATAAAAATATCACAGGGGATGATGGGCACAACCACAATATCCACATCCCAACTTTACACCTTAACTCTTCTTGACATTTAAAAAACTTTTTAGAGGAGAAAAAGTTTAAGGGAATTCACCACAGAGTAACAGATAAAGGGACTCCACAGAATAACAGTAAAAGTCTCATGAAATCTTGTAGTAAAAATCAAGAAAAAAATATCCAAAGAATAGCCCTAGAACTACCAAATAATATCTGAAGATAACCTATTAGACTGGGTAAATACTTTGGGGCTCACACAGAAGAATGAGGTAAGGCTTTTCTATTTCTAATTTCCATGATGACAGAATCCTATCATGTTGACTTGACTGTCTTCTGCTGTGGTTGATAAGAAAGGGCATACAAATTACTTGTATTTATTCAGATTATTATTTTCTATAGATAGATAAGCCAAAAACACATTTTACATTGACCATGGAATAGATTGGCAGATGGGAATGACTAAACTACTCCGAAGTTGAGCCAAGCCCATACTGCAGAACAAAGTGGAAGTTTCCACATCTCATTACTAATCTCTACTCTTCAGGATTCAGAGTTGAATTATTCTGCATTAAGGAGATAGTAACTCAGTTTAATTGCCCACTGTGGGAATTGCTGGTAGAATAATAGAACAGCATGTCTTGTCCAATCCTCATACAGGGCTACTTTTTGTGTACACAGGATGAAGGTGGCCAGGAAGCCAGCAGGCCAACAAGAAAAAGCCTCTTAAATTTATAACTTGAAAAATCAGGCCATGTGCTTCGGAACTGACCCTCCAGTCTCCTCTCCAACCCCCATCTCTATCCCCAGACTCTAACTTGGCTCATCATAATAATCTATTTTGCCAGCTAGTATTTTAATATTTATTTTGCTCATGTTTTAATTTTTTCCTGTAATTTACAAAACCAAAGTTCCAGATTTATGAATCATGTTACTTTGCATTAACTCTCCCTACCTTTGCAGTCAAACAAGCATATTTTTACCCAATTTAACTAAAAAATGGTGTTCCTCATTCTCTGACTTTTAAACATGTATTTTTAAAATACCTTATCTTGTGTTATCCAAACCAGAACACTTTGAGAGCAAAAGGAGGTGCTGTCTGTAATTACTTCAGAATGATACCCATAAACCAGGACTCTCCTGGGTGAATGTGACTGTATAGTCACTCATCTATAGTCTATATCTGTATCTAATCATCTATACCCATATCCATATCTATAGCTCTATCATCTATACCTATAGTCTATATCCATCTATGTATCTATACCCATCTATCTCTGTATTAATACTTACGTCAATGTCTATATTCTCTATCATCTATATGTATGTCCACATCTATATCTATTTTTATATCTGTATCTATGATTGGATCTATAATATATCTACATCCCTCTCCATCTATACCTACATCTAAAGTTATTATTAATTGATGCTGTTATTGTAACAATCACCTTAGAGTATCTCACTTTCTCTGTTTCTCTTCATTTCTCTTTCTCTTCATCTCTCCCTCTTTTATCCATTTCTCATTGGGACTCCCTCTCCCATGACTCTTTCCTTTTCCTTGTAGTTTCTTTCTTTCCATCTGTCTTCCTCCCTTCCCCTGCTCTGCTCTCTCTTAACTGGTAATAGTAAGGAACTGAGAAATTTTAAATTTGCATCTATCATATTTCTTAAACAATGTTTTCTGTTCCTTAAAACTGCATTTCATATTTCTCCAAGAATATCAACAAAAGTTGTTCCTTCTCATAGGCTGAGTCTCAGTTCTACCATCCAGAAAAATGGAGTTAATCATTTCTGTGTTCAAGCCAAATAAATGAGATCATGTGTTGACAAGTGCTTTACAGCAGCAACCATAGCTGTTCATTAGAATTACCTGGGGAGCTCCTGAAACTCACTATTTCCAGGCTCAATCCCAGACCCAGGCATCAGGATTTTTTACTGATCCTCAGTCTATTCCAATGTGTGGCCAAGGTTGAGAACCATTAGTTTGCAGCCTATACGGTATTATAAAAACATATATTAGCATGTGTTTATTGCATCCTTCATTTAACCCCGTGAATCAGTAACTCTATAGATAACAGGTTACCCAGCCCTACCCTAAATAATTGGGTATGGAAGAGGGAAGATGAAACTTGAGCACATTTTGAACTCTCCTGGGCCATGTTCTGAAAGACTCATTATGTTAGAATTATCTCATTATTTAGTTGTTAGACTCTAACTTTGAACACATAAAAGCCAACTTCCTCCCATAGCTTTGTCTGTCACTTGGAATACTTGTACCTCCATCAGAAACAATTGTCTGATGGGGGTTATTTACATCCTAAGACGAGATAAAAAAAAGAAAACATCTAAATTTCTCTTTCAAAAAATATGCAAGAGAGTGAAAAATTCAATGCAAAGGTGCTAATTATCAACCATAGATTAATTTTCAAATTGTACCTTTAACTTCTAAAACTAATGAGTACAGAAATATTCCACACTGCAAACCTGGGCTCCCGAGAACTCTGATAATTAGAATACCTCTTTGTAATAAACATTACCTAGTAAGTAAAAAAAAAAAAAACAAGGAAAGGAAAAGAATGATTGTCATTATTTATAAAACTCATTAGTGATAAAGAACAAACACTTTCCGAAGAAATACTGTTCTTGACATCTTAAAACTTTCTCTGAGAGGACTGTAGAAACTTACTTTTCAAGTAAAATGAAACCACATGGATTTGGAAAAATAACACTGGTGACTTTGGTTTTAAAACTTGCCATTTAGTAATCAGTGCAGGTTTCTCTATTAAGCTGCTGATTTGCTCTTATGTTTTAACAGTGGGCATTAGGCCAGTGTAAATGTTAAACTGACACCCAGGCTGGCTCTTAAAAATGTCAGCGATGCTAATGGTAATGCATGAAGGCAGAGCTAGCTGACGTTCCCAGAACCTCTAACCAGTTGGCCTCAGTTTGGGTTTCCACCTATTGATGGAATGACCTGGAATGTATGGGAACCCAAATCCAACCAGGGGAAAAGAAACACCTGTTTTAATCAGAGAAGTCTGATGCATACCTTCATAAACCCATCATCCATATCTTTTAAAAATTATATTTCTTCAGCCCAAAATTTTTATTGTTTTGAGTCAAAGCATCTAGTTCACCTTAACTGAGCCAATTGCACACAATCATAGCCATGTTACAAAATAGATGGTACAATATAATATTAAAAAATACTGTCTTCCTAGCAGCCTAAGGGACTTGGACAAACGGTATGAAATTATGAATTCAAACTCTGGGGTTTGAGCCAAACTATTGGCCTTTCTTCTAATCTTTGAGGTTTCTGGGAGGCCCTGCTCCCACTGCCATTTCTATGATAGTATCTCTGTGAGCATATCCTTAGGAAAGCCTTGGGAAGCCAGGGGGCCACTTTCCAGTCATGTTCAAGGGCATACTGGATCTTCCTGGGATGGACCCAGGAGTTAAGTACGTCAGAAAGAAACTGTGCTCTGAAGGGGTGGGAGTCCTGTCCCCTGTGCAGCAATTCTAGGGAAGGAGAGAGATTTGGGCTTCAGAGACTGAGAAACTGTCCACAACACTCACATGTGTTGTCCCTGTTGATACTTTCCAACAATCCTCACTTGTATGTGGTGGTGCGCGGGGGTTGGTACAAAAGACCAAATCCCCTAGAAACAATCTTGGCAGATATTTTTTATAAAAATGACCCCTCACCTCACGGTGATCCGGTGTTTGGCTAATCAGTCCATAATCAACTTGGCTGGAACAAAGAATGTAGCATGTGGTTGTGAAATAATTTTTTTTTCTGGCCTCCAATCTCTCCTCTATTATAATCAGGATAGACCCAACCACACTTCCTGATTTCAAATCTGTTTCATGAATTTCTTATAATTAAGGATATTTTGCTCAGGTTGGAGAAAAAGGGCAGTATGGACCCTTGCCATTTTGAGAAATAGAAATGCTCTTTTCACAAAACTGCAAACAAACAAACAAACAAAAAAACGAAACAAAAAAACCACTCTGCAGCCACTCCAGAAAACAGTTTGGTGGTTCCTCAAAAAGTTAAACACAGCCTTTAATTTTGACCCAACAATTCCATATGTTTCAGCAACTCCACGCCTAGGTATGTGTCTAGAAGATGTGAAAGCAGGGACTCAAATTGATGCTTGTACACCGATGTTCATAACAATACCAGTAACAATAGACAAAAGGTGGAAACAACCCAAATGTCCATTAACAGATGAATGAATACACAAAATGTGGCCTATCCACACAAGGGAACATTAAAAAGGAAAAATAAAAAAAGGAAAAACTTCTGACATGTGCTACAGCATAGATGAGCCTGAAAACGTTACGCTAAGTGAAAGAAGTCAGTGACAAAAGGACAGAAAATATATAAATTTCACTTGTATGAGGTCCCTAGAGCAGATAAACTTATGGAGACAGAAAGTAGAATAGATGTCACCAGGGGGTAAGGGGAGGGAGGAACTGGCAATTATTGTTTAATGGGTACAAAGATTCTTTCGGGTATCATGAAAAAGTTCTGGAAATGGATAGTAGCGAATGGTTGCACAACATTGTGGATGTACTTAATGCCACTGAATTGTACACCTAAAACTGGTTAAAATGGTAAATTTCATGTTATCTTTCTCTCTTTTTCTCTCTCTCTCTATACCACAATTAACAAAAAACCAGAGCACCACAAAAATCCAAAACCTAAGCCAACGTTAGTGTGAGAAATTTACAATAAAACAAATAATGTACATAATCCTTTTAGCTGATTTTTAAAAAATTACAGATGAGAAAGTAGCATTCCTGTCTTGACCACTCCTAGAAAACCTTGTAAATGAGATTCTTGCATGTCCAACTTCGGTTGTTAATCTCAGACAACGAATACAACTTGGCCTAATATTTAACGGTGGAAACTTTTGCTCTGAGCCAGGCTTACCATGCTACACAGTGACTTGTCATTCGAAGATGGTGCCTGTCGAAGAATGAAGCAACCCAACATCACAATATATAGAAATATAAATGTATAGAAATAAATATATAAATATATAGAAATATAAGCAGCTGGCTTAAGAGATCCAGCTGCTTTAGTAATGGCCTCCAAATGCCTATGAGTGCCTAATTTAAGTATGTTCATTCTCATAAACAAAGATAAAGAAGTCCATTGGCCAAGGATTCTATTGTTCATGCCATCTGTTTAACCTACTTGATGAAGTAGTCTCGCCCATCTCGGTTTGCCGTCATCTCCCATCCATAGGGCGGCACCTGGCTCAAGCCCCAGGTTCCCGAGGGAGGCGGCCAGCCTGAAGACTTCGTCCTGTGGCTGGAAAAGAAAAAAAAAAAAGCATCATTACACCTGACTCCTGAACATTCCTTCTGAGACAAACTCTGGAAGGAGAATGTGACTTGCTCCTCTTAGATTGGGCAAACCCCCAATTAACGTTGCAACAAAAATCGACACATTATCTTTTACAATTTCTAGTTTACAACTTCAATTCAGCAGCAAAATGAAAGGGTAGGTTCTGGAGAATTTTCTAGGTGCCTGCCTTTCCAAGATCAAGAAGAAAGAGGAAGTAACTCCATGTGACAAGCAGTAGCAATGGGCAGCCTTGTAGTCACAGTCTGTAACCAGAGGCCTGAGTCCAGTTTCTGAAGCATCACTGAATCCTGGCTAAGCCTCCTCAGCCCAGGACCTGCAGAAATTCCTCCTTGCCCTCATGTATGCCCAAGACTTCCTCAGACCTTAACCATACTTCGGAAGGAAGTAAATGATGCTATTTTAGGATGGCTCAACATCCCTCATCACTTGGTCCTTTCACTTCAGATGAAGTTATTCACTGCATAGCCTGTAAAAGCCTTTGGGTGGTTCCAAATCCCAGGCTGGCACCACCGAAGCTGGTGGCAGGGAGCAGTGATGATGCTTTCAGGGACTCACAGTCTCAGCTACCCGTGAGCCCTTTGCAAAGAGGAAACAGCACCCCCTGCAGTCAGATGACTGCAGAGCAGGCACCCTTCCCCCAGCCTGGTGCCCACCCAGGCTAGTGAGTGTGGCAGGGGCTAACACAGCTGGGCACTCTCGCACTAGGTGCACCCTGAACAACCTCATGTGGTGGCTCTTCCGCAGCAAACATCCAAAGCAGGGGTCTCGGCCTTTCAGACTTTTAATTCCCCAGGATACTGGGCAACTCATCCCTCCCCAGCCCAGCCCTTCCAACACCTCTCAAGTGAAACAAGCCCATTTCCTGCATGTTTTCTGCAGATGAACTATTTTGCATAATTTTAACCACCTCCATTCCTTTTTCTTAACTTCCTTTCCATTTTCCTACAGCCTTCATAAAGGATGTAGGAACAGTTTTTCTGTTGGAAAAAAAGTGTTCACAAATTTAATACTGGTTTGGTAAATGTAGAATGCCACCATAGGATTATCTGTGGCCCATTGACTACTAAAAGACATGGCAAGCATTTTGTTCCTCTTCTTTGCACAAAAGTCAGCAGTGGCAATTTCCTCTGGTGGTTTTTTTTTTTTTTAATGTGCTGCTTCCCTGCAGTGAGAGAACACATGAATTTGCTACCCTGAGGTACTATTAAAACAACAACAACAAAAAAACCACACGCAAAACCAAAAAAACCCACCAATTTCTCTACGCTAGTAGAGAATGCATTTGAATGCTTTCTAAGGTGGTATCAAGAAAAGTACTTACAGGTATGAACACAGTCTATTCTATTAAAAATGTTTCCAAAAGTAATAGTACAGTTAGAAATGGCACAAAGAATATCCTTGTGAGTGAAAGGAGGCCTATGTAGAGAATGCAACAATTTATTCTGGCTTACTCAATTATGTTCGGTGTCAGAAAGTTTATCTTCCCCAGAGGAGGCTAACTTATTGAAAACAAATAAACTATCTTCCTTTCCTTTCCTTTTCCTTTTCCTTTCCTTTCCATTCTTCTTCCCCTCCATGAAATCTTAATCACTAAAGGAAAGACACAGGCTTCCTAATATAATTTACATGTAAAATATAGCATTATAATAACGAGTTGGAGGAAGGCTGAATTTTATTATAAACTACATTTTCCTGTACAGTATGTTCAGGAAGCAGCTAACAACCATTTAGCAAGATGTTTTCAAATAAAGCCTCTTGTCATAAAATACCAAATGAAGTGCCAATACTGGAAAACTCTACAAATGCAAATCAACTGAATCTAGCTCAAGGAGTATCCCCTGATACAAAACAAATAATTGAATAATTAAGATCAAACATGGCTACATGTCTGTTAATGTGTTGACAAAAAAAATACATGGATCTGAAAGGCCTTAGTATGATTTAGCAAATTAAAAGTGCAAGTAGAAAAAAAAAACACCCTTTGTAAGTATTTATCTATAACAACCTTGAGAAAAGTTAACGACACAGGTCGTAATTGCAGAGGGATTTGGCTCCGGTTCCTATGCAGTGTGATGACTACAAGTCCAGCCCTGACAACGGCCAGTATGAGGATTTCAGGCAGGCATAATCCAGGGTTTTATGTACTTCCCAAATTGAGCTGAAAAGAAGCACCTGGCAGCACTTGTTAAATATACAGATTACCAGGTCCCAGAAATGATGATTATGATTCAGTAGGTCTGCATTAGAACAAGAAATCCATGAGTAGGTGTGAATGCATTGAAACAAGTAATTCAGATGATTCTTGTCTTCAGGTAGGGTTGCCAGATTTAGCCAAAAAGCAAAGCCAAACAAAAGTATCCACTTAAATTGAATTTCAAATAAACAATGAATAATTTTTAGTATAAATGTTAGTATAATTTTATTGTAATATATAGGATATACTTATACCAAAAAGTAATGTTATTATTTATTGAAAATTTAAATTGAAGTAGGCATTCTGTATTTTTTAACTGGTAACCATGGGGTTTGGGAAATACTAGTTCTTGCTACCCCAAGCTTCGGCTGAGATCTGGTAGCATGGGTATTACCTTGTGGTTTGTTAGAAATGCAGAATCTGCATTTTCTTGAGATCCCTATGGAATTTATATACCCTGGAAAGTTTGTGAGGCATCACCCAAATCAGTGGTTTCCAGTGTGATGCCTTACTGCACGTTGGAATCCCCCATGGAGGAACTTGTAAACTACAGATGCCTGGAACCAAAGCCAAGCCACTGAGCCCGAATATCTGGGGATAGGGCCTAGGCATTGGTATTTTATACTACCCAGGTCAGCCAAAGTGGCGACCCACTGCTCCACATAACTCTACCTTTTTTTTTATTATTATTATTTTTTATTTTTAGCTGACAAGGTAGGAGAGGAAGGATGTGGTGATCAAGAGCAGATATGCTGGAGCAGAGAGTTTGAGAAGCATAGTCCCAGGAGCAGCAATAGCGGCATCACCTGGGAATTTGAGATGTAAATTTTGGGGCACCACCCAAGACCTACTGAATCCAAAACTCTGGGGTGATGGGGGTGATCCAGCAATCTGTGTTTAACAAGCTTCCACACAATGCTGATGCCCACTCAAGTTTGAGAAACACTGGGTTAGAACCAGACTCTCTTCAATCCAGGCTCTGCCGTTTATTTTCCACGACCTTGAACAAGTTACTTCATCTCCCTAACCCCCTCAGTTCCAGCTACTCCTTGGTAAAATGATGACAATAGGACCCATTGGGAGAATACTAAGTGAATTTTGTAAAGCACTCAGTATGTGCTATAAAGTCTTTGCTAAATAACTATAATATAGGACTTTGGGTGGTTTTGCAAGTATGAATGGCTTTAATCCATCCTCAGAACAGAAAGACAGTGAAAGGCTTGGTCATCTATTCTTCTCCATTCTGGCAAGAGCAGGGCAAGAAGGGTCTTAACCAAGCAGTCACACCTTCCCAGAATGTCAGAAGGTGATGAGTTCAGCCATTCTCAAGGCGGAAGGAAACATCAGAAAGTTTTTTACCAGAAATCCCAGCTGTGTGATCCTGGGTGCACAGTGTCCATTTCCACCGGGCTCAGGCAAGGCCTTGAGAGTTCTTGCAATTCTGATGTCCTGTGACTTCTATCTGAGAGCATGGCTGTGTGAACCACTTTCAAACGCTTAGCTCAGCCTTAAAAATAGCGACCTACATTGGCAGGGCTATTTAAGTCACTTCAGAAACTCCCAGCGACTGACTGAACTGGTTTGTAACTTTGTGCTTTACCCATCTATTGTTTGCAACAGATTGAAACCTTCCTGGACAAAAAATGTCTTCATACTTGATAGGAAATGAGAGCAGCTATGAATGGTACAGACAAAGTTGTGGAACGATTTGTATTGCAACCATTAGTGGAAGCAACCCATGGTTTCCTCCTGCGTTCATGCCTCTAAGTCCTGGACAAAATCTCGATGGCCAGCTCGCCCTAGGAGAAGGCAGGCTTTCAGGAGCCACCTGGAGGCCTCTTTGGTATTTGAGTTTCCTTAGAAACATGGCAGTATCAGAAAAAGGGATGCCGTAGGGGAGAAGGAATGTGAGGTCAGGTTCCAAAGTCCCGAGTCAGATTCAAATTCTGCCACTTACTAGATTTGTGACCCTGTGCAATTTACTCTAAACTCTCTGTACCTTGTTTTCATCACCTGTAAAGTAGAATTATTCTAACTCACTGTTTTTCATCTGGGGTGATTTTGCCCCCAAGGGACACTTAGCAATATCTAGAGATTTTTGGTGGTCACAACTGAGGGGAGGAGGAGACTAGGTATATTGCTAAACATCCTACAACACACAGGACAGCCCCTCAAAAGATAGAACTATCTGGCCAAAATGGCAATAGAGCCAAGATGAAAAAACCCTGCTTAGCTCATAGGACTGTTACAAGAAGATAATGTAATTAATGCACAATTCTTAGTATAGTACCTGGTATATAGCAGGTTCTCAATAAACCTTAGTTGAATAAAACATAAAACCAAGCATTCTCAAGGTTTCTGCTTAGAGTCTAATAGTGATAAATACAACATATCTTTACATCAGAGGGAAAGAGTTCAAATACCAGGTTTGCCACTTAACAGGTTGGCTTTTCTGGGTTTTAGTTTTATGTGTAAAATGGAAATAATAACAACTAGCTCACAGTGATGTTATGCAGATAAATGAGATACATAAAGCTCTAAAGTACAATGCTTGACTCATTTAGAATAGTCTCATCAAATGGTACATTGTGTTGTAAGCAGTAATGGTCATACTAATAAGAGTAGCACGCAGCATTTCTAAGGATATAACTGCTTAGGATACTCACAGGCCTGCCTCAGCACGCAACAGGCGCCTGCATTATTATTTCCCTTTCAAAGATGAAGAAACTGAGACACAGAAAGGGTGTATAACTAGCCTAATAGGGACAGCAATCTACTGAGCCCTGAGACTTTCTACTCCAAACTCCATATTACTTACACTGTGCCACAAATAAGTGTGATAACAACTTATCAGCTTTCTTATGTATCTGGTAATATTTTGGACAGGTAGCCAGGAATAAGCTGCATCCTTTGAGACTTGGTGTTGAGGAATGCATTATCTTCATTTCAGATATGGGAAAACCAAAGCTAAAGCTCTATGCATTCGGTCATTCATCGGTGACATTGCATGATACTATACAGGTCTAACAAAATAAAACACGATCCAGAATTTTATCATTCTTATCTTTGTGGACTCACAAAGATTATTTTCAGACTAACCCAAGGTTATATAGCATTCTCATTTAGCTTGCTGTAAATGGTGGTTGGATTATAGAACCCCAAACCCTACAGATACCTCAAGGTATCCTAAGATAGTATTTTACATTTGCAAGCAGATGGTATTCAAGGTATGTTTTGGGTTGACATGCAATGTGGGTTAAGGTAAGGAAGTGGAGAGGTGTGAGGAAAATGAATGATAATAGATGGTTCTGGATGAATTTAACAAGCTCCAAGTTTTGAAGACAGCCATGTTTCTTTTGTGCCCAGCTTGATATGTCACATTGGGGTTAGTAGAGGGTCCCTGGCATGACCCTCAGGGAGAAACTGTCCTGTACAGTTTCTTGCCCCCATGAATCAGTAAGGAACCGGCTAACCAGGTCTTTTCATTCCATTTATTCGTGCTGTAGACACACATAGGTCCTGAATCAGGCTGCTTTCTCTTTTCCCTCAGAACATAACTTTCTCCATTAAATCAAGCTTCAGTACAGTAGTCAAAGTATTTTGATCTCATACAACAGGTAGCAGCTTTTCATTCTACTGTTCCTTATTAGCAGGTTTTGGCACAGGTACATGTGAGGAAAGCTACATTAATAGCCTGAAAATAACTTCAAAGCCCCACAGATAGAAGTAAAAATCATCCCACCAACTATTTTTAAGACGTCACTTTTGTTATGACAAGGAGGACAGGAAAATATAGTAAAGGGGGAAAAGCACACAGTTAAAAACTACTTTAAATATTAATGCCAAGCCTCATGAAAGCAGATGCTCAAAAATATATTCATTACAAAATGATTTTAATCAAGAAGAAATGTATTATTAATCAAGAGTTTCACTATGGTAAAAGACATTTGACTGTATATTTTAACAACCAAATTGAAATACTTTTCTGATTATTTTCATCTGATTCATTACATGATTTACCAACCCACACAATAAAATTAATTATGTAGTTATACATCTATGATTTTCAGCACAAGCCTCTCACAGCTTGTTGAGTTAGTTATGTTTCTTAATTAGGTATCAGGGAGAATTATTAGGATAATTAAATCTGGGTTAACTGGTCTTCTTCCAAAAGTTTCTACTTACAAAGTTCAGCCTCACTTTGTGAACAATCCAGTGACAGAATCCAGATGTCTTCAGGGTCTGAGGCCATGTATCTATAGAGTCCCCAGACATCACATGCAGTGGTTGCCATTAAAGTTAGATGCAGCCCTGCCCCGAATTGGACATTTGAATTTTGTACTGTGCATTTGCATCTCTTAGTTCACTGAATTCTCCAACTCTGTAAATGTGGAAGGACAATATAATTAGCATGATATTGTTGAGGAGATAGCATAGTAGAATGGCTAAGATTCATTGCTCAGAGAGGCATCACAGAGCTAAATGTGAGAACCGTCAACAGGTCAAGTCTTGAGCTCCTTCTGCTAGAATGCTGTTGTACCTGTTCATGAGTTTGTAGCTGTTATTATACTTCCCAAGCATATGATGCCAGGTGGTAGGCTGGGCACTCACCCTTGAGGGGATGGACAATGTCCTTACCTTTCTATCAGTATTACTCAGACTAGTGCCAGGCACATGATAGATGTTCAAATGGGAATTGAATTAATAAATGAATCCAAGCTACATGATGATACTGGCACAGGATGTTAGGATTAAAATTGTAGTTCTCTGCCTTTGAGTGGGTAAGAATACATGTGTGTTGAAATGCCATTTGTTGAATAACTGCTGTCAGGCACTGTTCTAGGCACTTTCACAGATTCTTTCTTTTTAATCCTTAGAACAGCTCAACAAGAGGGGTTGTTTGCTACTACGTCAGCTCATCCAATGATGGAATAGCATTCAGACATTAAACCAAAGTTGTAGATGAAGACCGACTGCCATAGGATGTAGTTAAATGAACAAAGTTGGTTACAAAAAGGGTGTGCACCATGTGATCCACCTTGTAAAAAAAATCTGTGTGCATAGGCAAGAAAAACAGTCTGGAAGAATGGGTACACTGTGGTTAAATCTGGGTTGTCAGATTAAGGTGGTTTTTTAAATTCTTGCGTATTTAAATTTTGTGTATTTTATATTGTGTATTTAAATTTTGTATATTTTTCCTATAGTGAATATATATTACTTTCATACTTAGGATTTTATTTTAAACAAATGAAACTAGAAAACGGTTATGATTCCATGTGGATTCTTGGTGGAATCGCTGGAGAAATTGTAGAGAGGAAGTACTGAAGGTGTGAAAACATACAGTGCTGGTGTGGCTCTAGGGAAACACATTGCCATATATTGCCCAGAGTGCATTTTGGCAATCCCTGATAGAGGGCAATTTAGCAACCTCTATCCAAACTGAAAGGAGCATACATTTTGTCCTAAGTGTTCATCAGTATAAAACATGGCACAACCACACAAAGGAATACTATGCAGCTGTAAAAAGAAGGAATGAGGAAATTCTTTATGTACTGATTTGGGAAGACTCTGCAGATACATTAAAATAAAAAAAATCAATATGCAGAAATATGTACAACCTGCTACTACTTGTGTAAAATCAGGGAAGAATAAAGTAGAAAAAAAAGCCAAACCATGGAGTCTAGATTCAGACAGAGCTGCATTTGAACACTGATGCCACCTCATAGCATCTGTGTGAGCTTAACCAGGTTCCTTATCCTTGTCCAAACATCAGCTTTCTCCTCTGAAAACTAGGACTAATACCGACCATCCTGTTGAATTGTTGTAAGGACTGTATGACATAGGTGATCAAAAGCTGCTATCATTATTACTTGCACACATTCTTTAATGCATATAACAAATATTGATTGAATGCCTAGTTTGTACCACACGCTGTTCTAGGTGCTTGGAATGCATCAGTGAACAGAATAGACAAAACCAGAGTTATTGACACGTAAAATAAACACCAATGATCACCTAACTTAGACTTTTTTCTTCTAGCCTAGCATCTACAATGGTTTGAGCGTGTCCCCCAAAGTTCACATGTTGGAAATTTGATCCCCAATGCAGTGGTATTGGGAGGTGATGGGACCTTTAAGAGGTGTTTAAGTCATGAGGGCTCCACCCTCATGAATGAATTAATGCTGTTATCGTGGGAATGGTTTATTATAAAAGGGGGAGTTTGGCCCCAGAACTGTGAGAGGTAAATTTTGCAAGGTTCCATGGTCAGTCTCGTACTGCATATAGCAACCCTATACTATACAGTTCCCGCTGTGTGGGATAGAATGTAGTCTGAGAGCTCTATTTCTCTTTTTCAAGCATCCAGTGCCCTCATGACATTACATTTGCTCATTCACTCATTCAAAACGTTTCATTGAGGACTCTTGTATCAGTCCTTTTGTAGGACTAGAGCTGTGACAAGCAGATAGGGTGCTTGCTTTCCTGGACACTTATGGGACTTATAACATTGTTGAAGAAGGCAGGCATCATGGCTCACCCAACCTGGACGTTGTCCTGGCTCTGGGTTGTCCCCTGAATCCTGAGCTTTAATTGAAACTTCTCAGTTAGGAGTTCATGCTGGGAAATTCAGGAGAGAGGGAAATCTTCCTTACATTCCTCAAACTATCCCACACAGACAACAGTTTAACCCATACCAATCATTAAATGCTTTTTCTTGCTTCATTTAGGACCCAGTCTGTTGCCTTTAGCGGTAATATGGAACCTGTGTATTGCTCTCAGGACCCACCAAATGCATCATGTCATAGAACTTGACAGTGATTACAGAGTTAATGAAACACAGCATTGTTGAATCTGCCAAATGGCCTAATCTAATTTTCAAATGTGTTGTTAAAACACTTTTGCAAACACTCATCATTTTAAGAGATAAAATTCATCTTCACATTTCACTTATTTATGGATGACTCATAACCTAATACTGCTACTCACCAAGCTTAGCCAAATCCAACTGGCTTCCCTTGAACATGTATACGAAATATTCAAACATTTTCCGATTTAGCTATTCATTGTGAAGATTATATTCTCACTGTTTGTTGGGGACATGGGCATGTATTTTAATTATTTTTGAATTTTATGGGTTAACCTATATTTATCTAGACTGTAGTTTACTTAATCTTCTTGACTTTGCCTAAAAACTTAGAATCCTAAAAGTATATCTATTTAATAATTATCTCCCATTCCATTAAGTTCTTAAATTCTTTCTGAGTAAGGAAACCAAAATATTTCCTAAAAACTATTCTGAGGAGGCTAAGTTCTAAGTCTACCATTGATAGTAGGGATCAGCAAATTTATGTAAAGAGCCAGATATACTAAATATTTTCAGATTCATGAGTCATAAGCTCTTTGTACCAACTATTCAACTCCACCATTGTATCAAAAGTAGCCATAGACAATGTGGAAACTAACGGACATGGCTGTGTTCCAACAAAACTTCATTTACAAAAACAAATCCACATGTGGCCTTCGAGCCATAGTTTGCTGACCTCTGATTTATAGTGTCACCTTGAGAAAGTCATTTATTTTTCTGCCCTTCTATTTTCTTATTTTTAGAATGAAGGGGCTAGACTACATGATTTCAGAAGTCCCTTCAAGCTCCAAAATGTTCACCTCGGTTGACTAACCAGGTTTCTTTCTCAAAGGCCGTAATCTTCAACAGGACTGGAAGAGACTCTGATACACAAATTGTGCAAAACTTTTTTTTCACTGAAGTAACAGTTCACCACTCAGGGAAAATGAAAAAAAAAATTCTATTTTCCATAGCATTTGACCCAAAGATAGAACATTATAGTTCAACCCATCACATACCTGCATATTTATGGGGAGTTTTAAATCTCTGAACAATTGATCTTGTCTTGTAAATAGGGCCACTATTTGGAGGAATGGTATTTCAAATATGCAATATGCTGGCAGTCCAAAACAATAATGGAAAAACTCACTCTAGTGGCTGCTTTCCAAAATTCAAATCAAGATTCTTTGGGGCTTGTGGAAACAGTATCACAAGCTGATATTTAAAGGTTTTCAAATGTGATGTTGTAAGATAGCTTTACTATCAAGTGGTATGATATCTAATAATGTCCACCATTGTTTTAGCCTTACTCACATTTTTTTAAACTACCAAAGGCTGGTAGTTCTCCAAGCTAAAGTGCCTATTTTCTATCAAAAACATGTTTGAGTTTGGCTTGCTATCTCAGTGTCTGCTGGAGACCCTTTCTTTACTGCTGAATTATAATCCCTAAAGAGCAGGTGTTTATAGTAAACCTGCTGACATAATTAAGAAGGTAAGATGGAAAGTTACAGCCCACTTAGGTACACCTAAATGCACTGGTGCTAAAATATGTTGTCTGGCTTCCTTCCCCAGAGTTAGAATGCATTTGCAATATTTTTAATGGGTTATATATAATGTAAACAAAACACATAAACCTAGTGTACTTTATTTTTATCTAATTCTAGGAAGATTTCTGGTGGCTTTTCTTTTAAAATTGTTTAATGAAGAGATTCACAGCTTTGTTCCTGCATTTATTTACCATGACCATTGTCTCTCCCCATCCCAACCCTGAATTCATCATGCATTTCCATGGTATCCCATAATTTTCTGAAGCTATTAATATAGAAGGAACAAATGTGTATTTGAAGTGTAGAAATTGAAATGATTCTTTTTAATACTCCCAGCTTAGATGTTAAAGGAAAATATATAATTTCACTAGATTTCTCAGTATCTATACATCTCCAAGGTCATCAAAAATGTGTAAGAATAGAAAGTGCACCAAGCCTCATAGGGCATACAAACATATACACTTGAAAATAGATATTTATCACTCAGGGCCTCCCTACTACTCTTTCTCTTTCTCCTTCTCGGCTCTTCTCTCTTCTCTTCTTCCTTTTCTTTTTTTGTCTTTAAACAACTGCAAACATTGCAGTTAGAAAAGATATAAATAAGGATAATGTGGGGACTTTCCAGTAGTGATGGAAACCAATTTGCAGATACTTCCCATCCAATATCACTCTGCACTTATTTATTTTTGTTTTGTTCATACAGAAACCCTTTTATTGAGCACAATTTTATGAGTAGAACTGTGACAGACACAGATGACAAGTCCCCGCCCTGAAAGGAATGAACAACCTAATACAAAGTAGAGAGAGAGGAAGAGGTAGTGTTGAGTATGAGCTGAAAATATGACCATCATGCCTCCTTGCTGCATATAGGGAAAACAGATTTATGGTTTATGTCTTTAGAAAATCTCTAAGAGCTGGTGCTTACCTCAAACTCTGGAGGTGAAAGAGAAGGCCCACATTCTTTTATAACTTTCATAGTTTCCCATTCTGGTCTCACATTTCCATAACAATTTCAATAACAATTATATTTATTATGACATTTATAATAAAAAATCTATAGCAAGGTAAGTGATGCTGTTAGTAACCATATTAGGGTTTCTTAGTTTTCATCCATCATTCCCAGCTTCCATTTGGAGTTCATTGATATTTTTTCAATCCATCTGCTCCAATGATAGGCATGTTATCACTGAACACAGAGAAAGATCCAGAAATTCCTTGCCCTAACCCACATAATAGGCTCAAGTGAGCCCTGCTACCTTTTCATGTCCAAACATAATCATTTTATGAATCAGGACAAAAACCATCATATATTTTCCTGAGATGTGTTATGAAGAGGAAATGAGTTGAAAACACTAAGAAGACAATAAGCTCTCAATATTTCTATATCATGGAATAATGATTTCCACAGTACGGAAGACATTTATTTACAAAGAGCACAGAGTTACAAATTGTGGGAAACAGCTATATTGTAACCATGTATGACTTGCTAAGTTTAGACAAGTTCTCAAAATCTTCTCCAGCTGACAATGATAATGTATCTGCAACTGTGAATGTTTCCAGGAAGGAGATTTTAGCAGCTAGCTGTTACCTTTATTAGAAAAGTGCAGAAAAGCCTTTCATAATGAAAAGTGCCCCTTATAGCAGGGCCTCTCCAACTTTAGTGTGCATAAGAATCACCTGAGCATCTTGTTAAAATGCAGGTTCTGTTTCCGTAGGCCTAGAGTGGGGCTCAGGATTCAGCATTTTTAATGGGCTCCCAGGTGGTGTTGAAGCTGCTGGCTCAGGGAGCACAGTCTGAGCATAGTCTCCCAAGGTCAGTGTCAGGTAAGGAGTGGATGCTGACTTCCATCCTGGCAAATCTCTGCCAGCCCCTTATACATTCCTGAAACAGGATGTTAACTATCCCTGTTGGAGATTTCAACCTGGGGCTCCCTGGCCTGGCAGGGATTTGCCAAGATGGAAGTTGGTACCCATTCATTACCTGATACTGATCTTGGGAGACCCAGGTCAAGGCAAGAGAGTTAATGAGCACTGGTTTGACAATAGATAGCAACACAAAACAAAATATGGCTCCTGAACAAAACTTGCACTTCACATTAATAGTCATCTCTGATTTTTTTTTTTTTAATTTTGAGAAAGAATCTCCCTCTGTTACCCAGGTTGGAGTGCAATGGCGCCATCTTGGTTCACTGCAACCTCCACCTCCTGGGTTCAAGCGATTCTCATGCCTCAGCCTCCTGAGTAGCTGGGATTACAGGTGCATGCCACCATGCCTGGCTAATTTTTGTATTTTTAGTAGAGATGTGGTTTTGCAGTGTTGGCCAGGCTGGTCTCAAACTCCTGGTCTTGATCTCAGATTTTTATACACGACCATGGTGACCGCCAGTGAAATGAAGCTCTAATTTATTTCCTTCTAACATTAACGGAGAGCCTCCCTTGTAGTCTAGGATTCCCTTCTCTGTGCAGACTCCTGGGTTAAGCATTTATTTAAGAAGGTCTATCAGCATCCACAACTCCGCATACAATACAAAAGATATAGCTTGTCCTTAATCTTTGGTTACGGCTTTGGTTCTTTAGCAAATCAGATTGAAACCTCTGGGAAACTTCCCTTGAAGCCCCTACCTTATTCTTCTCCAAAAAGATTCATTGAGCCTATATCATATCTTGGAACTCATCTAAACTCAGTAGGAATGCAAAATGATCACTTGGCCCCACTATTTGAAGAACATGTACAAAAGTTGATGACAGAAAACTATTATACACACAATAATTTGAGAACAACCAAGAATAAACTAGATTGCAAATAGATATTCCTACAGAAATATTACACATCCTGTTAGAATCATTTCTTGTACTACTTCCTTCACAAAGGCTTGACTCTCACATCCAATAATGGCATCTCCTCCCTCCACTCTCCACATCAGTGCCCAGCAAACTACATCCGGTGGCCTTGGCCCAGTGTCCACTTGTTTAAGTATCATCTATGGCTGCTTTCACACAAAAACAGCAGAATTGAGCAGTGTGACAGAGACTGTATGGCTTGCAAAGCCTAAAATATTTACCATCTGGACCTTTACAGAAGAAGTTTGCCAACCCCTGCTATCGAGTAGTAAGTACCTGCCTCACAGCACTTCAATTGCATCTTATATTACAGTCAACAATAGATACATACATAGGTAGGTAGAGAAATTAAATGACTGATTTATCTCCAGGGCCACCATTTGCACAACTCCATGTGGCTTCATTTACTGTGTTATAAGTTATACTAGTTATCTTACGAGGTTCTGAGCCTCCTTACTCATTTGAGTTAAGTCATGTGCCACCAGTTTAGGGATTTGTCTAAACTTGGAGCTCAATAAACAGGGTGGAATGAAACTGAACTCTAGAGGTTTTTCTAGGGCATAACTGAAGCCATTATATTGAGGACAGTGAAATTACCGAGAGCAAGAAGCAAACATCTGATTGTACCTGTAACTAAATGAGCAGAAACCAAATGGTGCTTTTGGCAGCAAAACAAAAGTGTCTCTGACAGCCATTTTGTTTGACAGGGATTTTGCAAGAGGCTCCATAATGAACTGCAGCCATAAAATAACTTGATATTAGCACAACCAATCCTTGGTGAATCTTTACTGCAGCAGAGATAAAGAGCACAGTCTCTGTGCTTTCCAATGCATACAACCCAATGGCACAGCCACTGGCATGCTGGTTTATGGGCTGTGTATTTCTCCTTCTGCTCCAGCAATCCCATTCATCTGGTATTTTACAGTCTTAGCTGGGCTCTAAAGACCCAGCAGGAAAAAGAGGCAGTAATTGCATTTTGTAAGCAATTAATTTTTTTCTTTCTTTAAAAATTTCCTCCTTTATATGTGTATCTTTTAAGGAATGGAATAAAAAGATATATCTTCTGTCATTGCCTCTAGAAGGGAGACTAAGTCAAATCCTTTCCTTTACAATGGACGATCATATTCATCCATTGTATATTCTAATGCTCAGCATTTCATTCACTTACTGTCATTATACCAGCCCTGCAAATTCCATTCTTTTGCAGTTGTGAGTCCCGTAAGCCCGTACACGTCCTACTAGTTGTTAATTTCATAGAAGAAATGTTAAATTTACTTAAAGTTAATACTTAGGGATATAGCATTGTCTTTCACTTGATTTTCCCCAGTAAAAAAAAATCTAAAATTTTTAATTTTTTCCATACCTAGATTCTATATAAGAAGTTTGTACATAAATTTAGAGGGTGTTTTAAAAACTTAGAAACAATTTGGATAAAAATGACTAATAAGTGTGATGCTTAAAATTAATTTACTTGACTTCAGCATGGGTTCACAAAATAATACAGTAAAACTTCTGCATTTTGTGAATGATCTTTCCTAATAACAGCCTAAAATTTATAAAATTCCCCTAATGCACACAAAAAGAACCATGGTTTCATGAAGGATTAGAATATAATATACTAATAAAAGGTCTCCATTCTATATCCAAATGCCATTCTAGCATAACAAGAAACTATAACAAGAACTCCTACTTTGTTTATAGAAGATGATGAGGTATGAATGATACATACAGGCTAAATTGGGATCCATAAAGTTTTGATGATTTTAATACTTAACTTTGTTGTCTCCCTTTCTCCATGTTGAATGGCAAAAACTGAGAACTCCAACCCAATATAACCTACAGCCCCTCTAGAGTAAATGACATTGGCTACCCATCCTTTAAAATGCTGACCTCCCTTATGAAGCTTCTGTGCTATAGCCCAATTCACAGTGGGATCTCTGAATTCCTGTAGTTTTTACCACCTTACACCTCCACTTCGTTGTCTGTAGACATCTTAAATTCAACACATCCAAAACTGAACTCATGTTCATTCCCCCAAACCTACTCCTCTGCCTAACTTCCTCATCTTTATAAATGGCCACCCTGTTCTTCAAGAGAGGCCACAATGAATTCCATGCATTTTCTGCAAGATACTGCCTTCTTTAACCTTAGAGTGTTTCAGCTTGCTGGTCTCTCAGGCCTAGATTTCTCCAACTCTTTCTTCTCCATTCATTCTGCCAACTAACAACTTATTATTCTGGTTTAATTGTTCATCCTCCAAGAAACTTTCTGTCAATTTGCTCTGCTCAATATGGTAGCCACTCATCACAGGTAGTTACTGAACACTGGAAATGTGGCAAGTATGAATTGAGATGTGCTGTAAATCTGAAATACACAGCAGATTTCCAAGGCTTAGTAGGAAGAAAAAAATATAAAAAGTCTCAATATTTTTGATAAATTGATTACATATTGAAATAATATTTTAGACACGTTGGGTTAAGCAAAACATATTAAAAGAAAAATTTAGCAGTTTGTTTTTGTTTTTAAAATATGGCTACCAGAAAATTTAAAATAACATACATGGTTCATGTTATAATTTTATTGGACTGTGCTCTTCTATACCCTTGGGGCAAAGTCAGGTGCTCTTCCCACAGATTTCTTTACAACCCCCATTCCTTTTGCTAATTTGCCTGGTGACTTGTCTATCAGTTCTAGGCTCTGTTAGCTGACTTAACTAGGGATCACATCCATATCTGAGGCACAGTAGGCACTCACATATATTTGTTAAATGAACACAAGAACTACATTAAGAATCAGGAAGTCAGCTCATCTCCCTAAGCCACAGTTAATGTGGAGGTTAAACTGGGCTGTCTCTACCAGCCCTTCTAGTTTCATTGACTGTAAATATCTAACTTGGACATTTAAATGAGTCTCTTCTTCCGCATCAGGTTTACAGTTCTTTCAGGGTGAAACAAATGTTTTATATTTTCCTTGTTAGTTTCCTCAGGGCTCTGTGAATACAGCTGGCTCTTAGCAACATAGGGTTAAACTGCACATGTCCACTTATACACAGATTTTGTTCTGCCTCTGCCACCCCTGAGACAGCAAGACCAACCCCTCTTCTTCCTCTTCCTGCTTAACCTATTCAACGTGAAGACGATAAGGATGAAGAATTTTATGATGATTCACTTCTACTTAATGAATAGCAAATAAATTTTCTCTTCCTTACGATTATCCAATAACACTTTCTTTTTTTTTTTTTTTTTTTTTTTTTTTTTGAGATGTAGTCTTGCTCTGTCACCCAGGCTGGAGTGCAGTGGCGCAATCTCGGCTCACTGCCAGCTCCGCCTCCCGGGTTCACGCCAATTCTGCTGTCTCAGTCTCCCCAGCAGCTGGGACTACAGGTGTACGCCACCACACCCGGTCAATTTTTTTGTATTTTTAGTAGAGACGGGGTTTCACCATGTTAGCCAGGATGGTCTCGAGCTCCTGACCTAGTGATCCACCCGCCTCAGCCTCCCAAAGTGCTGGGATTACAGGCATTAGCCACCGCGCCGGGCCCCAATAACACTTTCTTTTCTCTAGCTTACCTTATTCTAAGAATAATCTGGTATATAATACATGAAACAGACAAAATATGTGTTAACCCACTGTTTACAGTTATCAGTAAGGCTTCTGGTCAACAGTAGGCCGTTCATAGTTGAGTTTTGGTGAGTCATGAAAGTCAGCACCCCTAACCCCTGAGTTGTTCAAGGGTCAATTGTACTTAAAAGTCATCATCTAGTCAACAAATGGTAAGCTAAAAGTATTTGCTTACATGTTTTACAGGGTGGGTCTGATGTGGGAGAATAAGTATTTGACTTAGTTGGACACTTCGTAAAATAGGTACAAATGTGGAAACTCTTTACTAGGAGGGGAAAAGCTAAAGGCAGGCGTGGGGGCCTAGGTGGGAGAGTGGGGAAGTAGAGGGAGTGGTGGCTATGAATCCTGACAATAGAAAAGCTGGCCACAGCAGGGCTGGCAAGCTCCCTAAAGCAGTTGGGTAAATGCCTCACATGCGACATCACTGGGAAGCTTCCAATGAACCAGTATCCAGGAATGACTGTTCCAGAAACACATCCTCCCTTTCTTCCTCCAGGCAACAAGGAGGAAGCAAGAAGGGCTGGCCCAAAGGTATTGGGTATTACTACCTGAGTTGACTCTCTACCTCCTTAACAGTGTGTCAAGACCCCAAGTCACCTGTTCTGTGGATCTCAAGATGCTTCTGGTAGAAAAAAGACAATCCTAATTTATATTCACAACAAACAAGTGCAAAACTGATCAACCGCTAAGTTTATTTAGGGAAAATATCCATACCAAAGTTCATGTTTGTTCTTAGGCTACTTTTTGTTTTAACTCAAAAATAATCTTAGACAGTATGAAATTATTTCTACCTATCTCTGAGCAAATAGAAACGCGATCGTCCAATCCATCAACATTTGCAGGCAAACGGTCTATGTTAGCTCCACTGCTGTGATAAATGTTTCCCATGTGGACTCTTGAAATAACTAAGACCATTTGCCTTATCCACAGAAATGCATGCCATTCATCAGCTGTGATGCACAAGACAACCTGGTCCAGGCCAATCTCATTTTAGTGAAAAGAGGGAGTACTCTGAAAGTGGCTTTGTCTAGAGCACAGGTGAATGCATTGAAAAGGAAGGGCATTGTGTACAAGAAACATAAACATTTTTAATAGGCTCAGAAATTCATAATTACTATTTATATTCCACATGCATTTCTCCCAGTGATATCCAATATTTTAGGATAGAAAAATCTCTCCTAGGAGAGAAAAGAGGCAAAAATGCAAAGACCTATTGGAAATTTTGCTTTTTTTTTTTTTTTTTTTCATTTCTTTTCATTTCTGTAGTGTCTGCCTGAAGCTTCTATTCTGGAACTTCTCTGATCACCCCTGGAGAATTCAGCATTTTAACTCTCAAAGGTTTTGTTGTGTTTTTCTTCTTAACCACCACCAGCCTTCCTCTGATTCTGGGATTTTGGCCATGTGTCCTTGGATCCAATCTCTGTTTATATAATTGTTCTCATTTTCTTCTTGCAATTACTTTTCCTTCTTTTCCTATTTTTTAAAATCTCACCTTTCATTCCATTTCTTTTTCATCTCTCACCCTCGGAAAATTTCTCTTTCTGGCAGGCTCTTCTTGTTCTCTTTGGCAGTATTTCACAGAGGCACAGATAGTCATAATGATCAAAATGTACACTTGCAGAGGGAGCCTTAATCTCCCAAGGAGATTAGGCTACTCTGCAGACATTATCTCATCAATCTCCCCTAGCCTCTGCAAAGGAGGGACCCATTTCCTAGTAGAGACACCACCCCAGAGGGTAAAGTTAGCTGCATCCTGAGACTTAAAAAGAACTAGGAACAGGCCTGGTGTAGTGGCTCATGCCTATAATCCCAATACTTTGGGAGGCCAAGGTGGGAGGATCACTTGAGCCCAGGAGTTTGAGACGAGCCTGGGCAACACAGTGGGACCTTATCTCTACAAAAAATAAAAAAAAAATTAGCCAGGCATGGCGCAACTGTAGTGCTAGCTACTTTGGAGGCCAAGGTGGGAAGATCGCTTGAGCTTAGGAGGTCAAGGCTGCAGTGAGCCATGATTGTGCCACTGCACTCCAGCCTGAGTAACATAGTGAGACCCTGTCTCAAAATATATATATATATATAATATATACGTATATATATGTATATACATATATATACATATATACATATATATACATATATGTGTGTATATATATACGTATATATGTATATATATGTGTATATATGTATATATATATGTGTATATATGTATATGTGTGTGTGTGTATATATATATACAGACTGTTGCTCATTTACATCACAATAGGTCCAGGCTGTTATATTTTACTTCTCCTATTCCTTTCTTCTGGACCTCATCCTTAATTTTTACCAAACACAAAAGGATGGCTCTTATCCCTTGAGAGTAATTCCTTCATATAAATATACTTTTAAATCTGCCACTGTCCCATGTTGAAGAGGCATAAAGGGGAAAAATCATAAATTTGGTTTATGCTTTATTTTCAAGTTTACTCTCTGTTTCATATGCTTTATTGGTTCCTTGGAGAATTCTGCAACTGTTTCCCTTTTTCCAATCCTGTGTTATTAACAGTCTTACTTAGATTTCATTTATGGCATGTGGTAATGTTATGACTCTCTTCCCCCACTCCATTGTAATAGATGAGGCAATTGATTCTCAAAACTTTCAATATGTGGCCAAGCTAGTTGAGTGTCCAAATTAGCCTTATAAGCTAAGTCTTATGACTTTTCAGTCTACACCTTTTAAAGAGAATTTTATAAAAATTATCACATTTAATTATCTAAACAAGCAGACAAGGTCATTATTCCTATCCCCATTTCAAAGATGAGAAAACTTCTAGACCACTTGCTCAAAGTCATCCAGCTATTAAGCCAATGTAGCCAGCATTTCAACTTAGGTTTGTCTAATTCAAATCTTGTGTCTGCACTTTTTTAAAAAACTGCTTCTCTCTTGACACATTAAAGACAAAAAGGATTTTCCCCTACCCCCACTATACATACTTTACTCGGGTTTCTTTTATCTTGAGATGGGGTCTCGCTCTGTCACTAAGGCTGGAGAGCAGTGGTGTGATCATGGCTCACTGCAGCCTCGACCTCCAGGACACAAGTGATCCTCCCAATGCAACCTCCTGAGTAGTGGGGCCACAGGCATAGCACGCACCACCATGCGCCTAGCTAATTTATTTTTATTTTTTACAGAGAGGACGGTCTTGCTATGTTTTCCAGGCTGGTCTTGGACTCCTGGCCTCATGCGATCTGCCTGCCTCGGCCTCCCAAGGGGTGGGATTACAGGAGTGAGCCACCACGCCCGGCCTACTCTGGTTTCTTAGGGCCTGTCCTTCCCTGTCAGTTCCTGTCCTTGGAATGCTCTCTACATGGAAACCAACATCCTGGCCTACTCCAGAGACCTCCTTCTTCCTGGGAGCAGAAGGTGCCAATTGAGGCACATGCCATATACATCACTTTGTTTTAAAATTAAAATACATGTCCCCAAGGGGCATGATGGTGTTGCCAGCATGTTTCCACTGGGCCAGGTGTTGCAAGGGCACAGTGGAAGCTGAGAGCCTGGAGACACTTTCCCATGCCACCTGTCCCTATCTTGCCACAGGCGGTTGAGTGCTCCAATTTTTCATGGGGTTCCCTAGGGCAAGAACCCTAAAACTATTTTAGAATTCTGGGAATCCAAATGTGTAGTTCTTAACATTTCTACTTGGAGATAGGAAAAAGAAAACAAAACTGTAAGTTCCTCCAGATCATTTTTGGCCCTTTTAATCTATAAACAAATGTAGTAACAAAAATATTTTGTAGATAGCTCATCAAAACAGTCATAATGTTGAATAGGTATGTACACACATTACAAAATTATACTTGCATGTAATGAGCATGTAACAAATATTTGTCAAGAAATGATTGCAATGCAAACTCATTTGTTGCTAAATATGAATTATTCTTAAAAATCTCACTGTCTAACACATTGTTCCTAATCTCAAGGCACTTTCAATATTCATAACTTGCCTTTGTATTCAATGAGACAGCTGGAAACAACCCAGCTGAAAAGACCGATGTCTGCCCAGCAGTTCTCAGATGCCCAGCATAGAGAGGCTTTCACATAGTTGATGACTAAAGCTGTACTTTCTTTTTTTATTACTATTATTATACTTTAAGTTTTAGGGTACATGTGCACAACGTGCAGGTTTGTTACATATGTATACGTGTGCCATGTTGGTGTGCTGCACCCGTTAACTCGTCATTTAACATTAGGTATATCTCCTAATGCTATTCCTCCCCCTTCCCCCACCCCACAACAGGCCCCGGTGTGTGATGTTCTCCTTCCTGTGTCCACGTGTTCTCATTATACAATCCCCACCTACGAGTGAGAACATGTGGTGTTTGGTTTTTTGTCCTTGCCATAGTTTGCTGAGAATGATGGTTTCCAGCTTCATCCATGTCCCTACAAAGGACATGAACTCATCATTTTTTATGGCTGCATAGTATTCCATGGTGTATATGTGTCACATTTTCTTAACCTAGTCTATCGTTGTTGGACATTTGGGTTGGTTCCAAGTCTTTGCTATTGTGAATAGTGCCACAATAAACATACGTGTGCATGTGTCTTTATAGCAGCATGATTTATAATCCTTTGGGTATATACCCAGGCTGGGTCAAATGGTATTTCTAGTTCTAGATCCCTGAGGAATCGCCACACTGTCTTCCACAATGGTTGAACTAGTTTACAGTCCCACCAACAGTGTAAAAGTGTTCCTATTTCTCCATATCCTCTCCAGCACCTGTTGTTTCCTGACTTTTTAATGATCACCATTCTAACTGGTGTGAGATCGTATCTCATTGTGGTTTTGATTTGCATTTCTCTGATGGCCAGTGATGATGAGCATTTTTTCACGTGTCTGTTGGCTGCATAAATGTCTTCTTTTGAGAAGTGTCTGTTCATATCTATCGTCCACTTCTTGATGGGGTTGTTTGTTTTTTTCTTGTAAATTTGTTTGAGTTCATTGTAGATTCTGGATATTAGCCTTTTGTCAGATGAGTAGATTGCAAAAATGTTCTCCCATACTGTAGGTTGCCTGTTCACTCTGATGGTAGTTTCTTTTGCTGTGCAGAAGCTCTTTAGTTTAATTAGATCCCATTTGTCAATTTTGGCTTTTGTTGCCATTGCTTTTGGTGTTTTAGACATGAAGTCCTTGCCCATGCCTATGTCCCAAATGGTATTGCCTAGGTTTTCTTCTAGGGTTTTTATGGTTTTAGGTCTAACATTTCAGTCTTTAATCCATCTTGAATTAATTTTTGTATAAGGTGTAAGGAAGGGATCCAGTCTCAGCTTTCTACATATGGCCAGCCAGTTTTCCCAGCACCATTTATTAAATAGGCAGTCCTTTCCCCATTGCTTGTTTTTGTCAGGTTTGTCAAAGATCAGATAGTTGTAGATATGTGGCATTATTTCTGAGGGCTCTGTTCTGTTCCATTGATCTATATCTCTGTTTTGGTACCAGTACCATGCTGTTTTGGTTACTGTAGCCTTGTAGTATAGTCTGAAGTCAGGTAGTGTGATGCCTCCAGCTTTGTTCTTTTGGCTTAGGATTGACTTGGCAATGCGGGCTCTTTTTTGGTTCCATACGAACTTTAAAGTAGCTTTTTCCAATTCTGTGAAGAAAGTCATTGGTAGCTTGATGGGGATGGCATTGAATCTATAAATTACCTTGGGCATTATGGCCATTTTCACAATATTGATTCTTCCTACCCATGAGCATGGAATGTTCTTCCATTTGTTTGTATCCTCTGTTATTTCATTGAGCAGTGGTTTGTAGTTCTCTTTGAAGAGGACCTTCACATCCCTTGTAAGTTGGATTCCTAGGTATTTTGTTCTCTTTGAAGCAATTGTGAATGGGAGTTCACTCATGATTTGGCTCTCTGTTTGTCTGTTATTGGTGTATAAGAATGCTTGTGATTTTTGCACAATGATTTTGTATCGTGAGACTTTGCTGAAGTTGCTTATCAGCTTAAGGAGATTTTGGACTGAGATGATGGGGTTTTCTAAATATACAATCATGTCATCTGCAAACAGGGACAATTTGACTTCCTCTTTTCCTAATTGCATACCCTTTATTTCCTTCTCCTGCCTGATTGCCCTGGCCAGAACTTCCAACACTATGTTGAATAGGAGTGGTGAGAGAGGGCATCCCTGTCTTGTGCCAGTTTTCAAAGGGAATGCTTTCAGTTTTTGCCCATTCAGTATGATATTGGCTGTGGGTTTGTCATAGATAGCTCTTATTATTTTGAGATACGTCCCATCAATAGCTAATTTATTGAGAGTTTTTAGCACGAAGGGCTGTCGAATTTTGTCGAAGGCCTTTTCTGCATCTATTGAGATAATCATGTGGTTTTTGTCTTTGGTTCTGTTTATATGCTGGACTACGTTTGTTGATTTGGGTATGTTGAACCAGCCTTGCATCCCAGGTATGAAGCCCACTTGATCATGATGGATAAGCTTTTTGATGTGCTGCTGGAGTCAGTTTGCCAGTATTTTATTGAGGATTTTTGCATCAATGTTCATCAGGGATATTGGTCTAAAATTCTCTTTTTTTGTTGTGTCTCTGCTAGGCTTTGGTATCAGGATGATGCTGGCCTCATAAAATGAGTTAGGGAGGATTCCCTCTTTTTCTATTGATTGGAATAGTTTCAGAAGGAATGGTACCAGCTCCTCCTTGTACCTCTGGTAGAATTTGGCTGTGAATCCATCTGGGTCCTGGACTTTTTTTGGTTGGTAAGCTATTAATTATTGCCTCAATTTCAGAGCCTGTTGTTGGTCTATTGAGAGATTCAACTTCTTCCTGGTTTAGTCTTGGGAGGGTGTATGTGTCGAGGAATTTATCCATTTTTTCCTGATTTTCTAGTTTATTTGCATAGAGGTGTTTATAGTATTCTCTGATGGTAGTTTGTATTTCTCTGGGATCGGTGATGATATCCCCTTTATCATTATTTATTGCGTCTATTTGATTCTTCTCTCTTTTCTTCTTTATTAGTCTTACTAGTGGTCTATCAGTTTTGTTGATCGTTTCAAAAAACCAGCTCCTGGATTCATTGATTTTTTGAAGGGTTTTTTGTGTCTCTATTTCCTTCAGTTCTGCTCTGATCTTAGTTATTTCTTGCCTTCTGCTAGCTTTTGAATGTGTTTGCTCTTGCTTCTCTGGTTCTTTTAATTGTGATATTAGGGTCTTGATTTTAGATCTTTCCTGCTTTCTCTTGTGGGCATTTAGTGCTGTAAATTTCCCTCTACACACTGCTTTAAATGTGTCCCAGAGATTCTGGTAGGTTGTGTCTTTGTTCTCGTTGGTTTCAAAGAACATCTTTATTTCTGCCTTCATTTTGTTATGTACCCAGTAGTCATTCAGGAGCAGGTTGTTCAGTTTCCATGTAGTTGGTTTTGAGTGAGTTTCTTAATCCTGAGTTCTAGTTTGATTGCACTGTGGTCTCACAGACCATTTGTTATCATTTCTGTTCTTTTACATTTGCTGAGGAGTGCTTTACTTCCAACTATGTGGTCAATTTGGAATAGGTGTGGTGTGGTGCTGAAAAGAATGTATATTCTGTTGATTTGGGTTGGAGAGTTCTGTAGATGTCTATTAGGTCCGCTTGGTGCAGAGCTGAGTTCAATTCCTGGATTTCCTTGTTAACTTTCTGTCTTGTCGATCTGTGTAATGTTGACAGTGGGGTGTTAAAGTCTCCCATTATTATTGTGTGGGAGTCTAAGTCTCTTTGTAGGTCTCTAAGGACTTGCTTTATGAATCTGGGTGCTCCTATATTGGGTGCATATATATTTAGGATAGTTAGCTCTTCTTGTTGAATTGATTCCTTTACCATTATGTAATGGCCTTCTTTGTCTCTTTTGATCTTTGTTGGTTTAAAGTCTGTTTTATCAGAGACTAGGATTGCAACCCCTGCCTTTTTTTGTTTTCCATTTGCTTGGTAGATCTTCCTCCATCCCTTTATTTTGAGCCTATGTGTGTCTCCGCACATGAGGTGGGTTTCCTGAATAGAGCACACTGATGGGTCTTGACTGTTTATCCAATTTGCCAGTCTGTGTCTTTTAATTGGAGCATTTAGCCCATTTACATTTAAGGTTAATATTGTTATGTGTGAATTTGATCATGTCATTATGATGTTAGCTGGTTATTTTGCTTGTTAGTTGATGCAGTTCCTTCCTAGCCTTGATGGTCTTTACAATTTGGCATGTTTTTGCAGTGGCTGGTACCAGTTGTTCCTTTCCATGTTTAGTGCTTCCTTCAGGAGCTCTTGTAGGGCAGGGCAGGGCTGGTGGTGACAAAATCAGCATTTGCTTGTCTGTAAAGGATTTTATTTCTCCTTCACTTATGAAGGTTAGCTTGGCTGGTTATGAAATTCTGGGTTGAAAATTCTTTTCTTTAAGAATGTTGAATATTGGCCCCCACTCTCTTCTGGCTTGTAGAGTTTCTGCCGAGAGATCAGCTGTTAGTCTGATGGGCTTCCCTTTGTGGGTAACCTGACCTTTCTCTCTGGCTGCCCTTAACATTTTTTCCTTCATTTCAACTTTGGTGAATCTGACAATTATGTGTCTTGGAGTTGCTCTTCTCGAGGAGTATCTTTGTGGCGTTCTCTGTATTTCCTGAATCCGAATGTTGGCCTGCCTTGTTAGATTGGGGAAGTTCTCCTGGATAATATCCTGCAGAGTGTTTTCCAACTTGGTTCCATTCTCCCCGTCACTTTCAGGTACACCAATCAGACGTAGATTTGGTCTTTTCACATAGTCCCATATTTCTTGGAGGCTTTGTTCATTTCTTTTTATTCTTTTTTCTCTAAACTTCTCTTCTCGCTTCATTTCATTCATTCGATCTTCTATCACTGATACCCTTTCTTCCAGTTGATCGAATCAGCTACTGAGGCTTGTGCATTCGTCACGTAGTCCTTGTGCCATGGTTTTCCGCTCCATCAGGTCCTTTAAGGACTTCTCTACATTGGTTATTCTAGTTAGCCATTTGTCTAATCTTTTTTCAAGGTTTTTAACTTCTTTGCCATGGGTTAGCTGTACTTTCTTAAATTCTGTGAGAGAAAACCCCAGGATGAGCCTATGCGTATCTCTGCTCCATGACCAGAGTTCTTGAGCTCCATGCTGACCCCACAACAAGATATTTTTACTTGGAACAAGTCGTTGTTTAAGAGCACTTCCAAGTTTTAATCATTACGTTTGGGGAGAACAAGATGATTGCCTTAAGAATTTTGAATTGCACATATTTAGCTTTTATACTGGGTTCTCTTGCATAGTTTTAAGTGCAGCTGAAACTGGACTTGTCACAAACCTAGCTTCTCACCATTAGTGATGGCAAGTAGATTTGACCAGATACCACTGACCCCCAGGATTCATCATGGCAAACACAGGGTTTGTGGGCAACTTATCTTTGCAGCTTACCAATGGCCAGTAGTAGCAATATTTTTTGATGTTGATCTATACAATATAGGGGTCTTAATTTTTCATTACCTAATTTCTTGTCTCTGTTTTGTGCCCAAATTGTGGGCACAAATTGTGCCCAGCACAGTTTTAAGTGACAGTGCAATTCTGTGGCTAATTTGTGCACTAGGGTTCAGCAGTAGATTGAGTTATTGTTCTCAATTTTTAACTCCCCGGGAGTTGCATTATATATCCACATTTTTGTCATCACCTCATGGTGAACAGAGTGAACTTTCTGACCCCTTCACTTGGTCACATGACTTGCTTGGCCAGGGAAGCATTGGCAGACATGATGTGAGACACTTGTCAAGAGTGCCAAGGTTGTGAAACCCTGCTATAAAGAGACAGCATGGAAAAGTAGACAGAATGGGAAGTTACAAGTTGCAGAGTTACCCTCCATGAAAGTACAACAGTGAGCATCTAAAACTCATTGTCGTCAAATCTCCTTGTTCCCTGGCCAGAATACCAACAAGGCAAATTTGGGGCTTGTGTGCACTTCTGACTTTGCTAAAATTCTCATGCCTGCTTTAGGAATTGCCAAATCAAGTCATCCTGTTGCCTGACAATTCCAAACCGTGCTCACACTACCCTCCTTGTGAAGTCTTTTTTGATTTGTCCCAAGTATCCAGTCACGTAGCTTGATAGAATCCCCCTGACCTCTACTCCTTAAACTTTAGTGAAGTTCTTTAAAACTGTATCAGTTTCACTTCAGGTATTTTCTGTGAGTGTATTTTTCGTGCTTCTTATTGTATTTATTTTTGCTCCATTACTTATAAGCACTTGAAAAACAGGCTTTGTGTTTAATTTTTGAGCCTCTTTCCTTGGAGTGGAATGTGGTTTGTTAACAGAGAATGGCTACCACTCAAGCACTGACATGTCTGTTTCTGTCGGGCATTTCATCTCATAGTGAGAAATGGCAGACTCAGCTGGGGTCCTGAAATGCTCACAGAAACTGGTAAAGATAATTTGAGGAGAATGTTGTGAAGGTCTAGGTGCTGATTTGAATGCTGTCCATTGGGAGAACAGCAGCTTATTTAATGAAAAGTGCAGGAGAAAAGTTTGCATGAACAAAACATCAACAGGAGAAGGAAGCCTTGAATTTGTGTTTTTTGAAGCATCTAGCAAAATACATTAGATAATAAATAAATATTTGTTGCTTGGATAGATGGATGGATGACTAGATAAACACACATATGAGAGAGGTAACCAATGAGGGCTTAGAAGCCTAAAGCTAGGTTTCTGAATTTGTTTTCAGTATTAACAGGGAGCTACAGAAAGATATTGCTGAGGAGAAGACTTCTAATGTGATAAATGTAGAAGATACATTTAACAGCTTCAGGGAGGGATGTGTGAGCTTGATCTTCTCATACAGGGTCTCAGGAAAATATAAATATATTGTCCCGAGGGAATTTTGGAGAGAATTTTCTATCTTATTTGTTATAATTATATCTGAAATGAACACAAATGATTATAAAATGGCACCAGAATTAAAGCATGTTTATGTTCATTCACAAACACAACTAATTCATGTTTAATATGTGTGAGCCTAGCCACAAAGACGTCAGTACATTTACCCTTTTTGCTGAAAGAAAAACATCATAGCTATCTAGTTAATCAGCAATGTTCGTTAGTGAATAATTCATGTTTTCCCAATGCAAGGGCAATTCAGTGAAGGCGGGTGATACAGAGGTAAAATTTGGGTCTTAAATACTCCTGAACAGGGGCTCATCAGTCGCTGTAACTGTATTTATTAAATGTGAAAAAAATGACATTTTGGTCATTATGTAGAATGTTCTTACAGTGGGGGGAAAGCTAGTACAGAATATAGAGATGTTAACGACAATTTCCAATTGTGTTTGAACAGAAAGACAGGCTGACAGTCCTACCTTCTCAGAAAGAATGATTTTTACTGGTCATTCAGAAACTCTGAAGAGGGCTTTATTCTCACCAATATACTGATTTTAACTGTGGCTCCCTTCTGACTGGCTCCTTATTGGATTTTGTAATACCTGTATCTTATAATACTGCATCTGGGGTCACAGCTTTCCCTTTACAAAGTGTTTTCACACCAGTCATTTCATCTGATCCTAATCACTGGACTAAGGAGGGGAAATCAGTATTTCCATTTCAGAGATAATAAACTCGTCCCAGGTAAAATGACTGATAGTTTTTGTCTCCAGGGGCAGCAGTGTCCTCATTGCTGTATGTCAGCTGTCTGAGAGAATAGTCTCTCAATAACAGGTGAGACACCTTTGGATGTTTTTACCTAATAGATGCCTTCATATTTCTTTACATAGGGTATCCATTTATAAAACAACTATGGATAATTCATTTGAAATAACTTCAAAGATTTTATTCTTCTCTTCATTAGCCTTAGTTTAAGGTTGCCTTTGAAATACTCATCATCTTGCTTCATCTTGAGTATTTGCCAGTGCTTAACTTCAAGAAGGTAATTATAAAAGCCATTCTACCTCAACCTGAAAAATCACAACCTTCTGGGAATAACATTTTTTCTGTAGAAGTATAGTTTGCCAAGGTAATTTGAAAAGAAAGAAAGGAGGCCGGGCACGGTGACTCATGCCTGTAATCCTAGAACTTTGGGAGGCCGAGGTGGGTGGATTGTCTAAGCTCAGGAATTTGAGACCAGCCTGGGCAAACGGTGAAACCCTATCTCTACTAAAACATACAAAAAATTAGCTGGGCAAGGCAGTGTGCGCCGGTAATCCCAGCTACTTGGGAGGCTGAGTCAGGAGAATCGCTTGAACCTGGAAGCTGGAGGCTGCAGTGAGCTGAGATCGCGCCATTGCACTCCAGCCTGGGTGACAGTGAGACTCTGTCTCAAAAACAAACAAACAAACAAAAAACCAAAAAAGAAGAGAAGGGGAAGGGAAGGGCCCCTGTTAGTTTCATATGTCCAAACCGTTAAGTTCTACTTTCTGATTTCTCAGAGATGATCGAAATTTTATATTTTAACTCTCTACCCCAAGGTCCAAGTTATTCTAAGCAAATGAAATGACTCAATTTCATTTTAAGGTGGAAAAGAACCACCATGCTTTTAAAAACAATCACTTTCCAAATTGACATTTTTCTAAGGTATCAGAGAACTCTTAATTGTTTCCAAATTTGGGTTGCAGTTGTTCATTAGAATGTATCAAATGTTAAAGAACTTAAATTTGATCATGCTCACATCCAATGTGCCCTGTACAATGTGAAACTGGCACAGTACAACACTTCTTTATAATGTTCCTTTCCTTGTAAGATCAACATGTGTTTTTAGGACATTTCACTCTCTTTGAGCATCTCTCCAAAAATTTCTGTGTGCTTTCAAGGGAATAAAAGAGCAGACACCTGTCTGATCCAGGGTATCATGGTGACTTATGCTTGGAATCCCATAGTAAGGGGGTGATGTAGCTAGAATATTCTCTCTACTTGGGTCCCCTTTTGGGTATATCTGTTGCTTGTAAACCTCAAATTATGCATGTACCACAACAGACAAGGTGTTTCTGAAAATTAAATAACTTCACCCAAATGAAGTTTCCTTTCTGTAAGAACTTCCATCCTCCTAATTCTGCATAGGGCCTGAATACAGACACAAAATATGCTTGGAGTGTCGGGTGCTTAATACTCCCATCAGCACAGCCATAATCATGGTAACATCAAATTGGGATATGACACCTCCTCACATGTTCCTTTGTTAAATTTTCATTTTATGCAATCTTGCTCATAGTTTTTGCTGCCTTTGCATGGTATCTCTTTTGTGTTCTCTTCAAAAATACTTCCCTTATAAAACCATAATTTGTTCTAGCTCTTTGACACCATTTCAAGTAGATACAGCTGGATGTAAACCACTTATTTATTCCTGACAAAAAATTTACACACAGCTGCTAAAAATAAAGTAAGGCAAATCCTCCTTTAATTCATTCAATATGCAGAGATAAAATTCATACACATCCCATGATGTGTAGGGTAAGTCTAATAAATAAGATTTCTCACTAATTCACAAAACTTAGTAATTCCTGCAAATTCACTGATTCACTTCTTCACTTATTTTGGTCATTGAATTTTTAGATTTGATTGTCATTTGTTACTCTATGCCCTGGACAAAATGGACCTTTTCATGAAGAAATGGGAAAAGTACCAATAAGTTAGAAATCAGTATCCTGTAACCCAGATGAAACCAGGAGTTACTCTGTTCTATTAATATTTTTGATCTTTTTTTAAAAATGTAGCTCTGATTTAGTGTCAATTTAAACCCTTCATTCACATAAAATCAAATCCCTCCATGAGATATTACTCATAGAAAGGATCTTATGTAGAACAGCATGCATGTTTTCCTTTCCCCGTATTTGCATTAAATTGGAACAGATTAACTTAATGTTGCATGAAAATAAGTGAAGTGTCATTTTAATTAAAAGACAGTAGTGCTATATCCCTTGGCTGAGCCTCAAAAAGCACTTTCCATTTCTTAAAAGTAAAATGGATAATTTTTCCTGATGGTTCATAAGCTAGAATTTTCTCTTAATCTATTTTGACACATTGGATTGGGCACTTTTGTACTGTGGACTATCATGTTGAGAATGAAGCCACAACATTTTGACAACTTCCCAGCACTGAGGCTTGCCCAACAGGGATAGGCAGTTAAAATGTCAATCAGAGTGGTCTACTAAAATGCAAAGAAACAATTGCCAGAAATGAACACTTTCTTAGTAGACACAACCCAAATCTGTGCTTTGAGCCTTTCATCTTGAGGAGAAATCCAGTCTTCAGCTGTAAAAAGAAACCGTGTTGGAAATTTGATTAACAAGCTCTATTGCATAGCACAAGTTGACCTGATACAATGGAGCATGTGTCAGAGGTAAAGCTGTCTTGTGGCTCCTTGAACCAGCCAAGATCTATGATCATAAACTGCCTTTTTTTTTTTTTTTTGAGACTACATTAATGGTAAGCCTTGGAAGTCATGATGAAACACAATTGCCTGTTCACTGGTATTTCCAACAACTGCCTTAGTATTTCTGAGCATAATTAGTATTTCTGAGCAAGCAAGCATGCACTCATATAGCAGACACACATGACAGTTTCTGTAGCAACACACATACACACACTTCTCCTAATTGTGGGAGACCATTGTAAATTCAGGAACAGAGAGAAGGTGGAGCTAACTAGAAGTCTCCAAATATGAGTTAGTTCATACATATCAACACTGGTTAAAAACCAGAATTTCGACGTTCCTTCCATTGATTCTACCTTTCTCAATATGTCAACCTAGCTACCTCTTGCTCAACTCTAGCCATTCTTTCCCTTGCTATTCTTTTAGGAAGCAGGAGCTAGTTTTGCAAATGGATTTAGCACTCATTGTGTATTCCATTCAGCATGGTCTTCAGGCAGTGCAGAAGAACGTCTTTTCTGTGTCCCTCACTAACAGAGTTTCTTGCCCTCTTTTCTTTCTTTCTTCCTCTGTGATTTGAGGACTGCAAGCATTCAAAAATGAATGTTCCTTTGACTCTTGTTCAGTTCTAAAGAAACCAATGTATTTTCAGAGATCACAGAAGAGAACAGTAAGAACAGATCATAGGAAAAAAACTTCTGGGCAAGACAGAAATCAAAAAGAAAACACAGGAAAATCTGTTAGGCCTGCTGAGTGAAGACCATGGATGCATTCAGGGAGGCAAAAGAGTCTCTTAATCACACAGTGTAAAAGTATGATCCTTGTCATTTTTGTTTTCCATTGCAGGCATTTCTAACAGGAACAAAAGCAGCACTGGAAAATGTATCAGCTCTGTTTTTTCTTGGCATAATATTTTGTGTGCTTGTTTATTCTCACAGGCATTTCTGAGAACATAAACCGAAAAAGCTTATTCTCAGAAAAAGGGTTATATTCTCAGTTCTAATGCTCCATCTGCATTAATGAGATTATACTGATAAATCCAAAATTACTCAGGCTGGAAATACACTTTTACCATTCTTGCTCCCCTCCCTTTCCACCTCTTCCAGCTAGGGCCGTCATCTCTTTTGGGAATAAAAAGTCAAAAAACAGTCCCATGGAGAATCTAACTTCAAAGTATTTTATAGATACCCAAAGCCTGGTAGAAAGAAAACTCAGCTGTATAATGGTCATTCTCCAGAGAAGAAATGAGAACACAGGTCAGGGAAATTGATGGCTGTACCCAGGCATGGAACCCAGGGTTCCAGTCTAACAGCAAAAGTTATCCACAGTCTCTACCCTTTCTATACTTCCAAATAGATGTGGCAGATTACATTGAGAAGAATAATTTTGTTGCCAGAAGTTGTTTTTTACATTAAATATCATTTTCCTGATTTTGGCTTGTTCTCAATAATGACAACCTGCAATAATCATGCATTCTGGGCACTGCATTTATTGCTTAATATATCTCTTCATTCAACATTAAAGCTCACAACTCTCCCAAGCAAATGCTTATTAAAACCCTGATCTTTAAATATTAAAAGTGTAGCATTAAAGACAATTCCAGTGAATTTATGAAACCTCATTTGAAATCCAACAAAGCATTTGTTTTGAGGCACATAGGGCAGTGGTGAAATGTTGAGAGTTTTCTAACCAATGGAATGACACATTTATCTTAGGGCTTGGAAAGGCTCTGTTTTGGACTGTTGTATAAGAAAATCTGGCCTCACTTAGATTGTGCCACCAAGACATTTGGCCCTAGTGCTGATGAGCTGGGAGCCAAGTGGCCATTAGGATACTAACACATGAAGATACTTCTCTTCAATCAGCAATTCTAAGAGTGGAAACTCTTCCTGGCTTGGGATTATGTAAATTTTCCAAATCAATGACATTTTATCATGGAGATTCTGACAAAGAAATGAGCACCTTATCCAACCTGGGCCATGCTCATCAACCAGAAATAGTGTAGACAGGGCTCCTGCCTTAGAAGGAAAGTTTGAGTACAGGACAGTGTTGTTCTAACTCCAGATTCCTTGCCTTCTGACTTCTGTTTTCAGAGGCAATCACTTGAAAAAAAATGCTGTCCATAATGACTCAAAATACTCTCTAACTACTGGGAATATATAGTACACTTAGAGAAATAAGTGGTTATTACCTGCGGTGGAGGATATGGTAAACAAATCATTGGTCTTAAAGTCTCACTTTGGGTAATTGTAATGGAGGGGGCTCTAAATTTCCTAAATTGGAATGGAAAAATAGAATTTCCTTAATTCCATTTTGTCTTTTCATTTTGGCTCCATTGCTTTTCCTATTCTGACCACCTCTATTTCTACTCCCAGTACAGCATTGTAGCACCTAACCCACCTGTCATTCTTATATAATCCAGTTTCAAAGTACCTCTTAATTTGATATGAAATCATTACAGTTGTACACATAATTACTCATAATGATCATCTAAAGCAACATCAAATGGAAAATTGTTCTTCAAGGAAATGTTAAGTTCCATATAACTTGCCCTTGCCGTCATGTATATACCATCATTTAGGAGACCTAAATGGTTAGAATGGATCCCCTATTAGCCCTGTCTCTTAGTCAGTGGCTATGAATAGATGTTCCTATTTGGGAAAATTGTCAAGTTCATTTTATAAAATTAACTTCAAAGAAAATCTGTTTCATGCATCCAAACTTTCAAAACTCCTAATAATAGATGTCTATTATAACCAGAACTTTCCAGATGATGGTAAAAGGACAACAGTAGAGATTTTTTGTTGATCAAAGAAAAACAAATATTGGTGGATGAGAAGAGGCTAACACAGTACTTGGAGAATAACTGTATTGTAGCAGCTGCTTTAATGCTTCCTTATTGGCCAACCTGTGCTAGTCATGTAGCTATGGTGGATAGTTCTAGGTCCACTGGCAGTCTCACATCAAGAGGCCTGGCTATGAGGTCTCCCCACTTTTCTGTCTCAGAACGTTAAGTTGCTTAAATTCAGTCCAGGTGGGCTCCTGGGAAACAATGGGAAGGGGTCAGTGAATAAATACTTCAGCTTCATCCTTCAGAAGTACAAGTCTCAGGCAAGTTCTATACTAGGGGTCAGCAAACTCTTTTGGCAATGGGCCAGATATTTATTTAGCTATTTTAGGCCATGTGGTCTCTGTCACAGCTACTTAACTCTGTCATTGTAGCACAAAAGCAGCTATAGACAACATGTAAACAAATGGATGCAGCCCTGTGCCAATAAAACTTTATTCATGAAAAACAGGCCAGGTTCGGCCCACAGGATATAGTTTGGGGACATTTGTTCTACATAATTTCTTAGAAATTCTCTAGGGGGGTTGAGGTCCCTACTTCTAACCTACACAATCTTTTGTTTTATTTTTCTTTCTTTTCTCATTTTTCCTACTTCCTTACCCCTGCTTCCTGGAATCATCTCCTAAATAAACTACCTGCCCTCACACCCTTATTTCATGCTCTGTTAAAAAAAAAAAACAAAAACAAAAAAAAAACACACACATAGGAGGCACAGGCACCCACTCAATGTCTGTTGACAGAAGTAATGAAGGAAGCATGCATGATAAGATGTGATCCACTATAGACTGGCTTTGGTGCCCTGGTCAAAACGAATGCTTACTAGAAAATGATAATTAAGATGAAGCAGCAACTTCAGGACCTGGGCTCATTCTGGCATTAGAATAAATTGCATAACCTTTATATTCTGTATTCCATAATCATTTATTTTAGAAAGGAAGTATTGCAAAGGAACATATCTGGTTCATGAAGGGCTACAGACTAGGGAGGAGAGTGCTGGCTAGCAAATTGGCATTGATAAAGTAGTCCGGAGCTGACTCCAAGTCATGTATTTTTCAAGTAGTCCCTCTAGAAAACTCTACAAAAAGCCAGTCTACACACACCCTCAGATTTAGTGAACAGTGACAGTGGGGGGCGCCCTGCTCAAAACAAGGGAACCATGAGATGGCAGTCTCAGAGCAGGCCTCTTAGTGGTTTCTCCAATCTTTTTCCTCTGCTGATTAAATTTGTAGAAAGAATTCCTTTTTGTCTGTTCTTCATAAAGGGTACTTTGGGGTTTGACCCTACCCATCCTCCCTCAGCTTACCACAATAGCAACATGGTAGGAAAAATATATACTGCTCTTCCATTGATGATTGTTAGATATGACCTTAACAGCAATTTGATTTTTTAAGACAGGGTCTTCCTGTGTTGCCCAGGCTGGAGTGCAGTGGTATGATCATGGCTCACTACAGCCTCAACTTCCTGGGCTCAAGCCATCCTCCCAGCTCAGCCTCCAAGTAGTTGGGACTACAGGTGCACACCATCATGCATGGCTAATTTTTAAAATTTTTTGTACAGACGGGGTTTCACTATGTTGCCCAGGCTGGTCTCCAACACCTGGGCTCAAGTGATCGTCCCACCTCGGCCTCCCAAAGTGCTGGGAATACAGGTGTGAACCACCACACCTTGCCTGCAGTTTGATTTTCTAATAGATGTATACTTAAATGTTTCACTCTTTGGAACCTAGATTTGACAGTGGACTGGGAAAACTCCATTTTAAAAGCATACCTTTGTCTAGTTAGGTTTATTGAATGATGGGAATATGGAAAGTGGGCAAATATTTGACCATTTTCTCTAAGGGCATTAAAGGATCTGTAACTATATAAAGTTGGTAATGATGAGTTACTAATCCTGTGGTCAAATATAAGGAACTCAACCAGGGCAGAGTCCATAAATTCCCTAAAGATTCAATATTTAAGTTTCCATATGAAAAAAATACAAAAAGTTATCCATTCTGTTCTTCTTAGGAAAATAATGTCCTGGTTCAAATTTGACGGTCAGTGGAGTTATATTGTTTTGTACTTCCTTCTACTTCATCTTATGCTTCTTCCTTGCACTCTATTCATTCTTTCATTTATAAAATAAATAGAGTATTATCTACAAAACACAGGAGGTGGTTTGGAACACTGTATTCATTATCCTTCCCTATGGGCAAATTTAGCTCCTCAGTCTATTGGAGTCAGGCTTGGACAAGTGACTTGCATTGGCGAATGAAACATGAGTGCAAGTGACAGAATACTTCCTAGGAAAATTTTTTAAGCAGACTCAGTGTTTCTTCTTTCCTTTTATTTTATTTTAGGTGATACCTAAAGTGAAGGCAGCAAGGTAGAAAGCCACAGGTAATCCACAATGGCTTTCATGAGAAAGAGAAACAAACCTCTGTTGCTGGAAGCCACTGAGATATTTGGGGTTGTTTGTTTATTTACCATGGTATTATTTCACCAAAACTCACAGTTACAGGGGTTCAAAGATGAAACAGACATGGCTCCTGTGCTCAAAAAGGTTTAGTAAAAGTCATACAGTAGGAAGACTTCTTGTATATGGTATGGGCTAGTAGTATGAATAGTGGTTAAGGGCACAAATTTTGCAGTCATGAAGCCTGGGTTTGAAACCCCCACTCCCATTTAAGTTTGGCTAATTTACAAAGGTTATTTATCCTCTCTCAGCCTTACAAATATAGTTCTCAACTTGCTGGGCTGGCAGGTGGAATAGCTGAGATAATATTACCATATGTACAACACAGGACAAAATAATTTGCTCAGAGGAAGTGCTCCATGCAAATTACGAACAATTTAAAGCTATTTAAGGGAATTCACTATGACATTGATGGCGTCATGTACTTCCACAAGATAAGTTTTATCTCTTTTATCTTGATCCTTGGATCAACAGATAGCAAAGACTGAGAAACTTTTAGGCAGAGAATCAGTATCTTGAATTGTAACTCCCTAGATTGCCACAAGGAACTTATCTTGTAAACAAATAATCCTAAAGTTCTTTCCCTTCTCTTGAAGTTTTTTACACTTCACAAAACCTCATTTCCTCTACATGCAAAATGAGAACTATGTTAGTTACATGCATGTATCACACATCTCGTTTTGGGAAAAAATCCTAGTGAGGAAGCGAAGGATCTGGGTTTGGAGTCTGCACATCATGGTGACTAGCCATGTGACCTTCCTTGTACCAGTCACTTAATCCAGTAGATTTCTTGAGTCAGCAAAATTTAAAAACAAACTATATAGGTCATGCTTTAAGCTTTCACTTTTAACTTTGCTAAAGAAGAATTTTGAAAGAAAAGAAACTTGCTATTAATAACTATTATTTTGTATAAGAGAGAGTATTTTCATACACAAACAATATGAAGGACCCAATGGAAATAAAGGACAATCTCTTCCAAGAAGGTAAATGACAAACTTACATAAACATGTAGCACAAAAGAGGATTTATTTGAAAAATATTTGAATATAGAAAAATTAGAGTATAAAATCTTACTGTATTTATTTCATTTTAGTAATTGTTTTCTAAACACAAATTATTTTGTAAATCCTCATTTTGAGGGTCTACATTCAGCAGTAAAAACCAGGGAATTACGAGGCCCAATATGCTCCTTTACTTAAAAAAAATCCCCAACATATTATTTGTATACAAAATCGATTTTGACATTTACATATACTGACAAGAAAATAACAACAGCTCTTTCAATCAATTTGGGATGTTCAGTAGTTTGGGGGAAACCCAAATACAACAGCAGTACTTCAGCTGCTTCAAATGCCATTAAAATTACATGGCCAATTGATTTTAAACAAAGGTGTCATGGTAATTCAATGGGCAAAAGACATATGTAGTTGGAACAACTAGATATCTGCACATGGAAAAAATGAATCTCACCCTTGACTCACTATGGACAAAAATTAACCTAAAATGGATCATATCTCCAAACATAAGAACTAAGAACATGAAACTTCTACAAAAAAGTGTTGGACAAAATCTTTGTGACCCTGAGTTAGGTAAAGATTTCTTAAACAGGATGTAGAAAACATGAGCCATAAAAGAAATATATTGATAAACTGGACCTTATCAAGATTAGAAGCTTTTGGTTTTCGGAAGACACATTTAAGAAAACAAAAGGCAAGCCACAGACTGAGAGAAAATATACGTGAAGTATATATCCAACAGAGGGCTTATATCCAGAATATGTAAAGATTTGATACAATTCAATATGAAGACAACCCAATTTTAAATGGTAAAAATATTTGATCAGACATTTCATATACACATTAAAGATGCTCAGTATTACTAAGCAGGGAAATGCAAAATTGAAACCACAATGAGGTCTCATTAGATATCCACTAGAATGGCTAAAATTAAAAAGACTGACAATATCAACTGTTGGTGAGAATATGAATCAACTGGACTCTCATATATTGTTAGTGGGGATAGAAGTGGTACAGTCACTTTTGGAAACATTTTGGTAATATCTCATGAAGTCAAGCATATATTTATCATACGATCCAGCAGTATGACTTTCATGTATTTAATCAAGAGAAATTAAAACAAGTCTCTACACAGACTTCTACATGGTAGTTCATAGCAGCGATATGCATAATAACCAAAATTAGAAAAAAATACAAAATGTCTACCAACTCTGAATGAATAAACAAATTATGGTATATCTATAGTATGGAATACCACTGCACAGTGCAAATAAGCAAAATATGATACGTACAAAAAATGGATAAATCTCAAAATGTTATGCTAAGTGGAGTAAGTCAAACACAAAATATTCTGCTTATATGAAATTCTAGGAAAGCCAAAACTATAATAGCAGAAAGCCAGTTAGTGGATATCTGGGGCCAGGGGATAGGGGAGCAGATTGACCGTAAGGGACTTGAGGAAACTATGGGTAGATGGAAGTGTTCTGTAACTTGATTTTAGAGGTGTTTACATAATAGTAAACAATTACTAAAATTCAGCAATTACACTTCAGATTGGCAAATTTTCTTGTATATAAATTATATTTCAATAATGCTGGGAATGGTGGGGGTGGGCAATGAATGCCCTTACAAATTTCACCCACAGTTGCAGTAGGAGCCTAACAAAATATGTATTTCAACTTACTTAAAAAAAAGGATCCTGGGAGAAACCCAGGAAACAAGAGGACACTCCTGACAAATCCCCACGCTTGAGGCTACTCCCTGAGAGCTTAACACCAAATGGGCAGAAATTTACCTGAAAAGAAGTACTTTCTCTGTTTGGATGAAGGAAACCCTATCTCTGTGATAGATCTTTTCCAAAGATGGCTGCCAACAATTGTCCCAACTTCTGTGCTCCATGGTCAATGGAGTTATATTGTTTTGTACTTCCTTCTACTTCATCTTATGCTTCTTCCTTGCATTCTATTCATTCATTCATTCATTTATAAAATAGAGTATCTATCTATAAAACACAGGACGTGGTTTGGAACACTGTATTCATTATCCTTCCCTATGGGCAAATTTAGCTCCTCACTCCATTGGAGTCAGGCTTGGACAAGTGACTTGCATCTTAGGCTTCTTCCATTGATTGTGCCTCATGGTCTTCATTTCTTCGACCAAAGTCGTGGAGACTGTTTCCCTTCCCCTTGAAGCTGAGCTGGCCCTGACCTGCCTTCACCAATGGAAATCACAGGCCTAGACCTCAAGAGTCTTGGAAACTTCTGTTTTCACCCTCTTGGAACCCTGAGATCACCATGCTGTGGAAAGGCCATCAAGGAACCAAGATGGCCTGGGAACCAACAGCTCTAGTCAGCCATTAGCCAAGCTCATGTAGTCACATAAGTGACATCAGACAAGGTCAGCAGAACTACCCAGTCAACCCTCTGAATCAAGAGAAACAATACATCATGGCCGTTCTGAGCCATTAAGTTTTAGTGTGGTTACCCAGTGATAGATTACTGACTTAAACTCCATGAATCCCAGTGAGTTGGGGGTCCTCAAAACCTCCTCCATATTTGGTGATTAACTAGAAGGACTCATTGGTCTCATAGTAGTACTCATGGTTAAGATTTATTACAGCAATAGTCTGCAGAATCTTCTGGAGAAATCCCTGTACAAACTTGCTATCCTTTCTCCATCTCATGAAAAGTCACACTGAGTGCATTATCTTCTTAGCAATAAAAATGAAGGAATTTGTGTGTCTGAGGTTTTTGGCCAAGGAAACCCATTAAAGACTCAACATCCAAAGTTTTTATTGGGTGCTGATCATGTAGGCACCCTCTGCCTGGCAACTTCTAAAATTCCAGGTTCCCAGAAGGAAATCAGTTGTTCACCATAAATTACATTGTACAAATTGTCTAGGCACAGTGAGTAAACCTTATCATTAAGTGATGGAGGGAACATTTTGGGAGTCAAGTTCCTATGCATTAGCCAGGAACCAACCTTGATAAGGAGCCCTTCTAAAGGTAGCAGTTTCAGGCTTGCTATCTTAACTCCTTGCTAAACATTCAGTTGGTCTTCACCATCTTACAGGTTTGCTCTGAAGATTAAGAGAGACGGTGATGGTAAAGCATTTTGTAGCGCTAGCTGTAAAATGTATAGAATCACCATTTTCCGAAATCACTATCATCATTACTGCATTTTGCTGGGTTCTTTAACGTAATACTTCACAAGAATCAACACTTACCTGACACCTTATCATTTGCAGAAAGGAAATATAGTGAAGTGGTTTAATATATTCCCCAGGAAGTTGAATCCTGGCTCCACCACTTAACCATCACATTGTCAAGTTATTTAAGCTCTCTGTGTCTAAATTACTCACCTCTAGTATGGAGATAATAATAGTATCTATACCGTATGTAGTATTCATGAGGATTAAATGAGAGGTGATTCAACAAAGTACTAACACAGTGCCTGGCAGATAATAAATGCAACGTAGGATTTCTGAACAGAGCACTCTTCTCATCGCCAAACAATTCTATTTTGGATATCTTTCTTCATGGCCCAGTGGAGTGAGAAACATGAGGACCACTGCAATGACAATCATTATGAGAGGGTCAGTAGTCTAATGAACTAGATTCTTCTTCTCTGTAGTATGTCAACTGCCTACCCTCTCTCCAGTTCCCCTGTAGATTCCCACCAGAAAATGTTCTTCAAGATTGTGTTGGCATTTCCTTTTGACGAAGGGGACAAACAGAACACATTTGTTTTGTCAAAAACCAGCTGCAAAACCAACTCAGCTGTGATTGCAAACAGTGGAAGAGTTTACTGACTGACAGTCTACAGGATTTAGATAGAGTCCTCTCTCAGAGTGGCTAGAGTTTTATTTCTGAGCCTCTTAAAAATTCAAATCATTCAGGTATTACTTCGGTGAAGCTGAGCATGTGGAAAATCACAAATAGGGTCAAAATCAGCACCAGCAAAACTGACCTGAAGGGAATCTGTTGAATGACAACTTCTCATCCTCACATATGAGGTAGAGATGAAAGTGTGGAACTGACCAAATCCATTTCATTTTAAGCACAATCTAAATAGTAGGAAGCTTTTGTTCAAACTCTGAAGCATAAATTAAACATACTGTGGAGGAAGATACTATCTAATTTTTTTATTATCTACTGCAGTTTAAACCTGTTTGCAGAATGCAAATATTACAGCAGCAAATGTCCAAAATTATTTAAGAATCTTACAATAAGTTATTTTCATCTGTCATTTATCCTCTGGTCATTTTATACATAAAGAGTAATTCTTATTTAAGACAAATCCCCTCTTTGAATTAAAGCTCAAGAAGGTATCTGTGGTGATTTCTTTCTGTGTTTATTTCCCTTTGACAGAGAGGGAGGGAGGAAGAAGGAAGATTGGAGGAGGGGGTAGAGGTGGGGCAAGCAGTGATATGCTGATAAACTGGCTAAAATAAAAGCAATCTAATTTGTAGTTTTTGTTGATTTTTGTAATGTAAATATTCCCGGCATGGCCAATTTCATGCTATTAATAATTTATTGACTCTCCCAAGCTGGTAGGAACTGGTTCTAGTACCACTAAATGAAGGTATAAAGAGAAAGGAAGAAAGGGAGACAGAAAGGGAGAGAGAATGGAAAGGAAGAAAGAAGAGAGAGAGAAAGAGATGGAGAAAGAAGACTTGAGTAGTCACATCAGCCAGTAATTTTTGAGTTCATATTATGTAGTTGGCATTTACATAGATTATTTTAATTTATTCTCTCTATAGCTCTATAATGTAGGTCTGTTATCTTTATGTCCATTTGAAAATGAGGAAACCAGCTGGGTACAGTGGCTCATGCCTGTAATCCCAGCACTTTGGGAGGCCTAGGTGGGAGGATCACCTGAGGTTAGGAGTTCGAGACCAGCCTGACCAACATGGAGAAACCCCGTCTCTACTAAAAATGCAAAATCAGCCAGGCACGGTGGTGCATGCCTATAATCCCAGCTACTCGGGAGGCTGAGGCAGGAGAATTGCTTGAACCCAGTGGAACTCACTTGTATGAAAAAACAAAGAAAATGAGGAAACTTAGGCATGTGTAAGTTCACTAAAAATGTTTGAAAGCTACATGACCAGTTTGTGGTAGAACAATAATGAGGCAGCACTCCAGTCCTTTCCTCCCAAATGAGACATTTACCTTCAGTGCATTAAGATTGAATCTAGACACCTTGATGGAAGCTCATATACCTCACCTACCTAACTTGACTTGGTCCAATGATGTCCTAGGCCACTGGTCATTTTTCTTGAATCTCTGTAACTGCAATTACTATATACCTGGACTCTCAACAATTGCTCCTGTATTCCAAGAAGGAGCTATTCACGAATCATCTTATATAAGAAGCCTAGGGTCTTTTGTGGAACATAGGAGATGTTTTATTTTAGACAGGCAACACAGATGCAATGAAATGAATGATGAGGACTTAACATGCTGGGCAATAGCAATCTATCACCAGAGTCTCCCATTTTATACTCTACACAAGATTACCATTATTTTAATTAAACAATAACTAATTGGTTCTGCAAAACCTTGTATTTCCAGTCCTAACCTTTTGTCAGAACTATAGGATAAAGTTACTTTGAACATATACGGTGGTGATGAAAGGATCCTGAAAACGTGTCTAACCCTGTCAGGCGACATTCTGTTAGTGGAAGAAGCACAGGGTGCTTTTTTCTTTTATTTTTAATAAACTTTTTATTTTGGTATAATTTTAGGTTGCAGAGAAGTTGCAAGGATAATATAAATAGTTCCTGCATGCCCTTCACCCAGCGTCACATGATATATTTGTCAAAACTGAGCAATTATTTTTGGTATATTACTGTTAACTCCAGACTTTATTCTAATTTTATAATGGCTATATGGTAATTGTTAAATAATAGGATAATGTGTGTAATGTTACAGAATTTATAAGTTGTTTTCACTTAATAAACTTCCATTTACGGCCCTGCATCAACCCTGGAGAGATAGGTAGGCTTAGTGATACCTCACTGAAAAGATGATGAGGTTATAGTTTCTTGAAGTTTAGTCTAATAGGTAGAGCTTTAAAAAAAAAAAAAAAACGTGGCTTTCTAACTCCAAACCTCATGCTTTCTTTTATCCCACTGAACTCATTGTCTCTGAAAAAACGAGGTTTCCCACTGTGCTGGAAGGATCAGCTCACAGTGATGGATAAGAATCTGCAGCAAAGCTTAACATCTGAGTTCTTCTTTTAGAACACATCACCAGTATGTCTAAAAATTAACTCCTCACGTGGGCTTGCTTCTCTCTTTTTGTTGTAAACCTACATTGGGAAATCTGGTCTTGATCATCAAAACATCATTTTCCTTTGCAAAAAAAAAAAAACCCTCCAGCAATTCTTTGACATTCAATATTCTCGGCAGTCCACGATCACGTGGTTATTCTTAATTGCATTGTGGAATCTTGCAGTATTGTAGTTCTTCCAGAAATTTCATTGTTTCAACACTCACATGACTTTTAGAAGAGATTATAGAGCAAGGAATGTCTTCTTAGCTTAGAAAATAGGAATTTGTCATACAAGTGTTTTCCAAGTACCTTCTCTTAAAAATATTTTGTATTCCAAAATCTCTAAGATATCACTGGTTTCTGAAAAATCAAAGCTTACAGATCCATCATTGAAATTTTAGGAAAAAGATAAGCTCATTGATTGATTTATGTCTGGAAGCACAACTCATTTAAAATGTTAATATTCACATAGAAACTTATGAATCTGAAGACCAACTTTTAGCTAAGACAATGCTATTTTTGAATATTCTAAGAAGTCATAATAAAGATTAGTTTTCTTCTGCCTTTTTAAAAAACTTCCCTGGACAAGTAGCAAATCTGCTTACAAACAAAGCTTTCCTGCACCATATTTATTTCATCTGCATTTACAAAATAGAACATGTGGAAATAACAACTAAGCCTTCACGATAAAACAGAAGAATAAAATTTGAATGTCAACCTTTTGGTTTGGTATGTTAATATGTTCGATTGAGGAGCGTAGAACATTAAAATAAAAGTCAGAGGTTCACTGTTGTATAAATAAACTCATAATCCATGCAAATCATCAAAGTGCTCATTCTATATCAGAAATCAAAACTTGGCTGAATTTTTCAGATGCTGTTATCCCTAGCTCAAAGTCATGTTCTGTTTTTACTTTATTCTGTCACATAAAAGGGCTTAATACGTGATGGTTATAAATGAATAAACGATAGAATATAGTGTGAAATGTTGCCTACTGGGAAACCCAAACTTCCTGTAACCAGCTTTATGGTCCTTGATATCAAAATAACTCGGAACTGATACTGAGGGATGATACGCTAATGAAAAAAACGATGACCTTATTGCCACCATTTTACTCCCACCAATGGAATCCAGAAATACTTCCTCAGAATTACCAGGAAAGATTGTGCTGGTTTTAAGAAGACATAATTTTTTTCCTATTAAATACCTTAAGTAAATTATTCACTTCAAAAGTAAACAAATATAAACAACAAAAAATCTAAAACTAAAGGAGCAACCTTGCCATTCCCTCATTTTTTTTCTCTAACCATTCCAGTATTAAGACTGACCTCCTGTAGCTACTTTGCTTTAAAAATATATCTGCTTTTCAAGAAGCAGAACATCGTACTCTTTGGACAGTTGCTGAGGCGTAATTCTCTCCTTTATTTGCTTAATTTGCTCTGCCTACTGTAGGAAATTTTGAAAAATCACATGAGATAAACACAACACCTTAAAATGGGCAACAAAACTCAACATAACCACTGACCAACAGTGCTTCTATACTACTTGCCTCTAAGTAACAATGCCAAATAGGTGGTTTTTTATTTTATTTTTGAGTAATGAGAGTCACATTATATAATTACACTTTTTGGACATTCTACTCTACCTTCTACAGGCAAAATCAAAAGTAGAGATAATTATATCCATGCCGGGCTGGAAGCCTGGGCTTGCCATTTGGAGCTCCAGGACAGTGGCCATCAAGCATTCATCATGTCTGAGCAGACAGGACAACGTGTAAGGCAGTTTTGAGGTGGTAATTCACCAAGCTACAGGAAGCCCTCACAGCAGTGCGTTTTTAGAAGTAGCAATTTTAGTCTCATCAGTGGTAATTTACAAGTGATTTAATGGTACTGAATCATGGACCTGTTTCAACATTTATGAGAGGACATAACATGTTATGACAATTTCACAGTACAAAATGAATATTAATATTAAAAATAGGCTTGCTTTTAACTGATATTCAATTTGGGAGATGTTCAATCTTTTTTTGAGGGGGCATACTTTTCGTTAAAACATAGGCCTTGCAGGAGAGAAATGATAATGCTGACAGAGAACAGAGGGACTGACAATGCAGATTACTGCCATGTTGGGAAATTGGCATTGGCCCGTTATACCAGCTGTTTTCTGCTGATTATGGCAAATTCTTAATCACTTTTCCTTGCTCTCCTCATCTAGTTGTTGGGAAAAAAAGATGTCAAGATAATACTCATGGCAATGAATATGATGCAGATATTAAACAAAAGTTATTCCATGATATAATGTATGACAAAGTAGATGGATATCCATCTGTAAATCCCATTTTAATTATGAGTGATCTAAAATTATTTTTGAAAAATTTAAAATCATTACTATTTGAGAATGACAATTTAAATGGGAGATTCAAAGTAAAAAATAAGCAATTTGTATTTATCCTGAAAAGATAAAGCTTTTTTTAGTCAGAGTCATCCTTTCAGATACAGCAGCCCTTGTTGGTCTCGGTTTTGCAATTTGGGTGCTGGTTGTGGTTGACATTATTATCCCTGTAAACAGAGGAAAAACGAGTCAGCAAAGGAGATAATATTCTACTGAGATAATTATACAGCATCTCTTCTGATACAGTCCATATAATGTCTCATAGTATAAGTATTAGAGAATAGTAGAAAGGTAGCGGGAAAAGATTAGAAAAGAGAAAGAATAGAGCTGCTAGAGATAAAAGTTCAAGGAGAAGGTGAGAAGTGAACTCAGAAAAAATAAAGTAGCTATTGAGGCTGGAAAAAAAGGAAAATGTATTTAATATGCAAACACTTGGGACACAGACAGGAATGGAAAAGAGGAAAGTAAGTAGAATTCACACACACACACACACACACACACACACACGGGCATACACACATATCACTGAGGGTATCAATAGTGGGAAGCTGTAAGCAATATAAAATTTGAAAACAAGGTTTTACAATGTAAACTAAGAAATGACTGTGCTAACAGCCTGAAAACTTTTGAGACAAATACAAGCAAAGATATTACATATTTAAAGACCTTTTCCTGGTTCTTGACCTGTGAGCATATTTTTATATACACAGAAATAGGTATCAGTCAAAATATGATATGTATGCCATCTTTGTCCCTTTCCTTCAAGACCACACCTTCTGAAAATGTCCCTCAACTCTCTTCCCAATTAAACAGACGGAAAATGTATCTCATGGAAGGAGAAAATTAGAAAACCCATGAAAGACCAAAAGAGATTCTTCAAAACCATTTTCCAAACACAATTGGGTATTGTCTGAAAAAGAGGAAAGTGTCATTAATTATCTGTTCATTGGAGGGGGGCAGGGATGAGCTGAGGGTTCTAAATACTATGAATAAAAGAAGGCAAAACGTCTGGTCTCTCTGGATCAGGCAGGTTTCAATGAGAAGAGGGAATCCGAGCAAAGACTTGAAGGAGGAGAAGACATGAACCATGCAAATACCAGGGGAAGTGATTCAGGTCCAATGGAAGAGCCAGTGCGCAGATCCTAAGGCAGATATCTGCTTGCCACATTTAAGGCTGGTGGATCTGAAGTGGAATGAGCAGTAGGAAATGATGTCATGGAGGTAATAGGCCAGGTCCTGAAGGGCCTTGTCGACCATTCACTGTGAGGACTTCGCCTTTTTTTTTTTCCTGAATAAGATGAGGGGCCACTGGCTTAATGTACTCTAGTTTATGTCTCTCAGTCTGTTTCTCTCTCTCTTTTTTTTTTTTTTTTTTTTGGATAAATAGAACAACACTGAGTCCAAACCAAAGAGTTATTTCCATTGATTTATTGGCAATTATTCTGGGCATAGAAGGTCCCCATCAAACATTCTATCTCAGTTTAGTAGATGGTTACATGTTTATTTGAGGAAAACTATGGCAGTTTTTGCTGGCTGCTATCCAATAGTCAGCTTCCCTTCTTCCTTGGTAAAATAATCTCTCTTTCAAAAAGTATGAGTATGAGCAGTTAAAAGGCTATGTTTCCAGTCTTGGAGCTCACTGAAGCCATGTGATTAAGCTGTGGGCAATGATATTGCAGTGAAAATATTGAATGGGATTTCCATGAAATTTGCTTTATGCTGAGAAATCATATGTCTTTCCTTATTTCTGTCTCAATCCTTTTCCTATTCTCTGGAATGTAGAGGTCAGTGTCATGGATTCATAGGCTACCTTACAACATGAGATGAACTTGAAATTAAAAGCAATTCACTATAATGGTAGAACAGAAAGTTCCCTTGGTGACTGTGCAGTGTCCAACCAAGCCTTGTCCTACCCAACTTCCCTTTTTTTTAATAGGACAGATAAACTTCTGTCTTTTAACACCACTGTTTATTATCATTATTATATATAACTGTTACTATTAATTTTCTATTACAGGTCATAGAACCTAACCCAAACAGAGAGAGTTAGGATGTTTTATCCCTATGATTTCTTTTTATTAATTTTGTAGCTTTTGTTTCTATTTTTTTTTAATCATTCCTTTGGCTTTTAAATAATACATCTCTCTCCCCTAATATTAGCACAATGGATTTAGAAAATCTCTTCACAGGAATAAAAGGAGAGCCAGTTCAAATAATTTCTGCCTATAATTTCTTTTTTTTTCTTTTCTTTTGAGACAAGGTCTCATTCTCCCACCCAGACTGGAGTGCAGTGGCGCAAACATGGCTCACTGCAGCCTCCACCTCCCAGGCTCAAGAAATCCTCCCATCTCAGCCTCCTGAGTAGCTGGGACTATGGGAATGTACCACCGTGTCCAGCTAATTTTTAAATTTTTAATAGAGATGGTGGTCTCCCTATGTTGCCAAGGCTGATCTCAAACTCCTGGGCTCAAGTGATGCTCCCACCTTGGTCTCCCGAAGTGCTGTAATTAGAGGCGTGAGTCACCCTGCCTGGCCTGAACTGCCTATAAATAAGGATATCATGAGTAGTGAAACATAAAATCAGAATCCAAGATGAAGGCAAGAGACAAACTGGCTAAAGTTATCATAAACAGAGAGAACAACAATCTTTATCCTGTACTAAATAAGTGAAAAGCATCATTATTAGTAGTAGCATGATTTGTGTCAGTATTATATTTTGTTGGATTATTCCATTATTTTAAGAAAAATTTTTCTGGCTAATTCTCCAAGTCCAGTCATTCTGATAATCCAATTTCAGTTACTGAAAAAACGACAACAGTATCTTATATTTTGAGTGCACTCAGCTTCCAAAGCAATTTGAGATATATTACTGTCTCAAATACTGACAACAATATTGAGATATAGGGTAGTTAAAATGGTAACTCTTACTTAACACTCAAGGACAGTGAGGATCAAAAAGTTTGAGCAACTTGTCCACAGTTGCCCAGTTGGGAAGTTAGAAAAAAAGTTTTAAGAATAATTTTTCTGATTGCTAAATCCAGTATTTGTTTATCCTATGGTTTTTCTCTCTAAAGAATTTCTCAGAGAGCAGAGGGTTGACCACAATCAGTTTGGCCTAAATACGTATTGTGAAAATTCCTTCATTTAGAATTTCAAATAGCATGGGACACTCATGGATTTCTGCATGTATGAACAGATCAGCCAGGTATGAAATAGAGAATTAATTCCTTTAAGCCTTGTATCCAGGGTGCTTGGCCATCAGATAGCTAGTTTTCTGAGCAGAGGTGGGCTGTTCAAGCGGGATCCTAAGCACCCTTAAGCATCAACCAGAGGGGACATTAAGTCCATGCCTGCTCAACATGGAGAGTATGGTTGTGTGTATATTGGATTGGTAGCACTACTCAGTAGGAAAAGACTGACATGAGATCAGATGTGTCTTTCCACACTCATTGTATCCAAAGATGTTTAATCTTCAACATATCACTTAATTTGAAATCAAATATGTAAATGTTAAGAGCATGAAATAGAAGCACCTTCATTTCAGTACAAGCGACCTATGATCCCTGTATTTCCATGAAGATAGCAATAATTCCTATTAGTCTTCCTTGCACAAAAAAACAAACCCATTTGCCTGGATAATTTAATATTTCCTAGGCATATGCCAGGAATGTTATTTTCTTTCCAGCCAAAGATTGCTTAACTCAATCAATGGCAGAAGTAATAAAATTCAGAAGGACCAAAACTGTACTTATTGGTCTTGAATTTGCCTAGTCTACATTGTACATTTTAGCAATTTTTATTTACAGGAAAGGAGCTCATTTTATTTATTAAAGTGTTTCGGGGCCAAGAATTAGGTAGTTGTTTTTTGTTTGTTTTTGGTTTTTGTTTTTTTACTCAAATCCTGTGATCCTCTTATTGTCCGATAACATGAATTTTAAATAATAAATTTTTATTCTTTTCAGCTCTAAATGTAGTTACCGTTAAAAGGACAAAATTCTAACAAATGCATAGATCATTTCATTTATCAGAAATAGGAATTCAATAAATTTTAAGAGAGGCTTGTTTTGTCTGGAAACAACAAAATGTTTTCACTTTGACTGAGTATACAAACACTCCATCATTCCCTGAACATGCACAGTCAGAGGATTCTAAAAAGATTCAAGCATTACCTGCTGCATGTGATTAATTACCATTCTACAAATATCACCTTTGTTTACCACGACAGTCCTCTACAAGGACAGTCACCACCCGTGACACCTAAATCCAAAGCATGTTTCCTAGGGAAGTTGAAAGTAAGATTTATGTTGAAAAGACAGCTTTATATTATGAAAGCAGATGTTCGAAGGCAACACTGCATTTAGTTTGATGTGATGAAATAGAAAGGAAACACAGTGAGAATTAAGGGACCTTAACAGAGGGATGATGCTTATTTTTGTATGTTGTTTTGATAATAACTGCAGTGGCCCCATGTGTCATGCATTGTCTTAACTGGATTTTACCAGGAATCTGTACAGACTTCAATTTATATATTTCACATGTAAACAAACAGAATAAGGCCCTGGATCCATGACGTAGGTAGGCTGTAAAATGACTAACCACTTGCAACCTAGGGAAATATAAAAGACCATAAACCACTGACGTGTTGCATTGATTCCATCTGACTCAGAAAAGTTGCAGGAGGGGGCAGGCTTGTTCCAGGCATGCTACTTGTGAAGTGCCTGTTCTTACATGAAATTCATTTAAAAAGTTGTCTGGTGTTCTCTTCATTACTTTAGACTGGTGATTCTTAATAAAAGTTGTCTGGCGTTCTCTTCATTACTTTAGACTGGTGATTCTTAATGAGGGGGACTTGCCCTTCTGGGGACACTTGGCAATATCTGGCAATACTTTTGGTTGTCACAACTGGGGGGTGAAAAGCAGTGCTTATGACGTCTAGCATTAAGGCCAGGGATGCTGCTAGATATACTTCAAAGTACAAGGTGGCTCTCAAGGACAAAAAATTATCTGGCCCCAAATATCAACAGTGCCGAGGTTGAGAAATTCTGCCTTGGTCATCCATGTTGCTTCCCTGATAGGTTTCTTGCCATCACTGATTTAGGACTGGGGTATTAATTTCGTCATTTGGAACCACAGGAGCCTAGCCCAAAGAGTCCCTGGGATCTAGTCTTTGGCTGCTAGGGATCTGAGGGACCAGACTGGCTTGGTGGCAAAAAGGTCCACATTGCATTCCTCCACTGGAGAGCTATGGGCATGCTGGGCAGGACAAACTTTGCTATGCAAGATTGCCCACGCTCCTCACCACAGTCAGCATTCCATCCCCCAACCACCAAACGCCAGCAGTGCTCGCTCTCATTGCGACAGCTACATCATGCTCATAGCCATTTCCAAATGCCCCAAAAGGGGTGGAGCCACCCCTGGTGTATTAGTCAGCCTTCATGCTGCTGACAAAGACATACCCGAGACTGGGTAATGTGTAGACAAAAGGAGGTTTAATGGACTCAGTTCCACATGGCTGGGGAAGCCTCACCATCATGGTGGAAGGCAAAAGCCACATCTTACATGGTGGCAGACAAGAGAGAAAATAAGAGCCTAGCAAAAGGCGTTCCCCCTTATAAAACCAACAGCTCTCATGAGACTTATTCACTACCACAAGAGAAGTGTAGGAGAACCACCCCCATGATTCCATTATCTCCCACCAGGTCCCACCCACAACACGTGGGAATAATGGGTGCTACAATTCAAGATGAGAGCCTCTTTGATTATCTTCTTCCCACTAGAGGAATACTAATTCCTTATTCCAGGCCCTCAAAACACCTCAATTGCCCCAAAATGTGTGCTCTAAATAATGTTTTTCAATATTCTAATATTTTCAGTATTGCAAGTTGCTACTTAGTGGAATGCAAAATCTCTGCAGTGGGTGGTGGCTAGTATGAAAAGTTAAATAGACTAAAATAGCAAGCATCAGTGTTTGTCATACATACTAACTACAAATATTCTGTTCATTATTGATTGTTTTATAAATATGTACATATGTATGTCCTGAAATGTATTATACAATGTATTTCTAACTGTGGGTTTTGATCAAACAAGATTAAAAGTCAGTGGTCTAGATAGCCTCTCCCTTTTCTACCCAGTCCCTGAGAATAAGAGTTTACAATTTCTCTCTCTCTTGCTCTCAACTCTCATCTTTGAGTTCACAGACCCAAGTCACATTAGCAGTAAGAAGCCCAATCCATTGAACAACCCTTGTGATAAAGCATCTCTCATTTTGTAAACAATAGATGTTATCAAACACAAGAACATGTGAGACCTGCACAGGCTTGGTCTTTGTGCTACAGTTTGAAAATCCTTTAAACAAATCTGACATACATTGTTGAACTGGCTCATGGCTGTTGCCAAAATCTTTTAAAACAGAGTAGAAATGCCATGTCAGCCATGAAACATTTTTCATAATAAAAAAGTACATAATAACAATACCCCACTTACCAACAGCTCAAAATTCATATTTATTCCTGTCTAGTTGCTATAAGTGCACAGACTTTGCTTCAACTTCCATTTCACTGCTGCCTCTTATTAGCTGTTGACCGTGAATGCATTACTTAACCTCTTTTGAATAAGTTGCATCTGCTATAAAATAGGGATATAAATGGATATATAACTACCGACCTTTTACATTTGTTGTCAGGAATAGAGAGAATGTAAGCAAAAGGTGCTAGAAGAGTGTCTTATACGTGACAGGCATTCAACAAATGATCTGATTATTATTCCCAAATCTGTTTTTGCACATCTTTTCTCTAATTCTACTATTTGAACTTTTGTCAGGTGGAGTTCTTCCACAATTTCCATTTTTATTTATTTTTAAAGCCCCTCAAGTGAAGCATGAGATACTACCAATGTAGCACAGAATGCTCTACGTCAGCATTCTCAAACGTTAGCACACATTACAATCACCTGGAGGGCTTGTTAAAACATATTTTCTGATTCAGTAAATCTGTAGAGGGACCTACAGTTTTTCATTTCTATCAAATTCCCAGGTGATGCTGTTGATGCCCAACCATGGACCACTCTTTGAGAAACACTGCTCTACATGAAATTTTATGATAACTAATGCAGTGGCCATTGCAAGAGGAACTAACCAATCCACACCTCATCCATCATGAAAGCCCTGGAGCCAGCTAAACCAAGTTCTAAGACAGGGATAATGAGAGAGCTCCCAAAGGATCAAGAACAGGAACTTTGTTGTAATAACTTTCCCAAGTCAAACTCAGGTCAGGATGGTTGCTTGTAGAATAAGTGAAATATGTACTGCAGTGCTAAGGTTTAAATGTGTTCCCCAAAGTTCATGTGTTGGAAACTTAATCCCCAATGCAACAGTGTCGGAAGGTGGTGCCTAATGAGAGGTGATTTGGTCATGAATAGATTAATGTCCTTATCATGGGAGTGGGTTAGTTATCTTGAGAGTAGGCTTGTTATAAAAGCAAGTTTGGCCCCTTCTTGCTCTCTTGCACTCTATTGCTCTTCTGCCTCCCATAATGCAATGATACAGCAAGAGGACCCTCACCAGATGTCAGTGTCATGCTCTTGGACTCCCCAACTCCAGAACTGTGAGCCAATATATTTCTCTTGTTTATAAATTACCCAGTATTCTAGGCAATTCTGGTATTTTGTTATAACAACACAAAATGGACTAAGATGTGGAGAAAGAGAGGAACAAGATAAAACCCTGCCCTTAGGTCCCAAGAACTTCACTGTCTAGTAGCAAAAGAAAAAGTACAAATACCATGTCTCCATTTTTGAAGTTGCAAAGGTAGTTCTCTTCTCATTCTCATAAGAAAATGTCTTGACAGCTGTTCTTTACAGCCCTCTTTGCATAGAGCTTACCACCCCCTTTATTCTCTATTGTCAACATAAACACACATCCACCTAAATTAATGAAAGAAATAATTATGTTTTTGGTCAGGCAAGAAATTTTCCTTTAGGAACCTCTTATTTTCCATATTCCTTAGAAAACCTCAGCTTTTGGAAAGAGATCTGCTTATTTCCCCATATTCTATTTTTTTTTTTCTTTCTCTGCTTCATGAATAACCCCTATGTCTCCCTACAGGAGAATGAAAACCCTACATCTCTCTGAAATCAGGGGATGGGCAGAACAACATACAGTGAGTTAGGATGTGTTCTATACTATGCTGTCAAGACCTGAAGGAACCGAAAACCATCAGGTGGACAGAAAATTAGAACATGAAAAAACGGGGACTTTCAAGATAAGTTAGAAGTGTCAAAATGAGTATTAGGCTGATTCAGAAAGTAGAGAAATGACGCAAATGATATGCAAGTTGAAGTTTTTCAAAGAAGGCTAACTCACCATGTGGCTGGGACACACTTATCCAGGAGGTCAAAATATGAATGGTAAATGGGTTCAATTAGTATCTTTGTGTTTTTTTCCACAAAAAGCAAAAACATCTGCGTCCCACATTTACTTTGGCAGCATAACCAATAACGCTAGAAGGTACAAACAAGCTGGCCCTAAGAATAATCACAACCCAATGAAACCATGTTTTCATTTGTTTCCACTTCTACTAAACTCTCTCAAGAGCTTAGGCTATTTTAGTCTTCAGATGTAGCCTTATTACACACACAAAACCCATAAGCTAGCAGCTATTAACAACTATTACTTAGACCCACGCCCTCTACTATGGTGGCCGCCAGTACCATGTGATATTTGAGTTTTTAAAATGTGGCTAGTCTCAGTTGAGATGTACTGTGAGTGTAAAACTGAATTTTTAACACTGAGTACAATAAAAAGAATGTACAGTATTTTACCAATTTAAAAAAACATTGCTTATATGTTAAAATGATATTTTGAATATAGTTTAAAAATGAAGTGCATTATTAAAATCATATGCACTTTTTCACCTATCAATGTGTCTAGTAGGAAATTTATAATTATACATGTGGCTTGCGTTGTATATACATATTAAGCTATGGATTTATTGAGATATGATTTACATACCATATAATTCACTCTCTTGAAGTGTACAACTCGCTGATTTTTACTACATTCACAGAGTTTGCAACCATCACCACTTTCTATTTTTAGAAAACTTTCATCAAACCCAAAAATAACCCTTTGCCTGTTAGCAGTCACTCCCTATTCTCCCCTCCCTGCAGCCCACTGGAAACTACTAATCTAATCCTTGTCTCTGTGGATTTGCCTATTCTGGATATTTCGAACAAATAAAATCATACAATATGTGGTCTTTTGCAATGGGCTTATTTTGCTTCTCATAATGCTTTTTAAGTCCATCTAAGTTGCATCATGTACCAATACGTCACTCTTTTTATGGCTGAATAATATTCCATTGTATGGATACATCCTATTTTCTTTATCATTCATCACTTTATGAATATCTGTGTTGTTTTCATGTTTTGTCTATTAGGAATAATGTTGCTATAAACATTCATGTACTAGGTTTTGTGTGGACATTGTTTACATCTCACTTGGGTATAAACCTAGGAGTGGAACTACCAGGTTATATAATAACTCTCTGTGTAACATTTTGAGGAACAGCCAGTCAGACTGTTCTCCAAGATGGTCGCACCATTATTTATTCCCACCAGAAGTGTACGAAGTTTCTAATTTCTCCATGCCCTCATCAACATTTGTAATTTTCTGACTTTTTAGTGTTAGGAATCCTAAAGAATGTAAAGTGGTATCTTATGGTTTTGGTTGCATTTTGTTTTTATTGGACAGTTTTGAATTAGACGGTCTTTACAGGAGAACCACAAGTACTTCTATTTGTCAAATTCACAAGGAAAGTTTGGCTGCATTACTTGCATCCTAGATGTTAATTTTCTCTGTACTTATTTCTTCTTTCACCTAAGACCACCTTGTCTCCATGGCAGTGTTCATAGTTATCCTGTGCCCACTGTTAATATTTGTATAGCAGACTGGAACAAAATAGACAAGATTGCTCACAGCCTGAGGCAAACAGCCCTGTGACTCTAGCCACCCTGAAGACTAGGGAGATAAAAATCTTGGCACACATATAACCAACCATATATTTTATCATTCATATTTATCATCCAAACTAGGACAATGGTTCTAGTGAAAGGAGGCACTATTAATAATTTTGCTGGGACTACAGATATAAACCAAGACTGCCCCAGCAAACGGTGACATATGGTTACCCTGCCTCTATCCATTTGTAGCACAGTGATTGGGAAGTTCTGCTCTAGAAAGCTGTGCCTCTCTGAAAGGAGCTCATTACACTGTGCTTGGAAACATCCCAACTCCCCAAATTCTTGTGGCTAAAGTCACTAAAGAGCTATGTGTTGCTAAACTATATCGATGAGAATTGCTCCCTAGTGGTCAGTTTCAAGAACCATGGTTCCATTAAAATAATCTCCTTAGGTGGAACTTCTTGGAGGGAGGGGCTCAATAGTTAAAAGGCATGTCATTATCATTGTGACAGCCTTAGTACCTGGAAGTTGACAGAATTGAGAGACCTTGTTCTATACTTTGCTACTACACCATTCATTTATTCCCAAACACTCAATTCTTAAAAAGAAATACTCCAATGTGTCTTGCCAAAGACTCTTTTCTTCTTTCCCCAGCTTCTCAGTTTGCTCCTTATTGCCTCTAAATAATGCAGAAGGCAGTGGCAAAATGCCCTGCCCCAGCTGCCTATCATTTTGCATCCTGGGAGTCTCCCACAGGAATGAGGGGGAGTGAGTGTGATACTAGAGGATCCTTTTGTCGTGGAGGTATTATTTGAAGGAGAGAGAAGGGGGAAAAAAAACAAACAAATGAATAAATTATGATTTCAATAGATGTTATTTTCCAGTTGTGTACTTTGTTATTTTTAATTGTAATATTTAGAGTTTTATAGGCCAAGCAGCAGAGACAGCCTCCTGGGGAGACTTCCTCCAAATTAGAGGGTTTTTTAAATATGCAATTTGGGCATCAGTTTAAGGCCATTCAATTTCTCCCCATGAGATTTTAGACAAAGCCATGTAGCACTTCATGGACTTCCAAATTATGCTCTGTAGTTTCCCTAAGAGATGTCCTGCAAGGGCTGGCGATTGTAAGTTTACAGTTGCCTCCAGCTGGGCTTTCAACAGCACAGTGAAGAGGAGGTTGTTCTGTAGGGGCTGCAGTCTTTCTGAATTATTCGCAGATACATGCAAATGAAACTGGAGAGGAGATGCTACCCAACCTCCTAAATGAGCATCAAAATCTAGTTAGAACTACTAGAACAACTATTAGAAGAATTATGACATTTACCATTTGGCAATTCTAATAGCTAGAACTATCAGAAGAATTATGACATTTACCATTTTGGGGAGTAGGGCCCTTCACTATCTATCTCTTTGGTTTCTTCACTGAGAATCCTGTTTCTCATTGCCTCTTAATCTGTCACCAACCATACATGGTACTCTATAAGTAAGTTTATAGGGCACTATAGTGCATACAGTTGGTGTCCTTTCCAAGTTTCCTCAGATCCCCTCTTTTTCATTTCTGTTGCTGCTCCCCCCCCTCCCAAGTCCCCACACACCCTATGTGTTTTCCTTTTCAATGACTTGCATTTGCAGATCTTCTTTACAGGGCTTCCCTAGGGCCCTTGGACCTGCATTGCCAATTACTAGAGAGAGCTGAAAGTACCCCTTAATCACTAACTGAGAGATGCAAGTAATATCAAAGTCCAGCTTCCCCACCTCTGGC